>NC_000024.10:9453713-10053713 GCF_000001405.40 Homo sapiens
GAATTCGTTTTCTCTGCCTCCTCACCAGAGATTAGGGTTTTCTTTTCTTTCTTTTTTTTTTTTTGTTTGTTTGTCTTTCGGATAATATGCATTCTGACTGAAGTGAGAAGAAATCTCATTGTGTTTTTGATTTGCATTTTCGTGATGGATTGGGGATAATGAGGAATTTTTAGTGTGTCTTCTGGGCAACTGTATGTCTCAGTTTCACAAATGAGTCTTCGCAGCCTTCGCCCATTTGTTTTCATGCTATTGAGTTGTTGGGAGTTCCTTATGTACTGTGACTATTCCCCCATGAACAGATGTATGGTGATCCAATCATTGCTCCCATCCTGTAGGATGCCCCTTCTGTATGTTGAGTTTTCTATGGTGTGGTGAAGCACTTTAGTTTGATATGATTCCATTCTCTATTTTTGATGGTGTTTACTGTGTTCTTGCAGTCACTTTGAGACCATCATTGCACACACGGACGCCATGGAGCTTCTTCCTTGTGATCTCTTCTGCTATTTTTATCGTTTCACATCTGACACTGGAGTTTGGTGATAAATAATCCACTTGTAAAATCCTTTGTGTGGCTATTCAGATTTCCCCAACCTAGTTTATAGAAGATACTTGATTTTGCATTGGGCGTTCTTGCTTCTTTGGGAAAAGGCTGTGAGCTGCAAATGCAGTGACTTAGTTCTGGGCTCCTGTTGTTTTTCCTAAGCTCTAGTCTCTGCTTTTCTGCCAGTGCTATTGTATTTTGGTACAAAAAGTTTTGTAGTAGTATATCATGAAGTTAGGTAGTGTGGTGGCTCCAGCTTTGTGCTTTTTACTGGATTGCTCTGGGTTTTCAGGATCTTCTGCCATTTCATAGCAAATTTGGGATTCCCAGATTGTTTTTCTAAGAAGAATGTGTCATTGATATTTTTACAGGGGTTGTATAGAATCTGAGGATGACTCAGGTAGTAGTGATGTCAATGCCGTTTAGACAATGTGCGTGTTTGTGTGCACAAGCTCAGGGCCAAGAGACACTGGGTGTCCTCACCAATACTGAGGTGGGCCTTAATATCCAGCCAGATTGCCTTCTGGAAACACACGGAATGTCCTGTTCTGTTTTGCCATCTCTTCACATTTCCTCCCCTGTGAGCCCTGTGTGGTCCTCCAGATTCCCTGTGCGGTGGCCTGCCTTTTTTGGGGTGGGGAGTTGCTGGGTGAATGAGGATGGCGGAGGGAACCAAGTATGTCAGTGGAGCGTGGTGTCATCCAAACGGTACTTAGCAGGCCTGGGAGAGTCATTCTGGGAGGACGCAGACCTAGAGAGGCCTCAGGTGGGCATCTGTGTGGAGGGTGAGAGATCCCTGGTTGAGCCCAAACTGAACCCCAGGTAGAAGCAAGCCTCAGGACAGGGAAGTAGCTAGCAAGGGATGATGAGGGAGCTATCTCTTGACCCTGGCTTCCCACCCATTGACCTTAGCTACTTGTGCCTATTAAGCAGATTACGGTTCCCCCATCGTGAAATGTGGGTACCACAGTTCCCTGATGGGCATTTCTCCACCAGCCCATGATGGCCTGAGTTTCCTTACTGCAGTCTCCTCCCTGAGCCTTGGCTTCTCTATGTGTGTCCTAACTCCAGGACCCACAGGCCTGTCAACCCCCAGCCCTGGGCTGCTTCCCTGGCCTCTTCTCTGTTCCCTCTCTGAGGGCCTAACTCCCTTGGGTAGTGCTGCAGAATATAGAGCCACAGGCCCTGGCTGATGATCTGGTGGACTGGGCAAATTGGTCGTGACAGGTCAGGTTCTGGTTCAAAGCCAATTCCTCCGATGCCAAGGAATGTCGAAGAAGGTCCTTTGCCATGATGCCCCATAGCTGCCCCACCTCAGCAATCGTGCCGTAACCTGGGCCCTCACAGTCAGACAACCAGCTGAAGAAGCTCAGGCAGTGACCTGCGGGAAACTCGGGCTTTCACCTGCATGACCCTAGAACCACTGGACTGCAGTGGAGCCAGTCGCCCTGTATCCTGGAGGGAGACGAGTCAGGAAGGCGCACGCCAGGCCCAGCTCCCGAGGTACTACCCCCTCTACTCCTCAGGGAGGATGCCAACGCAATACTCCTTAGTCATCACTTTGTTTCCGAAGTAAATGTTGTGATGAAAGGCAAACTTCTTCCTACCCCTTGTATTCAGGGTGGCCGAGTTCCTCCACCTGCCTGTCCAAGAAGGAGAAACAGGGCTGTGAAGGGGCAATTTCATCTAGGTGGGCTGAGGTGGCATTCTAGCCGGGGTGAAGCATGCGTTTCCCCTTCCCAGCTTTCCCGCTGAGACACACCTGAGCCCCAGAAGGACCTCAACCTGACCAGGACCTTAGCACCCTCCCCCAGACCCAGGCTTTCCATCCTGACCTGCAAATCCAACATGCAGCTTTGAAGGACTTTCTCATGGTTTCTGAGCTCCTTGCTCTCACCAGAAAGAATCAGAACTTTTAAAGTGTTCTTTATGCCAACTTAAATTTTTCATTTTTACTACCTCATGTTTTGGATGAGGCATGTATTTTTAAATTTATTTTCACCCTTATTGTACCTCTATGATAAACTGCTTGCTTACATTCATACCGTAATTATCTCTCAGGTTACTTGTCTGTTCCTAAAGATTCACTGAAACGAAGAATTCTATATATGCTTGTATCTTTCAGCAACCGTATGTCAGATAGCACTGCACATTACTGCAGACATCGCATATACAGGTCCAAAGGTAGAGGAAGAAGAAGAAAGCAAGCGTTAAACTCTATTCATTCCTAAAAGCATATCAGAAACTCACAAATAACAGTGAAATCAAAGAATGATCACAGCCAATTCCATTACATACCTAGACTGAAATACGAAACTTCAAAGAAAAGAAACATTAGAACTTTGGGTTTGTAAAAATTTTCCTATATAGATAAAATTATTGGTAACTGTGTCTCACTAGAAAACGTAAACAAAAATCCATGTTTTTCATATTTGTAAATATACATAGTTTTATTTCCATCAGTTATGACATGCAAGCAAGTAATAAAGTGAAAGTACAATCAAATGATATATGGAACTTCCTCAGTCTTAAAATATTCCATGGAGACTATCAATTTTATGAAAACTATAAAGAATGCTTCATGAAACTACATTGTACAGTGCCATTTACTATTTTACTGACATTTTAAATAATCAACAATTAAAGGGAATACGTCAACATTATTTAATACCAATAACGTTATTTTTCTTGAGTAATCCTGTTGAAATTAAGGATTTTAAATAAAACATTAAAAACAAATTATATTGACTGATTTCAGCTTTGGATGAAATCATACTTGTGTATTTGTAGTAATGCGAAGCATAACTTTCTCCTCACAATTAATCTTTTATAACATCGGTGTTATAGTTTTCTCTGACACCAACATTGTGATATCGCACAGGTTTACTGCATGCATGCATTACATGCCTCCAGAGAGTAGGCTTCAAATATATGGAAAAATTATATTTATGAAAAAATTCTAGGAAAGGGAATGGTGAAATGGAAGAGAATTTCTCACTTGCTAACTGTTGGACATGGATTTGTATATATTTGGATATAGACACATACTGGCACACTGTGAGTTTGCCCATGTATATATACACTTATATGAGAAACCCATAATATATGGGTTGTGTAATCTTTTAATTAATCCATAATTGTATGTGTGTGAAATTAGATAAGCGGTTACCTTTTCTTTACTCAATTTGATGGAAAGCCAAAAAACTCTGTCCACCTTCATTTCAATTAATCCAATACTGTTAACTGCTGGTAGCTTCATTCTCCTTGTTCTCTTACGGCAACCGGAAAGTTAATTCTCGCTCTAATTTGGCTTTCAAGGTGCGATCAACAAGAGTGTCACCTTGCTGTGGATTGTGACCTCTGACTCCACCTCTGTCTTCCTTTTGCAGTCCTACCTTTGCATAGGTAACAAACTTTGTACATGGTTAAAAGGATAAAAGTTCAGTGAAATGTCAAGCCATGCTGTGAAATGTTCCATAGTTTCTATATCTCTAATTGTCCTTTGATGTTATAGAGGCAAGAAAAATAATTCAATGTTTTTCTTAGTATCTAGTCCAATGCACTCTTTCTTCATAATACTGCAAACAAGGCACTGACATGGAAACGTGGCTGGACGTCTCAAAATCTCTTCTCATTAATTACCATTATGTTAATCACTGTTGCCCACAACTGGAATTGGACTTTGAAATCCCCTGGTGGAAATTGCTATAATGGCTCAAACTACTGGAAAGACTATCTTTTTTTACCTGAAAATATCTGATGAGCATAGACGTATGCTATATACAGGAAGATATTGTACATTAACAACATACCATCACTGCCACTCAATAATAGGTATCCCAAACCTTTGAGCCAAACTGAGCTCAGGTGCTCCCACAAACCAAGCTTTTCCCTCCACAGATTTCTTATGTCAAAAAGCCACAACTCCAGGCCAGGCTTCGTGGCTCTTGTTGTAATTTCTACATTTTGGGAGGCCGAGGTTGGTGGGTCACTTGAGGTCAGGAGTTGGAGACCAGCATGGGCAACATGGCAAAAAGCTGTCTCTACCAAAAATACAAAAATTAGCCAGACCTAGTGGCACTTTCCTGTGGTCCCAGCTACTTGGGAGGCTGAGGTAGGAGAACCACCTGAACATGGGTGGCAGAGATTGTATAGTAAGCCGAGATCAGACTACTGCACTCCAGCCTGGATGACACAGCGAGACCATGACTGAAAAAAGAAAAAAAAAAAATAAAGGCAACTCCACTCGTCCACTGGCTTAGGTAAAAAGTACTGGAGTTGGCTGGGCTCGGTGGCTCACACCTGTATTCCCAGCACTTTGGATTTTGGGAAGCTGAGTCGGGCGGGTCACCTGAGATCTGTAGTAGGAGAGCAGCCTGGCCAACATGGTGAAGCCTGGCTTCTACTAAAAATACAAAACATTAGCTGAGCGTGGTGATGCATGCTTGTAATCCCAGCTACTGCAGAGGCTGAACCTGGGAGGCGGAGGATGTGTTGAGCTGAGATCCTGCCACTGCGCTCCAGCCTGGTCTACAGAGCGAGAGTACCCTGTGAGAAACAAAGGTGAAGAGAACAAGAAAAAAAAAATGAGAAAAATAAGACCCACTGCAAAAGGTTGCCACAGAAAAGATTAAACATTTCAGCAACTTCTATCTTCTGTCATGGAAGCCAAGGTTATTTGGACCAAACCTCCTGTCTTAGTTCATTTTCACGCTGCTGAAGAAGACATACCTGAAACTGGGAATAAAAGGAGGTTTAATTGGACTGACAGTTCCACATGGCTGTGGAGGCCTCAGAATCATGGTATACGAATAAAGGCACTTCTTACATGGCAATGCCAAGAGAGAATGAGGAAGAACCTGAGGCAGAAACCCCTGAAAAACCCATCAGATCCCGTGAGACTTCTTCACTGTCACAAGAATAGCATGAGAAAGACCGACCCCCATGATTCAATTACCTCCCCCTGGGTCCCACCCGCAACACGAGGGAATTCTGGGAGATACAATTGAAGCTGAGATTTGAATGGAGACACACCAAACCATGTCACTTCCCAAACAATTAAAAATTCCCAATAGAAGAAGCATTAATTATATCAAAAAGTGGTGGACCAAGAAGGAACTATTAGCCTCATATCTCAAGAAAGACTCCAGTCAAGGCCTAGGGACTACTCATGAAAAGAGTTTAATAGCCGACTCTCTCCCAGTGGATCTGGATTCCACCGGACTGTATCTTCACAGTAAGGGTGAAACAGAAGCAAACCCATTCCTATTTCCAAGCTCAAGGAACTTTGGTCAAAGTTCTCTTGGAGCTGAGCAGAACAAGGAGGCAAACAGAAAAGATTTGTGTCCCTAAGAAGTCATGGCCACAGGCTGGCTATCACACAGATTGTCAAGCCAGTTCCATATTGCATGGGTATTACAGAAAATCTCAAAACATAAATTTGTGTGTGGGTTGTCCCAGAGTAGCAGGATCTGGCAGAAGGAAATTTCCTTCTAACCCTCAAAGAATCCACATAAATCTTGTTACATTTGGGATTTTACGATTTGCTTCAGGAATGAGAATGGCCTTAATTTTCATATCTTTTTCTACACTCAGTTTATGTCTTGTTGGCGTCAAAGTTCTGCTTGCTTCACACAATGAGTTTAGGATTTTCCCTTTTTTATTCTATAGAATTCTTCATATATATTGAAATGCTCTGCCTGGGGAAAAAAATCTGAGCCTAGCGTTTTATCTCTAGGAAGAATCCTTTATTTCCTTGAACATTTATGAGACTATACAGATTATATATGTCTTCTTGTATCAATTTTACTAAGCTATATACATAGCTTATGTTTATATATTATATATATAAATGTAAGATACAAATATAAAAATTATGTATAAATATGAAAATATATATAGAAAGCGATATATATGTCTATATATATAGACAGATTATAAATATCTGTCTATTTGACCTAAGTTTTCAAATTTGTAGGTTAAGGTGTTAACGATATTTCCTTATTAGCTTCTTAATCTATGCTGTATCTATGGTTGTGTACCTTTTAAATTCTTAGTTTTATCTATGTTTTCTCCCTTTTTTTCTAAACTTGACTGACGGTTGCATCATTTATTATATTTCTCCAACAAGCAAAGGTTAGCTTTGTATGTTTTACTAATTTTGTCTACATCATTATTCCCACACTTTAGTTTTTCAGAATTGATTCTGTTGTTTCTTTTCTAATTCTTTATTGAAATATCTAGTACATTAATTTTCAAGTTATTAGAGAAATATTTGTCTGTAAACTCCTATTGTAATATCACTTTTCTTGCTACTCACAGATTTAATCTTTAATATTGGCGGTATCATTGAGTTCTAAGTACATTTCAATTCCTAGTATGATAATCTATGAATTGCTGAGAAATAGTGTTTACAATTTTGTTGTTCTATTTCCACTTAAGTTTATTTTTACTTCTGCTAACTCAATTGAAAATTCTTTACTAATTTTTAAAATCCTTGAACCCAAGAGATGGAGGTTGCAGTGAGCTGAGATCAGGCCACTGCATTCCAGACTGAGTGACAGAGTGGAACGAGATTTCAAAACAAAACAAAACAAAACAAAACAAAACAAAACAGTCACTGGAAAGATAATAAAATACATAAATGTGGGATGTAATATGTAATCGTGATAAAATAAACTGGATTTTTTGTATAAGTTATACATATAAATGTAATGCCAAGACACTGATAAGACAACTCATGGTCTTATCTCAATACTTAGTGTCTTCATGTAACATATGTCCTTTAGGATAGTTATAGTCCGTTTTCTTTCCAGGAGAGACAGATGAGAATGCAGAAATGTTAAAGTGCAAGGGACGGAAGCTTCCAGCTGTGCCCACCTGTAACCTGACGTAGACAGTTCCACCGTTTGCTTCATTAATCATGCCAAAGGCTCTAATGCAAATGTGGTACAGAGTCACATGTTTTTGTATCTACATGATAGAAACTATAACTTCATCCCTATATAGAAGGGTATATAGCATATGCCTCAGTGATAAATATAAGTGAATCATTGATCAGTAGGAAACCATTTTAAAAGTCTTTCATAACAGAACAAAATCCCTGAAAACATTTTCTTCTCAATCTCTGAGTTTTCTTACACGGCTTATGAATCTCTAGCCATACTAAAGAGATAGTATGCTGCTCTTCCCACAAATTATTCATTGTATATAATTCCTGTAATCTAATAACAGTACCTTTACACCTCAGGGTTTAAAATGACTCCAACCTTTTTCTGTTTCTCCAATTAAAATAACTTTTTTAAGGTTTAATCTTCAGTAATTTTTTGTAGTAATATTTTTGAAGGTATTTGACCAGGATGATTTGCTTATATACCTACCTGACGTCTCCCTTTCTTCTGAATACATATTTTATTACCCACCTATTAGATCTAAGTTTAAGAAGTTGGAATAGGGATTTAAATCTAAATTCTACATTTGAATTTACAGGAGTCAGCGAGTCCGGGAAGTGCCTTTATGCACAGACCAATATCTGGCAATGGCACTAGGAGACAAATAAGCTTTACCAGTCTCAAAGCCCTGGCTACTACAGTGAATCCACCCTTCTCCTGGATCTTATCTACTTCAGCAAAAGAAGGCCACCCACTAAACCAGGCCCTTGTACTTTGGGTGGAAACTCCTAAGTCCTCTAGTCTCCTCAAACAGACAGCCAGGCTGCCAATTTCCACAATAATAATTTCTATAGCACTGAGTCTTTGGTAGCCTTGTAACTATAGCTACTGATGCTACAGTCTGGTCCCTGTATGATAAAACACCAGAGCAACAGAAACAAAAATATTGACTGAAGCCTTCTAAAATCTCTCTAAATATACCTTCAATAAATATGGTTTTTTTTACAGAACGACTGCTTTCAGCTTCCTGAACTAACGCTTGGCCTTCGCTAGTTGTCACTGTTGAAATTGATTCAAAAGTGTACATTTAACATGAAAGTCAACACAGAATTTCATGTGTCAGCAACTAAAATTTTCAAAATGTTGCAAAATACAAATGTGAAACTGTATTTGTGAAATTTACCATTCATTGAAATTATATTTTCATACCTACCCAGGCACAGAATTTTTTATAACTGTCTGCATGTTCTCCTCATGTGGGGGAAAAGCAGCATCAGCAGGCAGAGGAATCCTTTGAAGCTGGAGGGAGAGGTTGCAGTGATCTGAGAGTTTGCCACTTGACTGCAGCCTGGATGACACAGTGAGACTCCAACTGAAAAGAAACAAACACACACACACACACACACACACACACACACCCCCAAAATTGATAAGTAAAAAAAAAATCCATATTCGAAAACATGCTCACAGGCTAACTCCCATATCTAACACACACACACACACACACACACACACACACACACACACAATTCCTTGAAAACGAAAGTTCCACAAGGGCAAAACAAGAAAACAAATTTAACACCCCCCAAAGAAAGTACAAAGAGTAACCTCAAAAGAACCGCAGGGGAAAACAATTCAAAATTTACAAGTATCTACCCTAAAAGAAGCTGAAAGTCCCTCAAAAACTTTCCAGAGGCCATGTCCTTGTATTACAAAAATGATCATAAAAACTGGCAGGAGTAGACGAATAGAAATGCATCTTAAAACTTGCTAAACCCTTCAAGTCTCCCATAAGAATTGTAATGGAAAATGGATCGGTCGGCAGCTTTTTCCATACAATTATGAACAAATTATATTTCTTCATACATAGATTTGTTTTTTCAATATTCTAAGGAATTAACTTTTATATTAATAGTAGGTGATGTAAGAAAGCAGGCCTTTATCAAGATAACTGACACTGGATGTCCATACCATTACTCAGGTGGGCCTTAATTCCCAGCCAGGTTCCCTCCCTGGACACACACTGAAGGTCCCCAGCCATTTGGCAATCTCTTCACATTCCCAGCCCTGGAGGTAGCCCTAAAATACATGTACCTGAAGAAAATAAAACATTGCCTCACACTGGAGCCCAGTGTGGTCCTCCAGATTCCGTGTGAGGTGGACTAACTTATATGGGAAGGCAGGGCAGCGGGAGTGAGGATGGCAGAGAGGATTACACATGTCAAGGCAGCCGGGGTCATGGAAACAAAACATGACTGGCCTGGGAGAAACACTGTGAAAGGACACAGACCTAGGTGGGCCTCAGGTGGACATCCTCGTGGAGAAAAAGGGGGCCCTGGTTGATCTCAAAATGAGCCCCAGGTGGTAGCAGGTCTTACCGCAGGGCAGGGAGCTGGCGAGTAATGATGAGACAGCTATCCCTTAAGCCCTGCTTGTCACCCACTGACTTTAGCCACATATGCATCATAGTGGCTTAAGGTGCCCCGATCCTGAAATGTGGGTGTTACATGTCCCTGATGGGCCTCTCTCCCCCAACCCACGGATTGCCTGGGATTGCTCACTGCAGTCTCCTCCCGGATCCTTGGGTTCTCCATGTGGGGCCCAGATCCAGGTCAAAAGGCCTCTCAGTTCCCAGCCCTTCCCAGCCCTAGCTGCTCGCCTGGCCTCCTCTCTGTTCCGCCTCTAGGGCTGACCCTCTCTCCATGGGATAGAACTGCAATGGATTGAGCCATAGGCCCTGGCTGATGATCTAGGGGACTGCAGAAGTGGGTCCAGGACAGTTCAGGTGACAGTTCAAAGCCAATTCCCCAGAGACCAAGGAATGACCAGCTAGGTCCTTTCCCATGATGCCCCACGGCGAACCCCACCTCAGCAATCCTGCCAAAACCCGGGCAGTCATGTTCAGCCAAACAGCTGAATGAGCTCAGGTAGGAGGTGTACTGCCTGCAGCTGGAGGCTTGACCTTCGTGATCCCAGAACCGCTGGACTGCAGTGGAATGAGACACCCTGTAGCCTGCAGGGAGAGGAGTCAGGAAGGTTCATGCCAGTCCCACCCTCCCACACACCAGCTCCCCTACCATGCTGGGAGGCATTCCTTACCGAGGATGCCAACACAGTGCTCCTTCATGATGATTTCACTGTGGAAATAAAGGTTGGGATGAAAGGAAATCATCCTGCCACCGGTAACCGGGATGGCTGAGTTCCTCCACCTGCCGGATCAAGGAGAAAGAGGATGGATTCAATGGGACCATCTCAACTAGCTGGGCTGAGGTGGCCTACTAGCTGTAGTGAACCATGAGTTTCCCCTTCCCAGCTCTCCCACTGAGACAACCCTGGTCCCCAGGGGGACCTCAAACTGACTCAGACACTGGACTCCTCCCACAGACCCAGGCTCCCCAGCCTGACCTGCAAATCCATCACGTAGCAAAGCAGGACTTCCGCATGCTTTCCGACCCACGCCGACATCTCGTGTGCCAAACAATCTACCTCTGCGCAAGAACTCTCCAGAGGATTGGGTGGGCAAGCCTCGTGACGCCTTGCAATTTCGCAAGAACACAGACAATGTGGAACAGGGCCATCTCCCAGACATTTGGCCAGTCACCCTTCATTGTTGGCCCTCTATCTCTGTCTGGCGAGGAGGCAACGCCACAACTGTGGTGGTTTTTGGAGTGGGTGGACCCGGCCAAGACGGCCTGGGCTGACCAGAGACGGGAGGCAGAAAAAGTGGGCAGGTGGTTGCAGCTGAGGGACGGGAGGGACCGGGGGTGGTGTGAGGCGGCTGCTTCTCTGAGTTTCTGAGATGCAGGAGGCCTTTGTGTGCTGGGTGCTGGACATGCTCCGCTGATGTCCGGGTGTGTGGTGTCCTCTTATCCTAGTCTCCCTGAGGGGTGGGCCTGTCCACCTGAGGGAAGCCTTGTAGTTAGAAGCCACAGCAGGGTCGTGCCTGGCGCTCTCCAAGGGAATTGCGTGGGTCCATAGGAAGTTATACAGGCTCAGGGCCTACACGCCTTTGAGTGCAGCGCCTGCAGTTGGATGAATGCGCATCTGCGGAGCTGGTGCCCGCCGTCAGGTGGTCGGCAGCCCCATGCGCCGCGAACCCGTCTTAAGCACCTTGTGTTTCTGGGGTGAGCCTGCTGGAAACAGGCACCGAGAGCAGGGGTGGTTCAATGGCTGGTAATGGCATACAGATTCCCCGTCCTCCAGGGACGTTCCCAGGGAAACGCGTCCTTCGAATTTGGGCTGTGCGCAAAGGGACCTTGGCGCCGCGATTCTCCCTTGTCAGTGCTGGCCCTGGCTCCCCTTCCCTACCACGTGCTCCCAGGGCTGCTACAAGCGAGCTGCCCTCACAGCTGCGGGAACGTGGCCTCGGCTCCCACGCTGTCCCCCATCCCCTGCCTCCTGGCTGACCCCACGTGCCTCCCACCTGGCTCCTCCCCCCAAACAGCCCCCATACCCCCCGAGGCCCGATGACTATCCCCTGCTGCCCGCCATCCCAAATCGGCAGCCGCAAGGATATGGCTCTGGCTCACAAGGCGGAGATGCTCTGTGGCCTGGGGCATTCACGGAGCCCAGCTCCAAGTGAAGGACCTCCAGCGAGTCCATTGACGGCCCCGGTGTGCTCGGTCCAGGGCCAGGCTGTGCCCGCTGGCCCTCCTTCTGCCACCCCACGTCGGGCTCCACCTCAACCACCACCTCCACCTCAGCCATGATGTCTTCCACCTTCAGCACCGCCTCCTCTTCCAAGGCCGCCTCCTTGCTCTGTACCCCGGCCGTCCTCTCCAGCATTGCCTCCAGCCTGAACACGGTTTTCTCCTGGGTGCTCCCACAGACCCTGGGCCTGCGCAGCCCAGCCCAGCCCAGCCCATGCCCCGCACCCGTAGGCTCTGGGGGCCCGCTCCCCAGCAGACCCGCTCCCTGCAAGACCCACGCGTCGCCCTGCTGTGAACCTGGTCCCACACCTACGTGGACCCAGGTTTCCTGAGGACGTCCGCTGGACCCGCAGATCCCGCACTGGCCAAAGGGCTCCGGTCCCCAGCAGGCTCAACTGCGCACAGGAGCTCGGGAGCCAGAGGCCCCGGCCCTGGGCTTGCAGAGCCCCACCAACAGGCACCGCAACCGCTGCTGCGGGTGCGGGAGCCTCTGGGTCGTCAAGGCAGCGCACAACAGCGTGCGCGCAGGCCGACAATGGCCAACCTGGCGGCTGGCCTCTGGTGTGCCCAGGGCATAGGACAAGAGGCCCTTTGGAATGCTCCTTGGAGTACAGCATCCTCAGGGAGGAAGCATGGTACTCGGAGCCTCTATTTGCCTCGACCTGTGAGAGTGTGTGCCGGGGCTCTGGCCTCTACAGCAGATCAATTCCACCTCAGCACCGGCAGGCGACTTTCCTCCCACGTGCCCGCCCCGATCACTTCCCCCAGGACACCCCTGCCGCCCTAGCCCCAGCAACCAGAGAGAGTTCTCTGCATCTGCTGTATTACCTCCGTACCATCTACCTGGCCTGCCTAACGAAGAGAGATGTTTCCTGTGTTCATGACACATAGAGATGTTCATGGCTTGCCACACTGAGGATGTCAGGGCACAGGGCTGCCATGCCCACAATTCCAAAGGCCACGCAGCCCGCGTGTGCCCGGATGCCTAGCTACCCGGCACAAGCTCCAAGGGCTTCTCGGAGGAGGCTTGGGCAGGGAAGGCAGGGGGGTGGGGGGGCTGGAGATGCAGGCCCGCCAGTGGCTGTGCCGCCCAGGGAGACGCCCACCGCCCTCCCATTGATTGGCCACGACGGGAGGAAGTCGGCCTGGGTGCGGCCCCCCGGCCCTTCGCGCGCAGTCCCTTAGGGGGCGCCTGGAAGCCCGGCGCATGCGCCCTGAGGGCTCGCTGACCTACCGGGTGCCAGAGAGGCTGCGGCAGGGTTTCTGTGGCGTGGGTCGGGCAGCACAGGCCTTGGTGTGTGCGAGTGCCAAGGAGGGCACCGCCTTCAGGATGGAGGCTGTGCAGGAGGGGGCGGCCGGGGTGGAGAGTGAGCAGGCGGCTTTGGGGGAGGAGGCGGTGCTGCTGTTGGATGACATAATGGCGGAGGTGGAGGTGGTGGCGGAGGAGGAGGGCCTCGTGGAGCGGCGGGAGGAGGCCCAGCGGGCACAGCAGGCTGTGCCTGGCCCTGGGCCCATGACCCCAGAGTCTGCACCGGAGGAGCTGCTGGCCGTTCAGGTGGAGCTGGAGCCGGTTAATGCCCAAGCCAGGAAGGCCTTTTCTCGGCAGCGGGAAAAGATGGAGCGGAGGCGCAAGCCCCACCTAGACCGCAGAGGCGCCGTCATCCAGAGCGTCCCTGGCTTCTGGGCCAATGTTGTATCCTTCTCAGTGTTTCTTCGGCCTTTCTAGTGGAGAGGTGCTCTCGGGGAAGTGTAAGTGACCGATGGGCAGCTCGGCGTCGATGTGACTCTTTGGGGAACAAAGGGGAGTTGCCACGGACCAGTGTGGCTGTGGAAAGCCGGAGCAGGCGTGGGTACTATTGTCCTGCATGCGGCAGAGAAACCCTTGGTGATGCCGAGCAGCAGACGTTTGGGGCATCTTTTTGAAGAGCAGAAGCGAGTTCAGAGCGGAAGAGGTTTTTCAGTGAATGAAGCTATTTTTAAGGGAGTGTGATTGCTGCCCCTTGCTAGTCCGATCTGGGACTGGGCGTCTTCGGCTATAAGCAGATTCTGCCACTCCTCAGACACCAGCAAGTCTCTGCAAATCGCGCCTCCCCATGTCAGTGCAGTCAGCCTCAGAATCATACACCCTCTGTGAACACAGGAGGCCTTAGTTTACGGGGACGGGGAGGCGAAAGGAGATCATACATGGAAGCAGATCTGAGAAATCCCCTACCCCAGCCTCTGGGTGCTCTTAGGCCTTCTTCCCTGTTGCTCCTCGCTTTCCCTTCCATCGTGTGTAAAGTCTCTTTGACCTAAATCAGATTGCAAACCACCCCCAGATGTCAGCCCTGATCACTGACGAAGATGAAGACATGCTGAGCTACATGGTCAGCCTGGAGGTGAGGCCAGGAAGACTGGGGCTAGAGGGTTTAGCGGGGGAGGGTAAGGGAAATAATTCATTCCTGTAAGCAAGAGTGAGCACCTCACCCGAAAACCTATCTAAGCTTTCTCCACCTTGTCCTGACAGGTGGGAGAAGAGAAGCATCCTGTTCATCTCTGCAAGATCATGTTGTTCTTTCGGAGTAACCCCTACTTCCAGAATAAAGTGATTACCAAGGAATATCTGGTGAACATCACAGGTGACAGGTGGCTCCCAGGATGGGTAGTGGAAGGAAGATGGTGGGTGGATCATTGCCAACGGGATCCAGCCCCCTTCCCACAAAAACTCCTGTCTCTGTAGAATACAGGGCTTCTCATTCCACTCCAATTGAGTGGTATCCGGATTATGAAGTGGAGGCCTATCGCCGCAGACACCACAACAGCAGCCTTAACTTCTTCAACTGGTTCTCTGACCACAACTTCGCAGGATCTAACAAGATTGCTGAGGTGAGTCCTCACTGGGAAACATGAGGAATGACCCCGTGTGTTCCCAGCTGCTTGGGTCACCTTTCTGAGCCCTGATGAGGCCTTTCCCGATTGAGTCCCCTGACAGATCCTATGTAAGGACCTGTGGCGCAATCCCCTGCAATACTACAAGAGGATGAAGCCACCTGAAGAGGGAACAGAGACGTCAGGTGAGCCGTTAGTTGGCACTGGAGCTGTTTGATGCGCAGTATAAGGGGGTTGACACACCTGCCTATTCAGGGAGCCTGGGTGCTCATTTCAGAAATGTAGAAACTGAGGCTCCTTTCGTACATGTAGAAATTCCTTGAGAGGAAGACAGAGTGACAGAATCCAGGACGTTCATGGCATTGGGCTGAAAAGGCACGTTAGAGACTGCACTGCAAAGCGGGTGATAGCTGTGGAGTCTTAAGCCCAGTGAAGAATCGTCCATTTCCAGAATCAATGAGAAGTAAAGCTGAAAATCATTCAGTTCAGTCTGTGGCACTTGATTCCACGGCTGTCAACCCCACCGGCAGTCATCCCACCAACCCCATGAGATTGGGCTCCCTGAATGTGCGTCCTGGTCATCCTTGCCCCAAACCACAAAGGACTGTTTAGATTGATGGATTTCCTTAAGCTGTTGCCCCATCAGACTTGTGTGTGCTTTTAGGGCCCAGTGCATCTTGTTAGCTGACTCCCCTCACAGACAATACTGGGAATGGGGCAGGGATTGCGCAGAACAGTTTGTAACACGTGGTAGGAGGAAGTTTAAGGGATCACAAATGGGGAAGGGATATCCTTTTCTCAGCGGGCCCCACAATTGAAACATTTCAAAGTATGGCTCAGAGAAAATGCGTTTTAACATGAGTTTGTGTTTCTCTAGGGGACTCCCAGTTGTTGAGTTGAATATGATGGAGCATCAGATTTTACCTAATACAGCAGAACTCCTAAAAAGTTACAGCCATATGCAGGACGGCAGTACTCAGCATGGTCTTATGCACAGGAACTAAAGGAAAAAGAGATCGAGTCACAAAAATTCAGGAAGAGGGGGTAAATGTGGATTGTATGGAATGAAAAATAAACATTCTCAAGGATGTGTGACTCTGTGTCTGTGTGTGTGTGTGTGTGTGTCTTTGTGTGTGTGTGTGTGTGTGTGTGTGTGTGTATGTTTATCCACTTTATTCGGGTGTCATAATGAATTGATCAATCCACGTGCTTTATTCTCTTAATGGAAATAACCAGTCTGCGTTGGAGCTGGGCCTCTAAAGTTGTAGAGTGAATGGGTGTGGGATGTGTTGGGATTCTTCCTACAGGACAGAGTGGGAGAGGTAAAAGCAAAAGACAGCTTAGTTGGAGGCTGACTTCGTCCTGTGGAAGCAGAGATAGTTCAAGGAAAGGGGTTACTGGGTTTCCAGGGCCCAGTTTGCTGGGACCTCCAAAATCCTTCATTTTGGGTATCATCATACACAGTAGCTAAGCACAGGATGATGGAAATCTTAAAGTTCGCTTCCGTGTTGAATCCACATGTTCTTTTAAAGGTGAATGCATGATCCTTTTCTGGGACAATCAGCCTCTCAGGACTTCTGAAACATCAACGTGAGAAGAAATGGGCATGTAAGGTGTATGGAGGGACTGTGGGAAAGGTGACAGAGGCATGTGGGAAGGCATTCAGGATACGCTTTTGGCAGAGATGACTAAGGGAAAACAGAAACTTACAGAAGTGAGGGGAAAGGGGGTGGATTAGTGGAATATAAGATTGTTGGAGAATCCATCCATGGACTCTCTTGTCACTTGATGACCCAGGATATGGACACTCTTGTTGATGTTTACATCTTTAGTTGTTTTAAGCTTTTCTCCAAGATTCTGTGTTAGGTGAGGAGCCAATAACGTATGTAGCTAACAACAGTACGAGTGCATTTTGTGCTCTTGCAAAGTCTAGTGAGGCTCTATTCTCCCTCGTGATTGGCACTGCAGATTGTATCTGGAGCCCAGGGCCCCTAAATTTTCTGTGGCCTCTTCAGCATAGTTTGCCTAAGGTTTAGAACGTAAAGCGAATATAGTTGCGGAATATGTTTTGCAAGCCTCACACAGGAGGACAAAACATACAGCTTTCATTCGCGAGTGGGAGGCTGCTTCCCAGGAACACGTGTGTCTGCACAAGACAAGGGGTTGCCTCTGTCAAGGATGGGGCAGGAGGATTTCAGTGTCGGAGGCAGAACTTTCTTTCCTGTTCCCAGATGAAACAGTTCCAACACGAGCATCCATGTTGACCACACGCTACTAGAGTGCTAACATTGCTGTCCCGTATAGACTCTGGTCAGCACAGCTTCTGTGAGAAGAGCTATGTTGTTTCAGGGAAGAGGGTTTGACAGTCAAAGTTCCTGAATCTGTTGTGGTGCCTGCAATATGCATTCTACCCCTCCTGCTCGGTGTCAAAGCAGTTGAGCTTTGAAAATCTATCGCCCGGTTTTGTCCCTGCTCCTATGCAGACCTCTGAAGCTCTGGAGCGGGAGTCTTGTCCTCCTCTGACTACCGTCCCCCTGACCCACAAACACAGGAGAAACAGGTGTTCTAAGCAAATTATTCTGAAAACAGTCGGAACCCTTTGGCCCCCTCAAGCTGCCCTGTATCCTACTGTGTGCATGTCAAAGACACTGTGGTCCAGTACGGTATCCCTATAGCGGCAATGGGGCAACAGATTGGTGTGTGCACTCTGGGCAACTCAGATTAGGAAACGTCTGGGGACTTGCCTATAACGAGGTCGTCTTAAAACGTGTTGCCCCAAATTTAAGGCATAGGAAAATGTTGAGGAAAGGGTCTTGCAATGATTTTTCTAGGAGGTAAATAGATAAGAAAATGACCGTAAATAGATGCCAGGGCTAGTTTTGGAGCTAGCCTGTTTTAAAGTGGTGGTAGGGGAGGAGCTTTTTCCAAGGCAGGTAGCAAACCAGGAACTGTCTACGATGGATGGGCGTGCCACGGGTTGGTGGCTCAGCCATATTGCCACCCCACCGAGTGAATGCAGCAGACTGGGCTTCTTCCTTGAATCCTACGTGCAATTCAGTCTAGTGATTTCACATGAGATCCCTTCTTCTGGTATTATCACAGATCGTGCTGAATTATACAGGCTGTGTAATGCTTCTTCCACTGAATATCCGTGCACGTGGGCCACAGATGCTAAGGGCACTGACAAATTTGCACCGTGCCTCAGTAACTCGGAAGCACATCTGTGATTTGTACCGACAGGGACTTGGTGTCTTTTCGTGTTTAAAGTAGCACGTGTGTGTTTGTGGTTGCGTATGTTTATTTCTCTGTGCGGGTTTGTATATTTTCTCTGACTCCACCTGTGTCTCCGTGGTTCCGATATTTTTCCACACTCCCTGCGACAATTTGCACATGCCTATCTCTACAACCATTGTAGACTTTGTATCTGTGTCTTTGAACATCTGTCACTCTCTCTCCCTTCCTTTTTTCTTTTCCTTCCTTTACACCCCTTTCATCCTTCCCTTGCTTCCCCACCACACTCTCTCCATCTGTATCGTCTATCTTTCTATTCTCTATCTGGGTTTCCTTTCTAATTCTGAATTCAAGGGCATTGAATTGAAAAGAAGCACTCTTCGTACTTTTATGTGTTTTAACTCATTTGGGGAATTTGGCGTGGTATTATTTACAGGGTTCTCTCTGCCCTTTCTCATTGTTCTCCCCAGCCGGGGCTGTTATTATGTGAAAGCTGGTTTCCTTCATCACATCGCGTAGGCTCTAATGATGTTTCGTTTATTTTGATTCTCCTCACACTACATAGTTTTAATTTACCTAATGTGACTGTTTTTTTGTTTGTTTTCCGAGAATGGGTCTTACTCTGTCTTCTAGGTTGGACAGCAGCCCCACGATCTCAGCCCACTGCAGCCCAGGCACCACACACCCATGTGATCCTGTCAACTCAGACTCTCACACACCTGGCAGTACAGGTGCATGCCACCCCTCCAAGCTATGTATTAATTAACTAAATACTTACTTTTTGAATGTGGGTCCATGTTGCCCCAGGCTCATCTGGAACTCCTGAGTGCAGGCAATCCTCCCACCTCAGCTTATCAAAGTGCTGGGATGACAGGTGTGACCCATGGCCCTGCCATGGCTTTGTGTTTTTTGCTTTTTTCTTCCTCCTCCTCACGTCTTGTTTTGAAACATGCACTGAAGGTTTCAATTCATGGACTATAGCCTCTGTGCCTGGAATTTCTATCTTTCAACTCATCATCAGCATTCATTGGGATTTTCATATATATATATATATATATATATATATATATATACATACCTATATAAGAATACCTATGTACACACATATATACGTATATACATGTATATACGTATATATGCACATTTATATACGTATATACATGTATATACGTATATATATACATGTACACATATGTATTTATTTCTCAAGTTACGAAACGGCTTGCATTCTTTCCTGTGTCATGAAAAAGACTTTGCTAGAAAAGAAAAGCACTGCTTTATAATAAAATATTTTATTTGCATTTATTTTGTTAAGGCATTTTAAAAATTGTATGTTTGTTTAAAAAATGTCATATGAAATGATACATATTTACAACTTAAGGCGTGATGTTCAACAGGTCATATACATTATGCATTGGATACATCCAGCCAATCAACATATGTGTGACCTCACATAGTTGTCATTTTTGTTGTGAAAAAACTTGACCTGCACTGTATTCGAATATTTTTAGAGAAAGAATATGTTACCACTAGTTATAGTGAGCATGCTGAAGAAAATATTTTTAACCTATTCCTCCTTTATAACTAGAAGTATGAGTTCTTCATCCAGCATCTCGTCAGTGCACCCTCTTCACCGCAGTCATTGGAGTCACTACTTCTGTGAAGTCCGCTTTTTTGATTTCATATAAGAATGAGATCATGTGCTATTTTCCTTTCTGATACCTGGCTTATGTCACTTAACAGAATGGCATGCACACATTCAGCAGATTCCCACACATTCTCACAACTGGCAGGATTTCCTGATTTCTTATTGCAGCGCATATTTACGTTGCGCATATGCGTTTTTGCCCCATTTTTTAATCCACTTATCAATGGAGGGACACTCAGGTTGCTTCCGCATTTTGGCTACAGCAAAAATGTAATGAGTGCAGCAATAATTGCATGGGTGCGCGCACCGCTTCAACATACTGATCTGTGTACTGGCGGGCGTGCCCGGGTATTCTGATTTGCTGGATCATATAGTGGGTGGTTCTACTTGTAGATTTCTGAAGGCTGTTTATACTTAAATAAGAGCCATAAAGCTTCTTTAATGCCAGCACTAATTTACATTCTCCCCAAAAGTGAGCAGGGAATTCGTTTTCTCTGCCTCCTCACCAGAGATTAGGGTTTTCTTTTCTTTCTTTTTTTTTTTTTTGTTTGTTTGTCTTTCGGATAATATGCATTCTGACTGAAGTGAGAAGAAATCTCATTGTGTTTTTGATTTGCATTTTCGTGATGGATTGGGGATAATGAGGAATTTTTAGTGTGTCTTCTGGGCAACTGTATGTCTCAGTTTCACAAATGAGTCTTCGCAGCCTTCGCCCATTTGTTTTCATGCTATTGAGTTGTTGGGAGTTCCTTATGTACTGTGACTATTCCCCCATGAACAGATGTATGGTGATCCAATCATTGCTCCCATCCTGTAGGATGCCCCTTCTGTATGTTGAGTTTTCTATGGTGTGGTGAAGCACTTTAGTTTGATATGATTCCATTCTCTATTTTTGATGGTGTTTACTGTGTTCTTGCAGTCACTTTGAGACCATCATTGCACACACGGACGCCATGGAGCTTCTTCCTTGTGATCTCTTCTGCTATTTTTATCGTTTCACATCTGACACTGGAGTTTGGTGATAAATAATCCACTTGTAAAATCCTTTGTGTGGCTATTCAGATTTCCCCAACCTAGTTTATAGAAGATACTTGATTTTGCATTGGTCGTTCTTGCTTCTTTGGGAAAAGGCTGTGAGCTGCAAATGCAGTGACTTAGTTCTGGGCTCCTGTTGTTTTTCCTAAGCTCTAGTCTCTGCTTTTCTGCCAGTGCTATTGTATTTTGGTACAAAAAGTTTTGTAGTAGTATATCATGAAGTTAGGTAGTGTGGTGGCTCCAGCTTTGTGCTTTTTACTGGATTGCTCTGGGTTTTCAGGATCTTCTGCCATTTCATAGCAAATTTGGGATTCCCAGATTGTTTTTCTAAGAAGAATGTGTCATTGATATTTTTACAGGGGTTGTATAGAATCTGAGGATGACTCAGGTAGTAGTGATGTCAATGCCGTTTAGACAATGTGCGTGTTTGTGTGCACAAGCTCAGGGCCAAGAGACACTGGGTGTCCTCACCAATACTGAGGTGGGCCTTAATATCCAGCCAGATTGCCTTCTGGAAACACACGGAATGTCCTGTTCTGTTTTGCCATCTCTTCACATTTCCTCCCCTGTGAGCCCTGTGTGGTCCTCCAGATTCCCTGTGCGGTGGCCTGCCTTTTTTGGGGTGGGGAGTTGCTGGGTGAATGAGGATGGCGGAGGGAACCAAGCATGTCAGTGGAGTGTGGTGTCATCCAAACGGTACTTAGCAGGCCTGGGAGAGTCATTCTGGGAGGACGCAGACCTAGAGAGGCCTCAGGTGGGCATCTGTGTGGAGGGTGAGAGATCCCTGGTTGAGCCCAAACTGAACCCCAGGTAGAAGCAAGCCTCAGGACAGGGAAGTAGCTAGCAAGGGATGATGAGGCAGCTATCTCTTGACCCTGGCTTCCCACCCATTGACCTTAGCTACTTATGCCTATTAAGCAGATTACGGTTCCCCCATCGTGAAATGTGGGTACCACAGTTCCCTGATGGGCATTTCTCCACCAGCCCATGATGGCCTGAGTTTCCTTACTGCAGTCTCCTCCCTGAGCCTTGGCTTCTCTATGTGTGTCCTAACTCCAGGACCCACAGGCCTGTCAACCCCCAGCCCTGGGCTGCTTCCCTGGCCTCTTCTCTGTTCCCTCTCTGAGGGCCTAACTCCCTTGGGTAGTGCTGCAGAATATAGAGCCACAGGCCCTGGCTGATGATCTGGTGGACTGGGCAAATTGGTCGTGACAGGTCAGGTTCTGGTTCAAAGCCAATTCCTCCGATGCCAAGGAATGTCGAAGAAGGTCCTTTGCCATGATGCCCCATAGCTGCCCCACCTCAGCAATCGTGCCGTAACCTGGGCCCTCACAGTCAGACAACCAGCTGAAGAAGCTCAGGCAGTGACCTGCGGGAAACTCGGGCTTTCACCTGCATGACCCTAGAACCACTGGACTGCAGTGGAGCCAGTCGCCCTGTATCCTGGAGGGAGACGAGTCAGGAAGGCGCACGCCAGGCCCAGCTTCCGAGGTACTACCCCCTCTACTCCTCAGGGAGGATGCCAACGCAATACTCCTTAGTCGTCACTTTGTTTCCGAAGTAAATGTTGTGATGAAAGGCAAACTTCTTCCTACCCCTTGTATTCAGGGTGGCCGAGTTCCTCCACCTGCCTGTCCAAGAAGGAGAAACAGGGCTGTGAAGGGGCAATTTCATCTAGGTGGGCTGAGGTGGCATTCTAGCCGGGGTGAAGCATGCGTTTCCCCTTCCCAGCTTTCCCGCTGAGACACACCTGAGCCCCAGAAGGACCTCAACCTGACCAGGACCTTAGCACCCTCCCCCAGACCCAGGCTTTCCATCCTGACCTGCAAATCCA
Organism: Homo sapiens; assembly: GCF_000001405.40. Classification (NCBI taxonomy): domain Eukaryota; kingdom Metazoa; phylum Chordata; class Mammalia; order Primates; family Hominidae; genus Homo; species Homo sapiens. Next base: position 9,476,410 of record NC_000024.10, read on the forward strand.
ACATGCAGCTTTGAAGGACTTTCTCATGGTTTCTGAGCTCCTTGCTCTCACCAGAAAGAATCAGAACTTTTAAAGTGTTCTTTATGCCAACTTAAATTTTTCATTTTTACTACCTCATGTTTTGGATGAGGCATGTATTTTTAAATTTATTTTCACCCTTATTGTACCTCTATGATAAACTGCTTGCTTACATTCATACCGTAATTATCTCTCAGGTTACTTGTCTGTTCCTAAAGATTCACTGAAACGAAGAATTCTATATATGCTTGTATCTTTCAGCAACCGTATGTCAGATAACACTGCACATTACTGCAGACATCGCATATACAGGTCCAAAGGTAGAGGAAGAAGAAGAAAGCAAGCGTTAAACTCTATTCATTCCTAAAAGCATATCAGAAACTCACAAATAACAGTGAAATCAAAGAATGATCACAGCCAATTCCATTACATACCTAGACTGAAATACGAAACTTCAAAGAAAAGAAACATTAGAACTTTGGGTTTGTAAAAATTTTCCTATATAGATAAAATTGTTGGTAACTGTGTCTCACTAGAAAACGTAAACAAAAATCCATGTTTTTCATATTTGTAAATATACATAGTTTTATTTCCATCAGTTATGACATGCAAGCAAGTAATAAAGTGAAAGTACAATCAAATGATATATGGAACTTCCTCAGTCTTAAAATATTCCATGGAGACTATCAATTTTATGAAAACTATAAAGAATGCTTCATGAAACTACATTGTACAGTGCCATTTACTATTTTACTGACATTTTAAATAATCAACAATTAAAGGGAATACATCAACATTATTTAATACCAATAACGTTATTTTTCTTGAGTAATCCTGTTGAAATTAAGGATTTTAAATAAAACATTAAAAACAAATTATATTGACTGATTTCAGCTTTGGATGAAATCATACTTGTGTATTTGTAGTAATGCGAAGCATAACTTTCTCCTCACAATTAATCTTTTATAACATCGGTGTTATAGTTTTCTCTGACACCAACATTGTGATATCGCACAGGTTTACTGCATGCATGCATTACATGCCTCCAGAGAGTAGGCTTCAAATATATGGAAAAATTATATTTATGAAAAAATTCTAGGAAAGGGAATGGTGAAATGGAAGAGAATTTCTCACTTGCTAACTGTTGGACATGGATTTGTATATATTTGGATATAGACACATACTGGCACACTGTGAGTTTGCCCATGTATATATACACTTATATGAGAAACCCATAATATATGGGTTGTGTAATCTTTTAATTAATCCATAATTGTATGTGTGTGAAATTAGATAAGCGGTTACCTTTTCTTTACTCAATTTGATGGAAAGCCAAAAAACTCTGTCCACCTTCATTTCAATTAATCCAATACTGTTAACTGCTGGTAGCTTCATTCTCCTTGTTCTCTTACGGCAACCGGAAAGTTAATTCTCGCTCTAATTTGGCTTTCAAGGTGCGATCAACAAGAGTGTCACCTTGCTGTGGATTGTGACCTCTGACTCCACCTCTGTCTTCCTTTTGCAGTCCTACCTTTGCATAGGTAACAAACTTTGTACATGGTTAAAAGGATAAAAGTTCAGTGAAATGTCAAGCCATGCTGTGAAATGTTCCATAGTTTCTATATCTCTAATTGTCCTTTGATGTTATAGAGGCAAGAAAAATAATTCAATGTTTTTCTTAGTATCTAGTCCAATGCACTCTTTCTTCATAATACTGCAAACAAGGCACTGACATGGAAACGTGGCTGGACGTCTCAAAATCTCTTCTCATTAATTACCATTATGTTAATCACTGTTGCCCACAACTGGAATTGGACTTTGAAATCCCCTGGTGGAAATTGCTATAATGGCTCAAACTACTGGAAAGACTATCTTTTTTTTACCTGAAAATATCTGATGAGCATAGACGTATGCTATATACAGGAACATATTGTACATTAACAACATACCATCACTGCCACTCAATAATAGGTATCCCAAACCTTTGAGCCAAACTGAGCTCAGGTGCTCCCACAAACCAAGCTTTTCCCTCCACAGATTTCTTATGTCAAAAAGCCACAACTCCAGGCCAGGCTTCGTGGCTCTTGTTGTAATTTCTACATTTTGGGAGGCCGAGGTTGGTGGGTCACTTGAGGTCAGGAGTTGGAGACCAGCATGGGCAACATGGCAAAAAGCTGTCTCTACCAAAAATACAAAAATTAGCCAGACCTAGTGGCACTTTCCTGTGGTCCCAGCTACTTGGGAGGCTGAGGCAGGAGAACCACCTGAACATGGGTGGCAGAGATTGTATAGTAAGCCAAGATCAGACTACTGCACTCCAGCCTGGATGACACAGCGAGACCATGACTGAAAAAAGAAAAAAAAAAAATAAAGGCAACTCCACTCGTCCACTGGCTTAGGTAAAAAATACTGGAGTTGGCTGGGCTCGGTGGCTCACACCTGTATTCCCAGCACTTTGGATTTTGGGAAGCTGAGTCGGGCGGGTCACCTGAGATCTGTAGTAGGAGAGCAGCCTGGCCAACATGGTGAAGCCTGGCTTCTACTAAAAATACAAAACATTAGCTGAGCGTGGTGATGCATGCTTGTAATCCCAGCTACTGCAGAGGCTGAACCTGGGAGGCGGAGGATGTGTTGAGCTGAGATCCTGCCACTGCGCTCCAGCCTGGTCTACAGAGCGAGAGTACCCTGTGAGAAACAAAGGTGAAGAGAACAAGAAAAAAAAAAATGAGAAAAATAAGACCCACTGCAAAAGGTTGCCACAGAAAAGATTAAACATTTCAGCAACTTCTATCTTCTATCATGGAAGCCAAGGTTATTTGGACCAAACCTCCTGTCTTAGTTCATTTTCACGCTGCTGAAGAAGACATACCTGAAACTGGGAATAAAAGGAGGTTTAATTGGACTGACAGTTCCACATGGCTGTGGAGGCCTCAGAATCATGGTATACGAATAAAGGCACTTCTTACATGGCAATGCCAAGAGAGAATGAGGAAGAACCTGAGGCAGAAACCCCTGAAAAACCCATCAGATCCCGTGAGACTTCTTCACTGTCACAAGAATAGCATGAGAAAGACCGACCCCCATGATTCAATTACCTCCCCCTGGGTCCCACCCGCAACACGAGGGAATTCTGGGAGATACAATTGAAGCTGAGATTTGAATGGAGACACACCAAACCATGTCACTTCCCAAACAATTAAAAATTCCCAATAGAAGAAGCATTAATTATATCAAAAAGTGGTGGACCAAGAAGGAACTATTAGCCTCATATCTCAAGAAAGACTCCAGTCAAGGCCTAGGGACTACTCATGAAAAGAGTTTAATAGCCGACTCTCTCCCAGTGGATCTGGATTCCACCGGACTGTATCTTCACAGTAAGGGTGAAACAGAAGCAAACCCATTCCTATTTCCAAGCTCAAGGAACTTTGGTCAAAGTTCTCTTGGAGCTGAGCAGAACAAGGAGGCAAACAGAAAAGATTTGTGTCCCTGAGAAGTCATGGCCACAGGCTGGCTATCACACAGATTGTCAAGCCAGTTCCATATTGCATGGGTATTACAGAAAATCTCAAAACATAAATTTGTGTGTGGGTTGTCCCAGAGTAGCAGGATCTGGCAGAAGGAAATTTCCTTCTAACCCTCAAAGAATCCACATAAATCTTGTTACATTTGGGATTTTACGATTTGCTTCAGGAATGAGAATGGCCTTAATTTTCATATCTTTTTCTACACTCAGTTTATGGCTTGTTGGCGTCAAAGTTCTGCTTGCTTCACACAATGAGTTTAGGATTTTCCCTTTTTTATTCTATAGAATTCTTCATATATATTGAAATGCTCTGCCTGGGGAAAAAAATCTGAGCCTAGCGTTTTATCTCTAGGAAGAATCCTTTATTTCCTTGAACATTTATGAGACTATACAGATTATATATGTCTTCTTGTATCAATTTTACTAAGCTATATACATAGCTTATGTTTATATATTATATATATAAATGTAAGATACAAATATAAAAATTATGTATAAATATGAAAATATATATAGAAAGCGATATATATGTCTATATATATAGACAGATTATAAATATCTGTCTATTTGACCTAAGTTTTCAAATTTGTAGGTTAAGGTGTTAACGATATTTCCTTATTAGCTTCTTAATCTATGCTGTATCTATGGTTGTGTACCTTTTAAATTCTTAGTTTTATCTATGTTTTCTCCCTTTTTTTCTAAACTTGACTGACGGTTGCATCACTTATTATATTTCTCCAACAAGCAAAGGTTAGCTTTGTATGTTTTACTAATTTTGTCTACATCATTATTCCCACACTTTAGTTTTTCAGAATTGATTCTGTTGTTTCTTTTCTAATTCTTTATTGAAATATCTAGTACATTAATTTTCAAGTTATTAGAGAAATATTTGTCTGTAAACTCCTATTGTAATATCACTTTTCTTGCTACTCACAGATTTAATCTTTAATATTGGCGGTATCATTGAGTTCTAAGTACATTTCAATTCCTAGTATGATAATCTATGAATTGCTGAGAAATAGTGTTTACAATTTTGTTGTTCTATTTCCACTTAAGTTTATTTTTACTTCTGCTAACTCAATTGAAAATTCTTTACTAATTTTTAAAATCCTTGAACCCAAGAGATGGAGGTTGCAGTGAGCTGAGATCAGGCCACTGCATTCCAGACTGAGTGACAGAGTGGAACGAGATTTCAAAACAAAACAAAACAAAACAAAACAAAACAGTCACTGGAAAGATAATAAAATACATAAATGTGGGATGTAATATGTAATCGTGATAAAATAAACTGGATTTTTTGTATAAGTTATACATATAAATGTAATGCCAAGACACTGATAAGACAACTCATGGTCTTATCTCAATACTTAGTGTCTTCATGTAACATATGTCCTTTAGGATAGTTATAGTCCGTTTTCTTTCCAGGAGAGACAGATGAGAATGCAGAAATGTTAAAGTGCAAGGGACGGAAGCTTCCAGCTGTGCCCACCTGTAACCTGACGTAGACAGTTCCACCGTTTGCTTCATTAATCATGCCAAAGGCTCTAATGCAAATGTGGTACAGAGTCACATGTTTTTGTATCTACATGATAGAAACTATAACTTCATCCCTATATAGAAGGGTATATAGCATATGCCTCAGTGATAAATATAAGTGAATCCTTGATCAGTAGGAAACCATTTTAAAAGTCTTTCATAACAGAACAAAATCCCTGAAAACATTTTCTTCTCAATCTCTGAGTTTTCTTACACGGCTTATGAATCTCTAGCCATACTAAAGAGATAGTATGCTGCTCTTCCCACAAATTATTCATTGTATATAATTCCTGTAATCTAATAACAGTACCTTTACACCTCAGGGTTTAAAATGACTCCAACCTTTTTCTGTTTCTCCAATTAAAATAACTTTTTTAAGGTTTAATCTTCAGTAATTTTTTGTAGTAATATTTTTGAAGGTATTTGACCAGGATGATTTGCTTATATACCTACCTGACGTCTCCCTTTCTTCTGAATACATATTTTATTACCCACCTATTAGATCTAAGTTTAAGAAGTTGGAATAGGGATTTAAATCTAAATTCTACATTTGAATTTACAGGAGTCAGCGAGTCCGGGAAGTGCCTTTATGCACAGACCAATATCTGGCAATGGCACTAGGAGACAAATAAGCTTTACCAGTCTCAAAGCCCTGGCTACTACAGTGAATCCACCCTTCTCCTGGATCTTATCTACTTCAGCAAAAGAAGGCCACCCACTAAACCAGGCCCTTGTACTTTGGGTGGAAACTCCTAAGTCCTCTAGTCTCCTCAAACAGACAGCCAGGCTGCCAATTTCCACAATAATAATTTCTATAGCACTGAGTCTTTGGTAGCCTTGTAACTGTAGCTACTGATGCTACAGTCTGGTCCCTGTATGATAAAACACCAGAGCAACAGAAACAAAAATATTGACTGAAGCCTTCTAAAATCTCTCTAAATATACCTTCAATAAATATGGTTTTTTTTACAGAACGACTGCTTTCAGCTTCCTGAACTAACGCTTGGCCTTCGCTAGTTGTCACTGTTGAAATTGATTCAAAAGTGTACATTTAACATGAAAGTCAACACAGAATTTCATGTGTCAGCAACTAAAATTTTCAAAATGTTGCAAAATACAAATGTGAAACTGTATTTGTGAAATTTACCATTCATTGAAATTATATTTTCATACCTACCCAGGCACAGAATTTTTTATAACTGTCTGCATGTTCTCCTCATGTGGGGGAAAAGCAGCATCAGCAGGCAGAGGAATCCTTTGAAGCTGGAGGGAGAGGTTGCAGTGATCTGAGAGTTTGCCACTTGACTGCAGCCTGGATGACACAGTGAGACTCCAACTGAAAAGAAACAAACACACACCCACACACACACACACACACACACACCCCCAAAATTGATAAGTAAAAAAAAAATCCATATTCGAAAACATGCTCACAGGCTAACTCCCATATCTAACACACACACACACACACACACACACACACACACACACACAATTCCTTGAAAACGAAAGTTCCACAAGGGCAAAACAAGAAAACAAATTTAACACCCCCCAAAGAAAGTACAAAGAGTAACCTCAAAAGAACCGCAGGGGAAAACAATTCAAAATTTACAAGTATCTACCCTAAAAGAAGCTGAAAGTCCCTCAAAAACTTTCCAGAGGCCATGTCCTTGTATTACAAAAATGATCATAAAAACTGGCAGGAGTAGACGAATAGAAATGCATCTTAAAACTTGCTAAACCCTTCAAGTCTCCCATAAGAATTGTAATGGAAAATGGATCGGTCGGCAGCTTTTTCCATACAATTATGAACAAATTATATTTCTTCATACATAGATTTGTTTTTTCAATATTCTAAGGAATTAACTTTTATATTAATAGTAGGTGATGTAAGAAAGCAGGCCTTTATCAAGATAACTGACACTGGATGTCCATACCATTACTCAGGTGGGCCTTAATTCCCAGCCGGGTTCCCTCCCTGGACACACACTGAAGGTCCCCAGCCATTTGGCAATCTCTTCACATTCCCAGCCCTGGAGGTAGCCCTAAAATACATGTACCTGAAGAAAATAAAACATTGCCTCACACTGGAGCCCAGTGTGGTCCTCCAGATTCCGTGTGAGGTGGACTAACTTATATGGGAAGGCAGGGCAGCGGGAGTGAGGATGGCAGAGAGGATTACACATGTCAAGGCAGCCGGGGTCATGGAAACAAAACATGACTGGCCTGGGAGAAACACTATGAAAGGACATACACCTAGGTGGGCCTTAGGTGGACATCCTCGTGGAGAAAAAGGGGGCCCTGGTTGATCTCAAAATGAGCCCCAGGTGGTAGCAGGTCTTACCGCAGGGCAGGGAGCTGGCGAGTAATGATGAGACAGCTATCCCTTAAGCCCTGCTTGTCACCCACTGACTTTAGCCACATATGCATCATAGTGGCTTAAGGTGCCCCGATCCTGAAATGTGGGTGTTACATGTCCCTGATGGGCCTCTCTCCCCCAACCCACGGATTGCCTGGGATTGCTCACTGCAGTCTCCTCCCGGATCCTTGGGTTCTCCATGTGGGGCCCAGATCCAGGTCAAAAGGCCTCTCAGTTCCCAGCCCTTCCCAGCCCTAGGCTGCTCGCCTGGCCTCCTCTCTGTTCCGCCTCTAGGGCTGACCCTCTCTCCATGGGATAGAACTGCAATGGATTGAGCCATAGGCCCTGGGTGATGATCTAGGTGACTGCAGAAGTGGGTCCAGGACAGTTCAGGTGACAGTTCAAAGCCAATTCCCCAGAGACCAAGGAATGACCAGCTAGGTCCTTTCCCATGATGCCCCACGGCGAACCCCACCTCAGCAATCCTGCCAAAACCCGGGCAGTCATGTTCAGCCAAACAGCTGAATGAGCTCAGGTAGGAGGTGTACTGCCTGCAGCTGGAGGCTTGACCTTCGTGATCCCAGAACCGCTGGACTGCAGTGGAATGAGACACCCTGTAGCCTGCAGGGAGAGGAGTCAGGAAGGTTCATGCCAGTCCCACCCTCCCACACACCAGCTCCCCTACCATGCTGGGAGGCATTCCTTACCGAGGATGCCAACACAGTGCTCCTTCATGATGATTTCACTGTGGAAATAAAGGTTGGGATGAAAGGAAATCATCCTGCCACCGGTAACCGGGATGGCTGAGTTCCTCCACCTGCCGGATCAAGGAGAAAGAGGATGGATTCAATGGGACCATCTCAACTAGCCGGGCTGAGGTGGCCTACTAGCTGTAGTGAACCATGAGTTTCCCCTTCCCAGCTCTCCCACTGAGACAACCCTGGTCCCCAGGGGGACCTCAAACTGACTCAGACACTGGACTCCTCCCACAGACCCAGGCTCCCCAGCCTGACCTGCAAATCCATCACGTAGCAAAGCAGGACTTCCGCATGCTTTCCGACCCACGCCGACATCTCGTGTGCCAAACAATCTACCTCTGCGCAAGAACTCTCCAGAGGATTGGGTGGGCAAGCCTCGTGACGCCTTGCAATTTCGCAAGAACACAGACAATGTGGAACAGGGCCATCTCCCAGACATTTGGCCAGTCACCCTTCATTGTTGGCCCTCTATCTCTGTCTGGCGAGGAGGCAACGCCACAACTGTGGTGGTTTTTGGAGTGGGTGGACCCCGGCCAAGACGGCCTGGGCTGACCAGAGACGGGAGGCAGAAAAAGTGGGCAGGTGGTTGCAGCTGAGGGACGGGAGGGGCCGGGGGTGGTGTGAGGCGGCTGCTTCTCTGAGTTTCTGAGATGCAGGAGGCCTTTGTGTGCTGGGTGCTGGACATGCTCCGCTGATGTCCGGGTGTGTGGTGTCCTCTTATCCTAGTCTCCCTGAGGGGTGGGCCTGTCCACCTGAGGGAAGCCTTGTAGTTAGAAGCCACAGCAGGGTCGTGCCTGGCGCTCTCCAAGGGAATTGCGTGGGTCCAGAGGAAGTTATACAGGCTCAGGGCCTACACGCCTTTGAGTGCAGCGCCTGCAGTTGGATGAATGCGCATCTGCGGAGCTGGTGCCCGCCGTCAGGTGGTCGGCAGCCCCATGCGCCGCGAACCCGTCTTAAGCACCTTGTGTTTCTGGGGTGAGCCTGCTGGAAACAGGCACCGAGAGCAGGGGTGGTTCAATGGCTGGTAATGGCATACAGATTCCCCGTCCTCCAGGGACGTTCCCAGGGAAACGCGTCCTTCGAATTTGGGCTGTGCGCAAAGGGACCTTGGCGCCGCGATTCTCCCTTGTCAGTGCTGGCCCTGGCTCCCCTTCCCTACCACGTGCTCCCAGGGCTGCTACAAGCGAGCTGCCCTCACAGCTGCGGGAACGTGGCCTCGGCTCCCACGCTGTCCCCCATCCCCTGCCTCCTGGCTGACCCCACGTGCCTCCCACCTGGCTCCTCCCCGCAAACAGCCCCCATACCCCCCGAGGCCCGATGACTATCCCCTGCTGCCCGCCATCCCAAATCGGCAGCCGCAAGGATATGGCTCTGGCTCACAAGGCGGAGATGCTCTGTGGCCTGGGGCATTCACGGAGCCCAGCTCCAAGTGAAGGACCTCCAGCGAGTCCATTGACGGCCCCGGTGTGCTCGGTCCAGGGCCAGGCTGTGCCCGCTGGCCCTCCTTCTGCCACCCCACGTCGGGCTCCACCTCAACCACCACCTCCACCTCAGCCATGATGTCTTCCACCTTCAGCACCGCCTCCTCTTCCAAGGCCGCCTCCTTGCTCTGTACCCCGGCCGTCCTCTCCAGCATTGCCTCCAGCCTGAACACGGTTTTCTCCTGGGTGCTCCCACAGACCCTGGGCCTGCGCAGCCCAGCCCAGCCCAGCCCATGCCCCGCACCCGTAGGCTCTGGGGGCCCGCTCCCCAGCAGACCCGCTCCCTGCAAGACCCACGGGCGTCGCCCTGCTGTGAACCTGGTCCCACACCTACGTGGACCCAGGTTTCCTGAGGAGCTCCGCTGGACCCGCAGATCCCGCACTGGCCAAAGGGCTCCGGTCCCCAGCAGGCTCAACTGCGCACAGGAGCTCGGGAGCCAGAGGCCCCGGCCCTGGGCTTGCAGAGCCCCACCAACAGGCACCGCAACCGCTGCTGCGGGTGCGGGAGCCTCTGGGTCGTCAAGGCAGCGCACAACAGCGTGCGCGCAGGCCGACAATGGCCAACCCTGGCGGCTGGCCTCTGGTGTGCCCAGGGCATAGGACAAGAGGCCCTTTGGAATGCTCCTTGGAGTACAGCATCCTCAGGGAGGAAGCATGGTACTCGGAGCCTCTATTTGCCTCGACCTGTGAGAGTGTGTGCCGGGGCTCTGGCCTCTACAGCAGATCAATTCCACCTCAGCACCGGCAGGCGACTTTCCTCCCACGTGCCCGCCCCGATCACTTCCCCCAGGACACCCCTGCCGCCCTAGCCCCAGCAACCAGAGAGAGTTCTCTGCATCTGCTGTATTACCTCCGTACCATCTACCTGGCCTGCCTAACGAAGAGAGATGTTTCCTGTGTTCATGACACATAGAGATGTTCATGGCTTGCCACACTGAGGATGTCAGGGCACAGGGCTGCCATGCCCACAATTCCAAAGGCCACGCAGCCCGCGTGTGCCCGGATGCCTAGCTACCCGGCACAAGCTCCAAGGGCTTCTCGGAGGAGGCTTGGGCAGGGAAGGCGGGGGGTGGGGGGGCTGGAGATGCAGGCCCGCCAGTGGCTGTGCCGCCCAGGGAGACGCCCACCGCCCTCCCATTGACTGGCCACGACGGGAGGAAGTCGGCCTGGGTGCGGCCCCCCGGCCCTTCGCGCGCAGTCCCTTAGGGGGCGCCTGGAAGCCCGGCGCATGCGCCCTGAGGGCTCGCTGACCTACCGGGTGCCAGAGAGGCTGCGGCAGGGTTTCTGTGGCGTGGGTCGGGCAGCACAGGCCTTGGTGTGTGCGAGTGCCAAGGAGGGCACCGCCTTCAGGATGGAGGCTGTACAGGAGGGGGCGGCCGGGGTGGAGAGTGAGCAGGCGGCTTTGGGGGAGGAGGCGGTGCTGCTGTTGGATGACATAATGGCGGAGGTGGAGGTGGTGGCGGAGGTGGAGGTGGTGGCGGAGGAGGAGGGCCTCGTGGAGCGGCGGGAGGAGGCCCAGCGGGCACAGCAGGCTGTGCCTGGCCCTGGGCCCATGACCCCAGAGTCTGCACTGGAGGAGCTGCTGGCCGTTCAGGTGGAGCTGGAGCCGGTTAATGCCCAAGCCAGGAAGGCCTTTTCTCGGCAGCGGGAAAAGATGGAGCGGAGGCGCAAGCCCCAGCTAGACCGCAGAGGCGCCGTCATCCAGAGCGTCCCTGGCTTCTGGGCCAATGTTGTATCCTTCTCAGTGTTTCTTCGGCCTTTCTAGTGGAGAGGTGCTCTCGGGGAAGTGTAAGTGACCGATGGGCAGCTCGGCGTCGATGTGACTCTTTGGGGAACAAAGGGGAGTTGCCACGGACCAGTGTGGCTGTGGAAAGCCGGAGCAGGCGTGGGTACTATTGTCCTGCATGCGGCAGAGAAACCCTTGGTGATGCCGAGCAGCAGACGTTTGGGGCATCTTTTTGAAGAGCAGAAGCGAGTTCAGAGCGGAAGAGGTTTTTCAGTGAATGAAGCTATTTTTAAGGGAGTGTGATTGCTGCCCCTTGCTAGTCCGATCTGGGACTGGGCGTCTTCGGCTATAAGCAGATTCTGCCACTCCTCAGACACCAGCAAGTCTCTGCAAATCGCGCCTCCCCATGTCAGTGCAGTCAGCCTCAGAATCATACACCCTCTGTGAACACAGGAGGCCTTAGTTTAAGGGGAGGGGGAGGCGAAAGGAGATCATACATGGAAGCAGATCTGAGAAATCCCCTACCCCAGCCTCTGGGTGCTCTTAGGCCTTCTTCCCTGTTGCTCCTCGCTTTCCCTTCCATCGTGTGTAAAGTCTCTTTGACCTAAATCAGATTGCAAACCACCCCCAGATGTCAGCCCTGATCACTGACGAAGATGAAGACATGCTGAGCTACATGGTCAGCCTGGAGGTGAGGCCAGGAAGACTGGGGCTAGAGGGTTTAGCGGGGGAGGGTAAGGGAAATAATTCATTCCTGTAAGCAAGAGTGAGCACCTCACCCGAAAACCTATCTAAGCTTTCTCCACCTTGTCCTGACAGGTGGAAGAAGAGAAGCATCCTGTTCATCTCTGCAAGATCATGTTGTTCTTTCGGAGTAACCCCTACTTCCAGAATAAAGTGATTACCAAGGAATATCTGGTGAACATCACAGGTGACAGGTGGCTCCCAGGATGGGTAGTGGAAGGAAGATGGTGGGTGGATCATTGCCAACGGGATCCAGCCCCCTTCCCACAAAAACTCCTGTCTCTGTAGAATACAGGGCTTCTCATTCCACTCCAATTGAGTGGTATCCGGATTATGAAGTGGAGGCCTATCGCCGCAGACACCACAACAGCAGCCTTAACTTCTTCAACTGGTTCTCTGACCACAACTTCGCAGGATCTAACAAGATTGCTGAGGTGAGTCCTCACTGGGAAACATGAGGAATGACCCCATGTGTTCCCAGCTGCTTGGGTCACCTTTCTGAGCCCTGATGAGGCCTTTCCCGATTGAGTCCCCTGACAGATCCTATGTAAGGACCTGTGGCGCAATCCCCTGCAATACTACAAGAGGATGAAGCCACCTGAAGAGGGAACAGAGACGTCAGGTGAGCCGTTAGTTGGCACTGGAGCTGTTTGATGCCCAGTATAAGGGGGTTGACACACCTGCCTATTCAGGGAGCCTGGGTGCTCATTTCAGAAATGTAGAAATTGAGGCTCCTTTCGTACATGTAGAAATTCCTTGAGAGGAAGACAGAGAGTGACAGAATCCAGGACGTTCATGGCATTGGGCTGAAAAGGCACGTTAGAGACTGCACTGCAAAGCGGGTGATAGCTGTGGAGTCTTAAGCCCAGTGAAGAATCGTCCATTTCCAGAATCAATGAGAAGTAAAGCTGAAAATCATTCAGTTCAGTCTGTGGCACTTGATTCCACGGCTGTCAACCCCACCGGCAGTCATCCCACCAACCCCATGAGATTGGGCTCCCTGAATGTGCGTCCTGGTCATCCTTGCCCCAAACCACAAAGGACTGTTTAGATTGATGGATTTCCTTAAGCTGTTGCCCCATCAGACTTGTGTGTGCTTTTAGGGCCCAGTGCATCTTGTTAGCTGACTCCCCTCACAGACAATACTGGGAATGGGGCAGGGATTGCGCAGAACAGTTTGTAACACGTGGTAGGAGGAAGTTTAAGGGATCACAAATGGGGAAGGGATATCCTTTTCTCAGCGGGCCCCACAATTGAAACATTTCAAAGTATGGCTCAGAGAAAATGCGTTTTAACATGAGTTTGTGTTTCTCTAGGGGACTCCCAGTTGTTGAGTTGAATATGATGGAGCATCAGATTTTACCTAATACAGCAGAACTCCTAAAAAGTTACAGCCATATGCAGGACGGCAGTACTCAGCATGGTCTTATGCACAGGAACTAAAGGAAAAAGAGATCGAGTCACAAAAATTCAGGAAGAGGGGGTAAATGTGGATTGTATGGAATGAAAAATAAACATTCTCAAGGATGTGTGACTCTGTGTCTGTGTGTGTGTGTGTGTCTTTGTGTTTGTGTGTGTGTGTGTGTGTGTGTGTATGTTTATCCACTTTATTCGGGTGTCATAATGAATTGATCAATCCACGTGCTTTATTCTCTTCATGGAAATAACCAGTCTGCGTTGGAGCTGGGCCTCTAAAGTTGTAGAGTGAATGGGTGTGGGATGTGTTGGGATTCTTCCTACAGGACAGACTGGGAGAGGTAAAAGCAAAAGACAGCTTAGTTGGAGGCTGACTTCGTCCTATGGAAGCAGAGATAGTTCAAGGAAAGGGGTTACTGGGTTTCCAGGGCCCAGTTTGCTGGGACCTCCAAAATCCTTCATTTTGGGTATCATCATACACAGTAGCTAAGCACAGGATGATGGAAATCTTAAAGTTCGCTTTCGTGTTGAATCCACATGTTCTTTTAAAGGTGAATGCATGATCCTTTTCTGGGACAATCAGCCTCTCAGGACTTCTGAAACATCAACGTGAGAAGAAATGGGCATGTAAGGTGTATGGAGGGACTGTGGGAAAGGTGACAGAGGCATGTGGGAAGGCATTCAGGATACGCTTTTGGCATAGATGACTAAGGGAAAACAGAAACTTACAGAAGTGAGGGGAAAGGGGGTGGATTAGTGGAATATAAGATTGTTGGAGAATCCATCCATGGACTCTCTTGTCACTTGATGACCCAGGATATGGACACTCTTGTTGATGTTTACATCTTTAGTTGTTTTAAGCTTTTCTCCAAGATTCTGTGTTAGGTGAGGAGCCAATAACGTATGTAGCTAACAACAGTACGAGTGCATTTTGTGCTCTTGCAAAGTCTAGTGAGGCTCTATTCTCCCTCGTGATTGGCACTGCAGATTGTATCTGGTGCCCAGGGCCCCTAAATTTTCTGTGGCCTCTTCAGCATAGTTTGCCTAAGGTTTAGAACGTAAAGCGAATATAGTTGCGGAATATGTTTTGCAAGCCTCACACAGGAGGACAAAACATACAGCTTTCATTCGCGAGTGGGAGGCTGCTTCCCAGGAACACGTGTGTCTGCACAAGACAAGGGGTTGCCTCTGTCAAGGATGGGGCAGGAGGATTTCAGTGTCGGAGGCAGAACTTTCTTTCCTGTTCCCAGATGAAACAGTTCCAACACGAGCATCCATGTTGACCACACGCTACTAGAGTGCTAACATTGCTGTCCCGTATAGACTCTGGTCAGCACAGCTTCTGTGAGAAGAGCTATGTTGTTTCAGGGAAGAGGGTTTGACAGTCAAAGTTCCTGAATCTGTTGTGGTGCCTGCAATATGCATTCTACCCCTCCTGCTCGGTGTCAAAGCAGTTGAGCTTTGAAAATCTATCGCCTGGTTTTGTCCCTGCTCCTATGCAGACCTCTGAAGCTCTGGAGCGGGAGTCTTGTCCTCCTCTGACTACCGTCCCCCTGACCCACAAACACAGGAGAAACAGGTGTTCTAAGCAAATTATTCTGAAAACAGTCGGAACACTTTGGCCCCCTCAAGCTGCCCTCTATCCTACTGTGTGCATGTCAAAGACACTGTGGTCCAGTACGGTATCCCTATAGCGGCAATGGGGCAACAGATTGGTGTGTGCACTCTGGGCAACTCAGATTAGGAAACGTCTGGGGACTTGCCTATAACGAGGTCGTCTTAAAACGTGTTGCCCCAAATTTAAGGCATAGGAAAATGTTGAGGAAAGGGTCTTGCAATGATTTTTCTAGGAGGTAAATAGATAAGAAAATGACCGTAAATAGATGCCAGGGCTAGTTTTGGAGCTAGCCTTTTTTAAAGTGGTGGTAGGGGAGGAGGTTTTTCCAAGGCAGGTAGCAAACCAGGAACTGTCTACGATGGATGGGCGTGCCATGGGTTGGTGGCTCAGCCATATTGCCACCCCACGGAGTCGATGCAGCAGACTGGGCTTCTTGCTTGAATCCTACGTGCAATTCAGTCTAGTGATTTCACATGAGATCCCTTCTTCTGGTATTATCACAGATCGTGCTGAATTATACAGGCTGTGTAATGCTTCTTCCACTGAATATCCGTGCACGTGGGCCACAGATGCTAAGGGCACTGACAAATTTGCACCGTGCCTCAGTAACTCGGAAGCACATCTGTGATTTGTACCGACAGGGACTTGGTGTCTTTTCGTGTTTACAGTAGCACGTGTGTGTTTGTGGTTGCGTATGTTTATTTCTCTGTGCGGGTTTGTATATTTTCTCTGACTCCACCTATGTCTCCGTGGTTCCGATATTTTTCCACACTCCCTGCGACAATTTGCACATGCCTATCTCTACAACCATTGTAGACTTTGTATCTGTGTCTTTGAACATCTGTCACTCTCTCTCCCTTCCTTTTTTCTTTTCCTTCCTTTACACCCCTCCTTTCATCCTTCCCTTGCTTCCCCACCACACTCTCTCCATCTGTATCGTCTATGTTTCTATTCTCTATCTGGGTTTACTTTCTAATTCTGAATTCAAGGGCATTGAATTGAAAAGAAGCACTCTTCGTACTTTTATGTGTTTTAACTCATTTGGGGAATTTGGCGTGGTATTATTTACAGGGTTCTCTCTGCCCTTTCTCATTGTTCTCCCCAGCCGGGGCTGTTATTATGTGAAAGCTGGTTTCCTTCATCACATCGCGTAGGCTCTAATGATGTTTCGTTTATTTTGATTCTCCTCACACTACATAGTTTTAATTTACCTAATGTGACTGTTTTTTTGTTTGTTTTCCGAGAATGGGTCTTACTCTGTCTTCTAGGTTGGACAGCAGCCCCACGATCTCAGCCCACTGCAGCCCAGGCACCACACACCCATGTGATCCTGTCAACTCAGACTCTCACACACCTGGCAGTACAGGTGCATGCCACCCCTCCAAGCTATGTATTAATTAACTAAATACTTACTTTTTGAATGTGGGTCCATGTTGCCCCAGGCTCATCTGGAACTCCTGAGTGCAGGCAATCCTCCCACCTCAGCTTATCAAAGTGCTGGGATGACAGGTGTGACCATGGCCCTGCCATGGCTTTGTGTTTTTTGCTTTTTTCTTCCTCCTCCTCACGTCTTGTTTTGAAACATGCACTGAAGGTTTCAATTCATGGACTATAGCCTCTGTGCCTGGAATTTCTATCTTTCAACTCATCATCAGCATTCATTGGGATTTTCATATATATATACACCTATATAAGAATACCTATGTACACACATATATACGTATATACATGTATATACGTATATATGCACATTTATATACGTATATACATGTATATACGTATATATATACATGTACACATATGTATTTATTTCTCAAGTTACGAAACGGCTTGCATTCTTTCCTGTGTCATGAAAAAGACTTTGCTAGAAAAGAAAAGCACTGCTTTATAATAAAATATTTTATTTGCATTTATTTTGTTAAGGCATTTTAAAAATTGTATGTTTGTTTAAAAAATGTCATATGAAATGATACATATTTACAACTTAAGGCGTGATGTTCAACAGGTCATATACATTATGCATTGGATACATCCAGCCAATCAACATATGTGTGACCTCACATAGTTGTCATTTTTGTTGTGAAAAAACTTGACCTGCACTGTATTCGAATATTTTTAGAGAAAGAATATGTTACCACTAGTTATAGTGAGCATGCTGAAGAAAATATTTTTAACCTATTCCTCCTTTATAACTAGAAGTATGAGTTCTTCATCCAGCATCTCGTCAGTGCACCCTCTTCACCGCAGTCATTGGAGTCACTACTTCTGTGAAGTCCGCTTTTTTGATTTCATATAAGAATGAGATCATGTGCTATTTTCCTTTCTGATACCTGGCTTATGTCACTTAACAGAATGGCATGCACACATTCAGCAGATTCCCACACATTCTCACAACTGGCAGGATTTCCTGATTTCTCATTGCAGCGCATATTTCCGTTGCGCATATGCGTTTTTGCCCCATTTTTTAATCCACTTATCAATGGAGGGACACTCAGGTTGCTTCCGCATTTTGGCTACAGCAAAAATGTAATGAGTGCAGCAATAATTGCATGGGTGCGCGCACCGCTTCAACATACTGATCTGTGTACTGGCGGGCGTGCCCGGGTATTCTGATTTGCTGGATCATATAGTGGGTGGTTCTACTTGTAGATTTCTGAAGGCTGTTTATACTTAAATAAGAGCCATAAAGCTTCTTTAATGCCAGCACTAATTTACATTCTCCCCAAAAGTGAGCAGGGAATTCGTTTTCTCTGCCTCCTCACCAGAGATTAGGGTTTTCTTTTCTTTCTTTTTTTTTTTTGTTTGTTTGTCTTTCGGATAATATGCATTCTGACTGAAGTGAGAAGAAATCTCATTGTGTTTTTGATTTGCATTTTCGTGATGGATTGGGGATAATGAGGAATTTTTAGTGTGTCTTCTGGGCAACTGTATGTCTCAGTTTCACAAATGAGTCTTCGCAGCCTTCGCCCATTTGTTTTCATGCTATTGAGTTGTTGGGAGTTCCTTATGTACTGTGACTATTCCCCCATGAACAGATGTATGGTGATCCAATCATTGCTCCCATCCTGTAGGATGCCCCTTCTGTATGTTGAGTTTTCTATGGTGTGGTGAAGCACTTTAGTTTGATATGATTCCATTCTCTATTTTTGATGGTGTTTACTGTGTTCTTGCAGTCACTTTGAGACCATCATTGCACACACGGACGCCATGGAGCTTCTTCCTTGTGATCTCTTCTGCTATTTTTATCGTTTCACATCTGACACTGGAGTTTGGTGATAAATAATCCACTTGTAAAATCCTTTGTGTGGCTATTCAGATTTCCCCAACCTAGTTTATAGAAGATACTTGATTTTGCATTGGGCGTTCTTGCTTCTTTGGGAAAAGGCTGTGAGCTGCAAATGCAGTGACTTAGTTCTGGGCTCCTGTTGTTTTTCCTAAGCTCTAGTCTCTGCTTTTCTGCCAGTGCTATTGTATTTTGGTACAAAAAGTTTTGTAGTAGTATATCATGAAGTTAGGTAGTGTGGTGGCTCCAGCTTTGTGCTTTTTACTGGATTGCTCTGGGTTTTCAGGATCTTCTGCCATTTCATAGCAAATTTGGGATTCCCAGATTGTTTTTCTAAGAAGAATGTGTCATTGATATTTTTACAGGGGTTGTATAGAATCTGAGGATGACTCAGGTAGTAGTGATGTCAATGCCGTTTAGACAATGTGCGTGTTTGTGTGCACAAGCTCAGGGCCAAGAGACACTGGGTGTCCTCACCAATACTGAGGTGGGCCTTAATATCCAGCCAGATTGCCTTCTGGAAACACACGGAATGTCCTGTTCTGTTTTGCCATCTCTTCACATTTCCTCCCCTGTGAGCCCTGTGTGGTCCTCCAGATTCCCTGTGCGGTGGCCTGCCTTTTTTGGGGTGGGGAGTTGCTGGGTGAATGAGGATGGCGGAGGGAACCAAGTATGTCAGTGGAGCGTGGTGTCATCCAAACGGTACTTAGCAGGCCTGGGAGAGTCATTCTGGGAGGACGCAGACCTAGAGAGGCCTCAGGTGGGCATCTGTGTGGAGGGTGAGAGATCCCTGGTTGAGCCCAAACTGAACCCCAGGTAGAAGCAAGCCTCAGGACAGGGAAGTAGCTAGCAAGGGATGATGAGGGAGCTATCTCTTGACCCTGGCTTCCCACCCATTGACCTTAGCTACTTGTGCCTATTAAGCAGATTACGGTTCCCCCATCGTGAAATGTGGGTACCACAGTTCCCTGATGGGCATTTCTCCACCAGCCCATGATGGCCTGAGTTTCCTTACTGCAGTCTCCTCCCTGAGCCTTGGCTTCTCTATGTGTGTCCTAACTCCAGGACCCACAGGCCTGTCAACCCCCAGCCCTGGGCTGCTTCCCTGGCCTCTTCTCTGTTCCCTCTCTGAGGGCCTAACTCCCTTGGGTAGTGCTGCAGAATATAGAGCCACAGGCCCTGGCTGATGATCTGGTGGACTGGGCAAATTGGTCGTGACAGGTCAGGTTCTGGTTCAAAGCCAATTCCTCCGATGCCAAGGAATGTCGAAGAAGGTCCTTTGCCATGATGCCCCATAGCTGCCCCACCTCAGCAATCGTGCCGTAACCTGGGCCCTCACAGTCAGACAACCAGCTGAAGAAGCTCAGGCAGTGACCTGCGGGAAACTCGGGCTTTCACCTGCATGACCCTAGAACCACTGGACTGCAGTGGAGCCAGTCGCCCTGTATCCTGGAGGGAGACGAGTCAGGAAGGCGCACGCCAGGCCCAGCTCCCGAGGTACTACCCCCTCTACTCCTCAGGGAGGATGCCAACGCAATACTCCTTAGTCGTCACTTTGTTTCCGAAGTAAATGTTGTGATGAAAGGCAAACTTCTTCCTACCCCTTGTATTCAGGGTGGCCGAGTTCCTCCACCTGCCTGTCCAAGAAGGAGAAACAGGGCTGTGAAGGGGCAATTTCATCTAGGTGGGCTGAGGTGGCATTCTAGCCGGGGTGAAGCATGCGTTTCCCCTTCCCAGCTTTCCCGCTGAGACACACCTGAGCCCCAGAAGGACCTCAACCTGACCAGGACCTTAGCACCCTCCCCCAGACCCAGGCTTTCCATCCTGACCTGCAAATCCAACATGCAGCTTTGAAGGACTTTCTCATGGTTTCTGAGCTCCTTGCTCTCACCAGAAAGAATCAGAACTTTTAAAGTGTTCTTTATGCCAACTTAAATTTTTCATTTTTACTACCTCATGTTTTGGATGAGGCATGTATTTTTAAATTTATTTTCACCCTTATTGTACCTCTATGATAAACTGCTTGCTTACATTCATACCGTAATTATCTCTCAGGTTACTTGTCTGTTCCTAAAGATTCACTGAAACGAAGAATTCTATATATGCTTGTATCTTTCAGCAACCGTATGTCAGATAGCACTGCACATTACTGCAGACATCGCATATACAGGTCCAAAGGTAGAGGAAGAAGAAGAAAGCAAGCGTTAAGCTCTATACATTCCTAAAAGCATATCAGAAACTCACAAATAACAGTGAAATCAAAGAATGATCACAGCCAATTCCATTACATACCTAGACTGAAATACGAAACTTCAAAGAAAAGAAACATTAGAACTTTGGGTTTGTAAAAATTTTCCTATATAGATAAAATTATTGGTAACTGTGTCTCACTAGAAAACGTAAACAAAAGTCCATGTTTTTCATATTTGTAAATATACATAGTTTTATTTCCATCAGTTATGACATGCAAGCAAGTAATAAAGTGAAAGTACAATCAAATGATATATGGAACTTCCTCAGTCTTAAAATATTCCATGGAGACTATCAATTTTATGAAAACTATAAAGAATGCTTCATGAAACTACATTGTACAGTGCCATTTACTATTTTACTGACATTTTAAATAATCAACAATTAAAGGGAATACGTCAACATTATTTAATACCAATAACGTTATTTTTCTTGAGTAATCCTGTTGAAATTAAGGATTTTAAATAAAACATTAAAAACAAATTATATTGACTGATTTCAGCTTTGGATGAAATCATACTTGTGTATTTGTAGTAATGCGAAGCATAACTTTCTCCTCACAATTAATCTTTTATAACATCGGTGTTATAGTTTTCTCTGACACCAACATTGTGATATCGCACAGGTTTACTGCATGCATGCATTACATGCCTCCAGAGAGTAGGCTTCAAATATATGGAAAAATTATATTTATGAAAAAATTCTAGGAAAGGGAATGGTGAAATGGAAGAGAATTTCTCACTTGCTAACTGTTGGACATGGATTTGTATATATTTGGATATAGACACATACTGGCACACTGTGAGTTTGCCCATGTATATATACACTTATATGAGAAACCCATAATATATGGGTTGTGTAATCTTTTAATTAATCCATAATTGTATGTGTGTGAAATTAGATAAGCGGTTACCTTTTCTTTACTCAATTTGATGGAAAGCCAAAAAACTCTGTCCACCTTCATTTCAATTAATCCAATACTGTTAACTGCTGGTAGCTTCATTCTCCTTGTTCTCTTACGGCAACCGGAAAGTTAATTCTCGCTCTAATTTGGCTTTCAAGGTGCGATCAACAAGAGTGTCACCTTGCTGTGGATTGTGACCTCTGACTCCACCTCTGTCTTCCTTTTGCAGTCCTACCTTTGCATAGGTAACAAACTTTGTACATGGTTAAAAGGATAAAAGTTCAGTGAAATGTCAAGCCATGCTGTGAAATGTTCCATAGTTTCTATATCTCTAATTGTCCTTTGATGTTATAGAGGCAAGAAAAATAATTCAATGTTTTTCTTAGTATCTAGTCCAATGCACTCTTTCTTCATAATACTGCAAACAAGGCACTGACATGGAAACGTGGCTGGACGTCTCAAAATCTCTTCTCATTAATTACCATTATGTTAATCACTGTTGCCCACAACTGGAATTGGACTTTGAAATCCCCTGGTGGAAATTGCTATAATGGCTCAAACTACTGGAAAGACTATCTTTTTTTACCTGAAAATATCTGATGAGCATAGACGTATGCTATATACAGGAAGATATTGTACATTAACAACATACCATCACTGCCACTCAATAATAGGTATCCCAAACCTTTGAGCCAAACTGAGCTCAGGTGCTCCCACAAACCAAGCTTTTCCCTCCACAGATTTCTTATGTCAAAAAGCCACAACTCCAGGCCAGGCTTCGTGGCTCTTGTTGTAATTTCTACATTTTGGGAGGCCGAGGTTGGTGGGTCACTTGAGGTCAGGAGTTGGAGACCAGCATGGGCAACATGGCAAAAAGCTGTCTCTACCAAAAATACAAAAATTAGCCAGACCTAGTGGCACTTTCCTGTGGTCCCAGCTACTTGGGAGGCTGAGGTAGGAGAACCACCTGAACATGGGTGGCAGAGATTGTATAGTAAGCCGAGATCAGACTACTGCACTCCAGCCTGGATGACACAGCGAGACCATGAAAAAAAAAATAAAGGCAACTCCACTCGTCCACTGGCTTAGGTAAAAAATACTGGAGTTGGCTGGGCTCGGTGGCTCACACCTGTATTCCCAGCACTTTGGATTTTGGGAAGCTGAGTCGGGCGGGTCACCTGAGATCTGTAGTAGGAGAGCAGCCTGGCCAACATGGTGAAGCCTGGCTTCTACTAAAAATACAAAACATTAGCTGAGCGTGGTGATGCATGCTTGTAATCCCAGCTACTGCAGAGGCTGAACCTGGGAGGCGGAGGATGTGTTGAGCTGAGATCCTGCCACTGCGCTCCAGCCTGGTCTACAGAGCGAGAGTACCCTGTGAGAAACAAAGGTGAAGAGAACAAGAAAAAAAAATGAGAAAAATAAGACCCACTGCAAAAGGTTGCCACAGAAAAGATTAAACATTTCAGCAACTTCTATCTTCTATCATGGAAGCCAAGGTTATTTGGACCAAACCTCCTGTCTTAGTTCATTTTCACGCTGCTGAAGAAGAGATACCTGAAACTGGGAATAAAAGGAGGTTTAATTGGACTGACAGTTCCACATGGCTGTGGAGGCCTCAGAATCATGGTATACGAATAAAGGCACTTCTTACATGGCAATGCCAAGAGAGAATGAGGAAGAACCTGAGGCAGAAACCCCTGAAAAACCCATCAGATCCCGTGAGACTTCTTCACTGTCACAAGAATAGCATGAGAAAGACCGACCCCCATGATTCAATTACCTCCCCCTGGGTCCCACCCGCAACACGAGGGAATTCTGGGAGATACAATTGAAGCTGAGATTTGAATGGAGACACACCAAACCATGTCACTTCCCAAACAATTAAAAATTCCCAATAGAAGAAGCATTAATTATATCAAAAAGTGGTGGACCAAGAAGGAACTATTAGCCTCATATCTCAAGAAAGACTCCAGTCAAGGCCTAGGGACTACTCATGAAAAGAGTTTAATAGCCGACTCTCTCCCAGTGGATCTGGATTCCACCGGACTGTATCTTCACAGTAAGGGTGAAACAGAAGCAAACCCATTCCTATTTCCAAGCTCAAGGAACTTTGGTCAAAGTTCTCTTGGAGCTGAGCAGAACAAGGAGGCAAACAGAAAAGATTTGTGTCCCTGAGAAGTCATGGCCACAGGCTGGCTATCACACAGATTGTCAAGCCAGTTCCATATTGCATGGGTATTACAGAAAATCTCAAAACATAAATTTGTGTGTGGGTTGTCCCAGAGTAGCAGGATCTGGCAGAAGGAAATTTCCTTCTAACCCTCAAAGAATCCACATAAATCTTGTTACATTTGGGATTTTACGATTTGCTTCAGGAATGAGAATGGCCTTAATTTTCATATCTTTTTCTACACTCAGTTTATGTCTTGTTGGCGTCAAAGTTCTGCTTGCTTCACACAATGAGTTTAGGATTTTCCCTTTTTTATTCTATAGAATTCTTCATATATATTGAAATGCTCTGCCTGGGGAAAAAAATCTGAGCCTAGCGTTTTATCTCTAGGAAGAATCCTTTATTTCCTTGGACATTTATGAGACTATACAGATTATATATGTCTTCTTGTATCAATTTTACTAAGCTATATACATAGCTTATGTTTATATATTATATATATAAATGTAAGATACAAATATAAAAATTATGTATAAATATGAAAATATATATAGAAAGCGATATATATGTCTATATATAGAGACAGATTATAAATATCTGTCTATTTGATCTAAGTTTTCAAATTTGTAGGTTAAGGTGTTAATGATATTTCCTTATTAGCTTCTTAATCTATGCTGTATCTATGGTTGTGTACCTTTTAAATTCTTAGTTTTATCTATGTTTTCTCCCTTTTTTTCTAAACTTGACTGACGGTTGCATCATTTATTATATTTCTCCAACAAGCAAAGGTTAGCTTTGTATGTTTTACTAATTTTGTCTACATCATTATTCCCACACTTTAGTTTTTCAGAATTGATTCTGTTGTTTCTTTTCTAATTCTTTATTGAAATATCTAGTACATTAATTTTCAAGTTATTAGAGAAATATTTGTCTGTAAACTCCTATTGTAATATCACTTTTCTTGCTACTCACAGATTTAATCTTTAATATTGGCGGTATCATTGAGTTCTAAGTACATTTCAATTCCTAGTATGATAATCTATGAATTGCTGAGAAATAGTGTTTACAATTTTGTTGTTCTATTTCCACTTAAGTTTATTTTTACTTCTGCTAACTCAATTGAAAATTCTTTACTAATTTTTAAAATCCTTGAACCCAAGAGATGGAGGTTGCAGTGAGCTGAGATCAGGCCACTGCATTCCAGACTGAGTGACAGAGTGGAACGAGATTTCAAAACAAAACAAAACAAAACAAAACAAAACAGTCACTGGAAAGATAATAAAATACATAAATGTGGGATGTAATATGTAATCGTGATAAAATAAACTGGATTTTTTGTATAAGTTATACATATAAATGTAATGCCAAGACACTGATAAGACAACTCATGGTCTTATCTCAATACTTAGTGTCTTCATGTAACATATGTCCTTTAGGATAGTTATAGTCCGTTTTCTTTCCAGGAGAGACAGATGAGAATGCAGAAATGTTAAAGTGCAAGGGACGGAAGCTTCCAGCTGTGCCCACCTGTAACCTGACGTAGACAGTTCCACCGTTTGCTTCATTAATCATGCCAAAGGCTCTAATGCAAATGTGGTACAGAGTCACATGTTTTTGTATCTACATGATAGAAACTATAACTTCATCCCTATATAGAAGGGTATATAGCATATGCCTCAGTGATAAATATAAGTGAATCATTGATCAGTAGGAAACCATTTTAAAAGTCTTTCATAACAGAACAAAATCCCTGAAAACATTTTCTTCTCAATCTCTGAGTTTTCTTACACGGCTTATGAATCTCTAGCCATACTAAAGAGATAGTATGCTGCTCTTCCCACAAATTATTCATTGTATATAATTCCTGTAATCTAATAACAGTACCTTTACACCTCAGGGTTTAAAATGACTCCAACCTTTTTCTGTTTCTCCAATTAAAATAACTTTTTTAAGGTTTAATCTTCAGTAATTTTTTGTAGTAATATTTTTGAAGGTATTTGACCAGGATGATTTGCTTATATACCTACCTGACGTCTCCCTTTCTTCTGAATACATATTTTATTACCCACCTATTAGATCTAAGTTTAAGAAGTTGGAATAGGGATTTAAATCTAAATTCTACATTTGAATTTACAGGAGTCAGCGAGTCCGGGAAGTGCCTTTATGCACAGACCAATATCTGGCAATGGCACTAGGAGACAAATAAGCTTTACCAGTCTCAAAGCCCTGGCTACTACAGTGAATCCACCCTTCTCCTGGATCTTATCTACTTCAGCAAAAGAAGGCCACCCACTAAACCAGGCCCTTGTACTTTGGGTGGAAACTCCTAAGTCCTCTAGTCTCCTCAAACAGACAGCCAGGCTGCCAATTTCCACAATAATAATTTCTATAGCACTGAGCCTTTGGTAGCCTTGTAACTATAGCTACTGATGCTACAGTCTGGTCCCTGTATGATAAAACACCAGAGCAACAGAAACAAAAATATTGACTGAAGCCTTCTAAAATCTCTCTAAATATACCTTCAATAAATATCGTTTTTTTTTACAGAACGACTGCTTTCAGCTTCCTGAACGAACGCTTGGCCTTCGCTAGTTGTCACTGTTGAAATTGATTCAAAAGTGTACATTTAACATGAAAGTCAACACAGAATTTCATGTGTCAGCAACTAAAATTTTCAAAATGTTGCAAAATACAAATGTGAAACTGTATTTGTGAAATTTACCATTCATTGAAATTATATTTTCATACCTACCCAGGCACAGAATTTTTTATAACTGTCTGCATGTTCTCCTCATGTGGGGGAAAAACAGCATCAGCAGGCAGAGGAATCCTTTGAAGCTGGAGGGAGAGGTTGCAGTGATCTGAGAGTTTGCCACTTGACTGCAGCCTGGATGACACAGTGAGACTCCAACTGAAAAGAAACAAACACACACACACACACACACACACACACACCCCCAAAATTGATAAGTAAAAAAAAAATCCGTATTCGAAAACATGCTCACAGGCTAACTCCCATATCTAACACACACACACACACACACACACACACACACACACACACACACAATTCCTTGAAAACGAAAGTTCCACAAGGGCGAAACAAGAAAACAAATTTAACACCCCCCAAAGAAAGTACGAAGAGTAACCTCAAAAGAACCGCAGGGGAAAACAATTCAAAATTTACAAGTATCTACCCTAAAAGAAGCTGAAAGTCCCTCAAAAACTTTCCAGAGGCCATGTCCTTGTATTACAAAAATGATCATAAAAACTGGCAGGAGTAGACGAATAGAAATGCATCTTAAAACTTGCTGAACACTTCAAGTCTCCCATAAGAATTGTAATGGAAAATGGATCAGTCGGCAGTTTTTTCCATACAATTATGAACAAATTATATTTCTTCATACATAGATTTGTTTTTTCAATATTCTAAGGAATTAACTTTTATATTAATAGTAGGTGATGTAAGAAAGCAGGCCTTTATCAAGATAACTGACACTGGATGTCCATACCATTACTCAGGTGGGCCTTAATTCCCAGCCAGGTTCCCTCCCTGGACACACACTGAAGGTCCCCAGCCATTTGGCAATCTCTTCACATTCCCAGCCCTGGAGGTAGCCCTAAAATACATGTACCTGAAGAAAATAAAACATTGCCTCACACTGGAGCCCAGTGTGGTCCTCCAGATTCCGTGTGAGGTGGACTAACTTATATGGGAAGGCAGGGCAGCGGGAGTGAGGATGGCAGAGAGGATTACACATGTCAAGGCAGCCGGGGTCATGGAAACAAAACATGACTGGCCTGGGAGAAACACTGTGAAAGGACACAGACCTAGGTGGGCCTCAGGTGGACATCCTCGTGGAGAAAAAGGGGGCCCTGGTTGATCTCAAAATGAGCCCCAGGTGGTAGCAGGTCTTACCGCAGGGCAGGGAGCTGGCGAGTAATGATGAGACAGCTATCCCTTAAGCCCTGCT
Source organism: Homo sapiens (assembly GCF_000001405.40). Classification (NCBI taxonomy): domain Eukaryota; kingdom Metazoa; phylum Chordata; class Mammalia; order Primates; family Hominidae; genus Homo; species Homo sapiens. Next base: position 9,504,173 of record NC_000024.10, read on the forward strand.
TGTCACCCACTGACTTTAGCCACATATGCATCATAGTGGCTTAAGGTGCCCCGATCCTGAAATGTGGGTGTTACATGTCCCTGATGGGCCTCTCTCCCCCAACCCACGGATTGCCTGGGATTGCTCACTGCAGTCTCCTCCCGGATCCTTGGGTTCTCCATGTGGGGCCCAGATCCAGGTCAAAAGGCCTCTCAGTTCCCAGCCCTTCCCAGCCCTAGGCTGCTCGCCTGGCCTCCTCTCTGTTCCGCCTCTAGGGCTGACCCTCTCTCCATGGGATAGAACTGCAATGGATTGAGCCATAGGCCCTGGCTGATGATCTAGGGGACTGCAGAAGTGGGTCCAGGACAGTTCAGGTGACAGTTCAAAGCCAATTCCCCAGAGACCAAGGAATGACCAGCTAGGTCCTTTCCCATGATGCCCCATGGCGAACCCCACCTCAGCAATCCTGCCAAAACCCGGGCAGTCATGTTCAGCCAAACAGCTGAATGAGCTCAGGTAGGAGGTGTACTGCCTGCAGCTGGAGGCTTGACCTTCGTGATCCCAGAACCGCTGGACTGCAGTGGAATGAGACACCCTGTAGCCTGCAGGGAGAGGAGTCAGGAAGGTTCATGCCAGTCCCACCCTCCCACACACCAGCTCCCCTACCATGCTGGGAGGCATTCCTTACCGAGGATGCCAACACAGTGCTCCTTCATGATGATTTCACTGTGGAAATAAAGGTTGGGATGAAAGGAAATCATCCTGCCACCGGTAACCGGGATGGCTGAGTTCCTCCACCTGCCGGATCAAGGAGAAAGAGGATGGATTCAATGGGACCATCTCAACTAGCTGGGCTGAGGTGGCCTACTAGCTGTAGTGAACCATGAGTTTCCCCTTCCCAGCTCTCCCACTGAGACAACCCTGGTCCCCAGGGGGACCTCAAACTGACTCAGACACTGGACTCCTCCCACAGACCCAGCTCCCCAGCCTGACCTGCAAATCCATCACGTAGCAAAGCAGGACTTCCGCATGCTTTCCGACCCACGCCGACATCTCGTGTGCCAAACAATCTACCTCTGCGCAAGAACTCTCCAGAGGATTGGGTGGCAAGCCTCGTGACGCCTTGCAATTTCGCAAGAACACAGACAATGTGGAACAGGGCCATCTCCCAGACATTTGGCCAGTCACCCTTCATTGTTGGCCCTCTATCTCTGTCTGGCGAGGAGCAACGCCACAACTGTGGTGGTTTTTGGAGTGGGTGGACCCCGGCCAAGACGGCCTGGGCTGACCAGAGACGGGAGGCAGAAAAAGTGGGCAGGTGGTTGCAGCTGAGGGACGGGAGGGACCGGGGGTGGTGTGAGGCGGCTGCTTCTCTGAGTTTCTGAGATGCAGGAGGCCTTTGTGTGCTGGGTGCTGGACATGCTCCGCTGATGTCCGGGTGTGTGGTGTCCTCTTATCCTAGTCTCCCTGAGGGGTGGGCCTGTCCACCTGAGGGAAGCCTTGTAGTTAGAAGCCACAGCAGGGTCGTGCCTGGCGCTCTCCAAGGGAATTGCGTGGGTCCAGAGGAAGTTATACAGGCTCAGGGCCTACACGCCTTTGAGTGCAGCGCCTGCAGTTGGATGAATGCGCATCTGCGGAGCTGGTGCCCGCCGTCAGGTGGTCGGCAGCCCCATGCGCCGCGAACCCGTCTTAAGCACCTTGTGTTTCTGGGGTGAGCCTGCTGGAAACAGGCACCGAGAGCAGGGGTGGTTCAATGGCTGGTAATGGCATACAGATTCCCCGTCCTCCAGGGACGTTCCCAGGGAAACGCGTCCTTCGAATTTGGGCTGTGCGCAAAGGGACCTTGGCGCCGCGATTCTCCCTTGTCAGTGCTGGCCCTGGCTCCCCTTCCCTACCACGTGCTCCCAGGGCTGCTACAAGCGAGCTGCCCTCACAGCTGCGGGAACGTGGCCTCGGCTCCCACGCTGTCCCCCATCCCCTGCCTCCTGGCTGACCCCACGTGCCTCCCACCTGGCTCCTCCCCCCAAACAGCCCCCATACCCCCCGAGGCCCGATGACTATCCCCTGCTGCCCGCCATCCCAAATCGGCAGCCGCAAGGATATGGCTCTGGCTCACAAGGCGGAGATGCTCTGTGGCCTGGGGCATTCACGGAGCCCAGCTCCAAGTGAAGGACCTCCAGCGAGTCCATTGACGGCCCCGGTGTGCTCGGTCCAGGGCCAGGCTGTGCCGCTGGCCCTCCTTCTGCCACCCCACGTCGGGCTCCACCTCAACCACCACCTCCACCTCAGCCATGATGTCTTCCACCTTCAGCACCGCCTCCTCTTCCAAGGCCGCCTCCTTGCTCTGTACCCCGGCCGTCCTCTCCAGCATTGCCTCCAGCCTGAACACGGTTTTCTCCTGGGTGCTCCCACAGACCCTGGGCCTGCGCAGCCCAGCCCAGCCCAGCCCATGCCCCGCACCCGTAGGCTCTGGGGGCCCGCTCCCCAGCAGACCCGCTCCCTGCAAGACCCACGGGCGTCGCCCTGCTGTGAACCTGGTCCCACACCTACGTGGACCCAGGTTTCCTGAGGAGCTCCGCTGGACCCGCAGATCCCGCACTGGCCAAAGGGCTCCGGTCCCCAGCAGGCCCAACTGCGCACAGGAGCTCGGGAGCCAGAGGCCCCGGCCCTGGGCTTGCAGAGCCCCACCAACAGGCACCGCAACCGCTGCTGCGGGTGCGGGAGCCTCTGGGTCGTCAAGGCAGCGCACAACAGCGTGCGCGCAGGCCGACAATGGCCAACCCTGGCGGCTGGCCTCTGGTGTGCCCAGGGCATAGGGCAAGAGGCCCTTTGGAATGCTCCTTGGAGTACAGCATCCTCAGGGAGGAAGCATGGTACTCGGAGCCTCTATTTGCCTCGACCTGTGAGAGTGTGTGCCGGGGCTCTGGCCTCTACAGCAGATCAATTCCACCTCAGCACCGGCAGGCGACTTTCCTCCCACGTGCCCGCCCCGATCACTTCCCCCAGGACACCCCTGCCGCCCTAGCCCCAGCAACCAGAGAGAGTTCTCTGCATCTGCTGTATTACCTCCGTACCATCTACCTGGCCTGCCTAACGAAGAGAGATGTTTCCTGTGTTCATGACACATAGAGATGTTCATGGCTTGCCACACTGAGGATTTCAGGGCACAGGGCTGCCATGCCCACAATTCCAAAGGCCACGCAGCCCGCGTGTGCCCGGATGCCTAGCTACCCGGCACAAGCTCCAAGGGCTTCTCGGAGGAGGCTTGGGCAGGGAAGGCGGGGGGTGGGGGGGCTGGAGATGCAGGCCCGCCAGTGGCTGTGCCGCCCAGGGAGACGCCCACCGCCCTCCCATTGACTGGCCACGACGGGAGGAAGTCGGCCTGGGTGCGGCCCCCCGGCCCTTCGCGCGCAGTCCCTTAGGGGGCGCCTGGAAGCCCGGCGCATGCGCCCTGAGGGCTCGCTGACCTACCGGGTGCCAGAGAGGCTGCGGCAGGGTTTCTGTGGCGTGGGTCGGGCAGCACAGGCCTTGGTGTGTGCGAGTGCCAAGGAGGGCACCGCCTTCAGGATGGAGGCTGTACAGGAGGGGGCGGCCGGGGTGGAGAGTGAGCAGGCGGCTTTGGGGGAGGAGGCGGTGCTGCTGTTGGATGACATAATGGCGGAGGTGGAGGTGGTGGCGGAGGTGGAGGTGGTGGCGGAGGAGGAGGGCCTCGTGGAGCGGCGGGAGGAGGCCCAGCGCGACAGCAGGCTGTGCCTGGCCCTGGGCCCATGACCCCAGAGTCTGCACTGGAGGAGCTGCTGGCCGTTCAGGTGGAGCTGGAGCCGGTTAATGCCCAAGCCAGGAAGGCCTTTTCTCGGCAGCGGGAAAAGATGGAGCGGAGGCGCAAGCCCCAGCTAGACCGCAGAGGCGCCGTCATCCAGAGCGTCCCTGGCTTCTGGGCCAATGTTGTATCCTTCTCAGTGTTTCTTCGGCCTTTCTAGTGGAGAGGTGCTCTCGGGGAAGTGTAAGTGACCGATGGGCAGCTCGGCGTCGATGTGACTCTTTGGGGAACAAAGGGGAGTTGCCACGGACCAGTGTGGCTGTGGAAAGCCGGAGCAGGCGTGGGTACTATTGTCCTGCATGCGGCAGAGAAACCCTTGGTGATGCCGAGCAGCAGACGTTTGGGGCATCTTTTTGAAGAGCAGAAGCGAGTTCAGAGCGGAAGAGGTTTTTCAGTGAATGAAGCTATTTTTAAGGGAGTGTGATTGCTGCCCCTTGCTAGTCCGATCTGGGACTGGGCGTCTTCGGCTATAAGCAGATTCTGCCACTCCTCAGACACCAGCAAGTCTCTGCAAATCGCGCCTCCCCATGTCAGTGCAGTCAGCCTCAGAATCATACACCCTCTGTGAACACAGGAGGCCTTAGTTTACGGGGACGGGGAGGCGAAAGGAGATCATACATGGAAGCAGATCTGAGAAATCCCCTACCCCAGCCTCTGGGTGCTCTTAGGCCTTCTTCCCTGTTGCTCCTCGCTTTCCCTTCCATCGTGTGTAAAGTCTCTTTGACCTAAATCAGATTGCAAACCACCCCCAGATGTCAGCCCTGATCACTGACGAAGATGAAGACATGCTGAGCTACATGGTCAGCCTGGAGGTGAGGCCAGGAAGACTGGGGCTAGAGGGTTTAGCGGGGGAGGGTAAGGGAAATAATTCATTCCTGTAAGCAAGAGTGAGCACCTCACCCGAAAACCTATCTAAGCTTTCTCCACCTTGTCCTGACAGGTGGAAGAAGAGAAGCATCCTGTTCATCTCTGCAAGATCATGTTGTTCTTTCGGAGTAACCCCTACTTCCAGAATAAAGTGATTACCAAGGAATATCTGGTGAACATCACAGGTGACAGGTGGCTCCCAGGATGGGTAGTGGAAGGAAGATGGTGGGTGGATCATTGCCAACGGGATCCAGCCCCCTTCCCACAAAAACTCCTGTCTCTGTAGAATACAGGGCTTCTCATTCCACTCCAATTGAGTGGTATCCGGATTATGAAGTGGAGGCCTATCGCCGCAGACACCACAACAGCAGCCTTAACTTCTTCAACTGGTTCTCTGACCACAACTTCGCAGGATCTAACAAGATTGCTGAGGTGAGTCCTCACTGGGAAACATGAGGAATGACCCCGTGTGTTCCCAGCTGCTTGGGTCACCTTTCTGAGCCCTGATGAGGCCTTTCCCGATTGAGTCCCCTGACAGATCCTATGTAAGGACCTGTGGCGCAATCCCCTGCAATACTACAAGAGGATGAAGCCACCTGAAGAGGGAACAGAGACGTCAGGTGAGCCGTTAGTTGGCACTGGAGCTGTTTGATGCCCAGTATAAGGGGGTTGACACACCTGCCTATTCAGGGAGCCTGGGTGCTCATTTCAGAAATGTAGAAATTGAGGCTCCTTTCGTACATGTAGAAATTCCTTGAGAGGAAGACAGAGAGTGACAGAATCCAGGACGTTCATGGCATTGGGCTGAAAAGGCACGTTAGAGACTGCACTGCAAAGCGGGTGATAGCTGTGGAGTCTTAAGCCCAGTGAAGAATCGTCCATTTCCAGAATCAATGAGAAGTAAAGCTGAAAATCATTCAGTTCAGTCTGTGGCACTTGATTCCACGGCTGTCAACCCCACCGGCAGTCATCCCACCAACCCCATGAGATTGGGCTCCCTGAATGTGCGTCCTGGTCATCCTTGCCCCAAACCACAAAGGACTGTTTAGATTGATGGATTTCCTTAAGCTGTTGCCCCATCAGACTTGTGTGTGCTTTTAGGGCCCAGTGCATCTTGTTAGCTGACTCCCCTCACAGACAATACTGGGAATGGGGCAGGGATTGCGCAGAACAGTTTGTAACACGTGGTAGGAGGAAGTTTAAGGGATCACAAATGGGGAAGGGATATCCTTTTCTCAGCGGGCCCCACAATTGAAACATTTCAAAGTATGGCTCAGAGAAAATGCGTTTTAACATGAGTTTGTGTTTCTCTAGGGGACTCCCAGTTGTTGAGTTGAATATGATGGAGCATCAGATTTTACCTAATACAGCAGAACTCCTAAAAAGTTACAGCCATATGCAGGACGGCAGTACTCAGCATGGTCTTATGCACAGGAACTAAAGGAAAAAGAGATCGAGTCACAAAAATTCAGGAAGAGGGGGTAAATGTGGATTGTATGGAATGAAAAATAAACATTCTCAAGGATGTGTGACTCTGTGTCTGTGTGTGTGTGTGTGTCTTTGTGTTTGTGTGTGTGTGTGTCTGTGTGTGTATGTTTATCCACTTTATTCGGGTGTCATAATGAATTGATCAATCCACGTGCTTTATTCTCTTCATGGAAATAACCAGTCTGCGTTGGAGCTGGGCCTCTAAAGTTGTAGAGTGAATGGGTGTGGGATGTGTTGGGATTCTTCCTACAGGACAGAGTGGGAGAGGTAAAAGCAAAAGACAGCTTAGTTGGAGGCTGACTTCGTCCTATGGAAGCAGAGATAGTTCAAGGAAAGGGGTTACTGGGTTTCCAGGGCCCAGTTTGCTGGGACCTCCAAAATCCTTCATTTTGGGTATCATCATACACAGTAGCTAAGCACAGGATGATGGAAATCTTAAAGTTCGCTTTCGTGTTGAATCCACATGTTCTTTTAAAGGTGAATGCATGATCCTTTTCTGGGACAATCAGCCTCTCAGGACTTCTGAAACATCAACGTGAGAAGAAATGGGCATGTAAGGTGTATGGAGGGACTGTGGGAAAGGTGACAGAGGCATGTGGGAAGGCATTCAGGATACGCTTTTGGCAGAGATGACTAAGGGAAAACAGAAACTTACAGAAGTGAGGGGAAAGGGGGTGGATTAGTGGAATATAAGATTGTTGGAGAATCCATCCATGGACTCTCTTGTCACTTGATGACCCAGGATATGGACACTCTTGTTGATGTTTACATCTTTAGTTGTTTTAAGCTTTTCTCCAAGATTCTGTGTTAGGTGAGGAGCCAATAACGTATGTAGCTAACAACAGTACGAGTGCATTTTGTGCTCTTGCAAAGTCTAGTGAGGCTCTATTCTCCCTCGTGATTGGCACTGCAGATTGTATCTGGACCCAGGGCCCCTAAATTTTCTGTGGCCTCTTCAGCATAGTTTGCCTAAGGTTTAGAACGTAAAGCGAATATAGTTGCGGAATATGTTTTGCAAGCCTCACACAGGAGGACAAAACATACAGCTTTCATTCGCGAGTGGGAGGCTGCTTCCCAGGAACACGTGTGTCTGCACAAGACAAGGGGTTGCCTCTGTCAAGGATGGGGCAGGAGGATTTCAGTGTCGGAGGCAGAACTTTCTTTCCTGTTCCCAGATGAAACAGTTCCAACACGAGCATCCATGTTGACCACACGCTACTAGAGTGCTAACATTGCTGTCCCGTATAGACTCTGGTCAGCACAGCTTCTGTGAGAAGAGCTATGTTGTTTCAGGGAAGAGGGTTTGACAGTCAAAGTTCCTGAATCTGTTGTGGTGCTTGCAATATGCATTCTACCCCTCCTGCTCGGTGTCAAAGCAGTTGAGCTTTGAAAATCTATCGCCCGGTTTTGTCCCTGCTCCTATGCAGACCTCTGAAGCTCTGGAGCGGGAGTCTTGTCCTCCTCTGACTACCGTCCCCCTGACCCACAAACACAGGAGAAACAGGTGTTCTAAGCAAATTATTCTGAAAACAGTCGGAACACTTTGGCCCCCTCAAGCTGCCCTCTATCCTACTGTGTGCATGTCAAAGACACTGTGGTCCAGTACGGTATCCCTATAGCGGCAATGGGGCAACAGATTGGTGTGTGCACTCTGGGCAACTCAGATTAGGAAACGTCTGGGGACTTGCCTATAACGAGGTCGTCTTAAAACGTGTTGCCCCAAATTTAAGGCATAGGAAAATGTTGAGGAAAGGGTCTTGCAATGATTTTTTCTAGGAGGTAAATAGATAAGAAAATGACCGTAAATAGATGCCAGGGCTAGTTTTGGAGCTAGCCTGTTTTAAAGTGGTGGTAGGGGAGGAGCTTTTTCCAAGGCAGGTAGCAAACCAGGAACTGTCTACGATGGATGGGCGTGCCACGGGTTGGTGCTCAGCCATATTGCCACCCCACCGAGTGAATGCAGCAGACTGGGCTTCTTGCTTGAATCCTACGTGCAATTCAGTCTAGTGATTTCACATGAGATCCCTTCTTCTGGTATTATCACAGATCGTGCTGAATTATACAGGCTGTGTAATGCTTCTTCCACTGAATATCCGTGCACGTGGGCCACAGATGCTAAGGGCACTGACAAATTTGCACCGTGCCTCAGTAACTCGGAAGCACATCTGTGATTTGTACCGACAGGGACTTGGTGTCTTTTCGTGTTTAAAGTAGCACGTGTGTGTTTGTGGTTGCATATGTTTATTTCTCTGTGCGGGTTTGTATATTTTCTCTGACTCCACCTGTGTCTCCGTGGTTCCGATATTTTTCCACACTCCCTGCGACAATTTGCACATGCCTATCTCTACAACCATTGTAGACTTTGTATCTGTGTCTTTGAACATCTGTCACTCTCTCTCCCTTCCTTTTTTCTTTTCCTTCCTTTACACCCCTCCTTTCATCCTTCCCTTGCTTCCCCACCACACTCTCTCCATCTGTATCGTCTATCTTTCTATTCTCTATCTGGGTTTACTTTCTAATTCTGAATTCAAGGGCATTGAATTGAAAAGAAGCACTCTTCGTACTTTTATGTGTTTTAACTCATTTGGGGAATTTGGCGTGGTATTATTTACAGGGTTCTCTCTGCCCTTTCTCATTGTTCTCCCCAGCCGGGGCTGTTATTATGTGAAAGCTGGTTTCCTTCATCACATCGCGTAGGCTCTAATGATGTTTCGTTTATTTTGATTCTCCTCACACTACATAGTTTTAATTTACCTAATGTGACTGTTTTTTTGTTTGTTTTCCGAGAATGGGTCTTACTCTGTCTTCTAGGTTGGACAGCAGCCCCACGATCTCAGCCCACTGCAGCCCAGGCACCACACACCCATGTGATCCTGTCAACTCAGACTCTCACACACCTGGCAGTACAGGTGCATGCCACCCCTCCAAGCTATGTATTAATTAACTAAATACTTACTTTTTGAATGTGGGTCCATGTTGCCCCAGGCTCATCTGGAACTCCTGAGTGCAGGCAATCCTCCCACCTCAGCTTATCAAAGTGCTGGGATGACAGGTGTGACCCATGGCCCTGCCATGGCTTTGTGTTTTTTGCTTTTTTCTTCCTCCTCCTCACGTCTTGTTTTGAAACATGCACTGAAGGTTTCAATTCATGGACTATAGTCTCTGTGCCTGGAATTTCTATCTTTCAACTCATCATCAGCATTCATTGGGATTTTCATATATATATATATATATATATATATATATATATATATATATACCTATATAAGAATACCTATGTACACACATATATACGTATATACATGTATATACGTATATATGCACATTTATATACGTATATACATGTATATACGTATATATATACATGTACACATATGTATTTATTTCTCAAGTTACGAAACGGCTTGCATTCTTTCCTGTGTCATGAAAAAGACTTTGCTAGAAAAGAAAAGCACTGCTTTATAATAAAATATTTTATTTGCATTTATTTTGTTAAGGCATTTTAAAAATTGTATGTTTGTTTAAAAAATGTCATATGAAATGATACATATTTACAACTTAAGGCGTGATGTTCAACAGGTCATATACATTATGCATTGGATACATCCAGCCAATCAACATATGTGTGACCTCACATAGTTGTCATTTTTGTTGTGAAAAAACTTGACCTGCACTGTATTCGAATATTTTTAGAGAAAGAATATGTTACCACTAGTTATAGTGAGCATGCTGAAGAAAATATTTTTAACCTATTCCTCCTTTATAACTAGAAGTATGAGTTCTTCATCCAGCATCTCGTCAGTGCACCCTCTTCACCGCAGTCATTGGAGTCACTACTTCTGTGAAGTCCGCTTTTTTGATTTCATATAAGAATGAGATCATGTGCTACTTTCCTTTCTGATACCTGGCTTATGTCACTTAACAGAATGGCATGCACACATTCAGCAGATTCCCACACATTCTCACAACTGGCAGGATTTCCTGATTTCTTATTGCAGCGCATATTTCCGTTGCGCATATGCGTTTTTGCCCCATTTTTTAATCCACTTATCAATGGAGGGACTCTCAGGTTGCTTCCGCATTTTGGCTACAGCAAAAATGTAATGAGTGCAGCAATAATTGCATGGGTGCGCGCACCGCTTCAACATACTGATCTGTGTACTGGCGGGCGTGCCCGGGTATTCTGATTTGCTGGATCATATAGTGGGTGGTTCTACTTGTAGATTTCTGAAGGCTGTTTATACTTAAATAAGAGCCATAAAGCTTCTTTAATGCCAGCACTAATTTACATTCTCCCCAAAAGTGAGCAGGGAATTCGTTTTCTCTGCCTCCTCACCAGAGATTAGGGTTTTCTTTTCTTTCTTTTTTTTTTTTTGTTTGTTTGTCTTTCGGATAATATGCATTCTGACTGAAGTGAGAAGAAATCTCATTGTGTTTTTGATTTGCATTTTCGTGATGGATTGGGGATAATGAGGAATTTTTAGTGTGTCTTCTGGGCAACTGTATGTCTCAGTTTCACAAATGAGTCTTCGCAGCCTTCGCCCATTTGTTTTCATGCTATTGAGTTGTTGGGAGTTCCTTATGTACTGTGACTATTCCCCCATGAACAGATGTATGGTGATCCAATCATTGCTCCCATCCTGTAGGATGCCCCTTCTGTATGTTGAGTTTTCTATGGTGTGGTGAAGCACTTTAGTTTGATATGATTCCATTCTCTATTTTTGATGGTGTTTACTGTGTTCTTGCAGTCACTTTGAGACCATCATTGCACACACGGACGCCATGGAGCTTCTTCCTTGTGATCTCTTCTGCTATTTTTATCGTTTCACATCTGACACTGGAGTTTGGTGATAAATAATCCACTTGTAAAATCCTTTGTGTGGCTATTCAGATTTCCCCAACCTAGTTTATAGAAGATACTTGATTTTGCATTGGGCGTTCTTGCTTCTTTGGGAAAAGGCTGTGAGCTGCAAATGCAGTGACTTAGTTCTGGGCTCCTGTTGTTTTTCCTAAGCTCTAGTCTCTGCTTTTCTGCCAGTGCTATTGTATTTTGGTACAAAAAGTTTTGTAGTAGTATATCATGAAGTTAGGTAGTGGGGTGGCTCCAGCTTTGTGCTTTTTACTGGATTGCTCTGGGTTTTCAGGATCTTCTGCCATTTCATAGCAAATTTGGGATTCCCAGATTGTTTTCTAAGAAGAATGTGTCATTGATATTTTTAAAGGGGTTGTATAGAATCTGAGGATGACTCAGGTAGTAGTGATGTCAATGCCGTTTAGACAATGTGCGTGTTTGTGTGCACATGCTCAGGGCCAAGAGACACTGGGTGTCCTCACCAATACTGAGGTGGGCCTTAATATCCAGCCAGATTGCCTTCTGGAAACACACGGAATGTCCTGTTCTGTTTTGCCATCTCTTCACATTTCCTCCCCTGTGAGCCCTGTGTGGTCCTCCAGATTCCCTGTGCGGTGGCCTGCCTTTTTTGGGGTGGGGAGTTGCTGGGTGAATGAGGATGGCGGAGGGAACCAAGCATGTCAGTGGAGCGTGGTGTCATCCAAACGGTACTTAGCAGGCCTGGGAGAGTCATTCTGGGAGGACGCAGACCTAGAGAGGCCTCAGGTGGGCATCTGTGTGGAGGGTGAGAGATCCCTGGTTGAGCCCAAACTGAACCCCAGGTAGAAGCAAGCCTCAGGACAGGGAAGTAGCTAGCAAGGGATGATGAGGCAGCTATCTCTTGACCCTGGCTTCCCACCCATTGACCTTAGCTACTTATGCCTATTAAGCAGATTACGGTTCCCCCATCGTGAAATGTGGGTACCACAGTTCCCTGATGGGCATTTCTCCACCAGCCCATGATGGCCTGAGTTTCCTTACTGCAGTCTCCTCCCTGAGCCTTGGCTTCTCTATGTGTGTCCTAACTCCAGGACCCACAGGCCTGTCAACCCCCAGCCCTGGGCTGCTTCCCTGGCCTCTTCTCTGTTCCCTCTCTGAGGGCCTAACTCCCTTGGGTAGTGCTGCAGAATATAGAGCCACAGGCCCTGGCTGATGATCTGGTGGACTGGGCAAATTGGTCGTGACAGGTCAGGTTCTGGTTCAAAGCCAATTCCTCCGATGCCAAGGAATGTCGAAGAAGGTCCTTTGCCATGATGTCCCATAGCTGTCCCACCTCAGCAATCGTGCCGTAACCTGGGCCCTCACAGTCAGACAACCAGCTGAAGAAGCTCAGGCAGTGACCTGCGGGAAACTCGGGCTTTCACCTGCATGACCCTAGAACCACTGGACTGCAGTGGAGCCAGTCGCCCTGTATCCTGGAGGGAGACGAGTCAGGAAGGCGCACGCCAGGCCCAGCTCCCGAGGTACTACCCCCTCTACTCCTCAGGGAGGATGCCAACGCAATACTCCTTAGTCATCACTTTGTTTCCGAAGTAAATGTTGTGATGAAAGGCAAACTTCTTCCTACCCCTTGTATTCAGGGTGGCCGAGTTCCTCCACCTGCCTGTCCAAGAAGGAGAAACAGGGCTGTGAAGGGGCAATTTCATCTAGGTGGGCTGAGGTGGCACTCTAGCCGGGGTGAAGCATGCGTTTCCCCTTCCCAGCTTTCCCGCTGAGACACACCTGAGCCCCAGAAGGACCTCAACCTGACCAGGACCTTAGCACCCTCCCCCAGACCCAGGCTTTCCATCCTGACCTGCAAATCCAACATGCAGCTTTGAAGGACTTTCTCATGGTTTCTGAGCTCCTTGCTCTCACCAGAAAGAATCAGAACTTTTAAAGTGTTCTTTATGCCAACTTAAATTTTTCATTTTTACTACCTCATGTTTTGGATGAGGCATGTATTTTTAAATTTATTTTCACCCTTATTGTACCTCTATGATAAACTGCTTGCTTACATTCATACCGTAATTATCTCTCAGGTTACTTGTCTGTTCCTAAAGATTCACTGAAACGAAGAATTCTATATATGCTTGTATCTTTCAGCAACCGTATGTCAGATAGCACTGCACATTACTGCAGACATCGCATATACAGGTCCAAAGGTAGAGGAAGAAGAAGAAAGCAAGCGTTAAACTCTATTCATTCCTAAAAGCATATCAGAAACTCACAAATAACAGTGAAATCAAAGAATGATCACAGCCAATTCCATTACATACCTAGACTGAAATACGAAACTTCAAAGAAAAGAAACATTAGAACTTTGGGTTTGTAAAAATTTTCCTATATAGATAAAATTATTGGTAACTGTGTCTCACTAGAAAACGTAAACAAAAGTCCATGTTTTTCATATTTGTAAATATACATAGTTTTATTTCCATCAGTTATGACATGCAAGCAAGTAATAAAGTGAAAGTACAATCAAATGATATATGGAACTTCCTCAGTCTTAAAATATTCCATGGAGACTATCAATTTTATGAAAACTATAAAGAATGCTTCATGAAACTACATTGTACAGTGCCATTTACTATTTTACTGACATTTTAAATAATCAACAATTAAAGGGAATACATCAACATTATTTAATACCAATAACGTTATTTTTCTTGAGTAATCCTGTTGAAATTAAGGATTTTAAATAAAACATTAAAAACAAATTATATTGACTGATTTCAGCTTTGGATGAAATCATACTTGTGTATTTGTAGTAATGCGAAGCATAACTTTCTCCTCACAATTAATCTTTTATAACATCGGTGTTATAGTTTTCTCTGACACCAACATTGTGATATCGCACAGGTTTACTGCATGCATGCATTACATGCCTCCAGAGAGTAGGCTTCAAATATATGGAAAAATTATATTTATGAAAAAATTCTAGGAAAGGGAATGGTGAAATGGAAGAGAATTTCTCACTTGCTAACTGTTGGACATGGATTTGTATATATTTGGATATAGACACATACTGGCACACTGTGAGTTTGCCCATGTATATATACACTTATATGAGAAACCCATAATATATGGGTTGTGTAATCTTTTAATTAATCCATAATTGTATGTGTGTGAAATTAGATAAGCGGTTACCTTTTCTTTACTCAACTTGATGGAAAGCCAAAAAACTCTGTCCACCTTCATTTCAATTAATCCAATACTGTTAACTGCTGGTAGCTTCATTCTCCTTGTTCTCTTACGGCAACCGGAAAGTTAATTCTCGCTCTAATTTGGCTTTCAAGGTGCGATCAACAAGAGTGTCACCTTGCTGTGGATTGTGACCTCTGACTCCACCTCTGTCTTCCTTTTGCAGTCCTACCTTTGCATAGGTAACAAACTTTGTACATGGTTAAAAGGATAAAAGTTCAGTGAAATGTCAAGCCATGCTGTGAAATGTTCCATAGTTTCTATATCTCTAATTGTCCTTTGATGTTATAGAGGCAAGAAAAATAATTCAATGTTTTTCTTAGTATCTAGTCCAATGCACTCTTTCTTCATAATACTGCAAACAAGGCACTGACATGGAAACGTGGCTGGACGTCTCAAAATCTCTTCTCATTAATTACCATTATGTTAATCACTGTTGCCCACAACTGGAATTGGACTTTGAAATCCCCTGGTGGAAATTGCTATAATGGCTCAAACTACTGGAAAGACTATCTTTTTTTTACCTGAAAATATCTGATGAGCATAGACGTATGCTATATACAGGAACATATTGTACATTAACAACATACCATCACTGCCACTCAATAATAGGTATCCCAAACCTTTGAGCCAAACTGAGCTCGGGTGCTCCCACAAAGCAAGCTTTTCCCTCCACAGATTTCTTATGTCAAAAAGCCACAACTCCAGGCCAGGCTTCGTGGCTCTTGTTGTAATTTCTACATTTTGGGAGGCCGAGGTTGGTGGGTCACTTGAGGTCAGGAGTTGGAGACCAGCATGGGCAACATGGCAAAAAGCTGTCTCTACCAAAAATACAAAAATTAGCCAGACCTAGTGGCACTTTCCTGTGGTCCCAGCTACTTGGGAGGCTGAGGCAGGAGAACCACCTGAACATGGGTGGCAGAGATTGTATAGTAAGCCAAGATCAGACTACTGCACTCCAGCCTGGATGACACAGCGAGACCATGACTGAAAAAAGAAAAAAAAAAATAAAGGCAACTCCACTCGTCCACTGGCTTAGGTAAAAAGTACTGGAGTTGGCTGGGCTCGGTGGCTCACACCTGTATTCCCAGCACTTTGGATTTTGGGAAGCTGAGTCGGGCGGGTCACCTGAGATCTGTAGTAGGAGAGCAGCCTGGCCAACATGGTGAAGCCTGGCTTCTACTAAAACTACAAAACATTAGCTGAGCGTGGTGATGCATGCTTGTAATCCCAGCTACTGCAGAGGCTGAACCTGGGAGGCGGAGGATGTGTTGAGCTGAGATCCTGCCACTGCGCTCCAGCCTGGTCTACAGAGCGAGAGTACCCTGTGAGAAACAAAGGTGAAGAGAACAAGAAAAAAAAAATGAGAAAAATAAGACCCACTGCAAAAGGTTGCCACAGAAAAGATTAAACATTTCAGCAACTTCTATCTTCTGTCATGGAAGCCAAGGTTATTTGGACCAAACCTCCTGTCTTAGTTCATTTTCACGCTGCTGAAGAAGAGATACCTGAAACTGGGAATAAAAGGAGGTTTAATTGGACTGACAGTTCCACATGGCTGTGGAGGCCTCAGAATCATGGTATACGAATAAAGGCACTTCTTACATGGCAATGCCAAGAGAGAATGAGGAAGAACCTGAGGCAGAAACCCCTGAAAAACCCATCAGATCCCGTGAGACTTCTTCACTGTCACAAGAATAGCATGAGAAAGACCGACCCCCATGATTCAATTACCTCCCCCTGGGTCCCACCCGCAACACGAGGGAATTCTGGGAGATACAATTGAAGCTGAGATTTGAATGGAGACACACCAAACCATGTCACTTCCCAAACAATTAAAAATTCCCAATAGAAGAAGCATTAATTATATCAAAAAGTGGTGGACCAAGAAGGAACTATTAGCCTCATATCTCAAGAAAGACTCCAGTCAAGGCCTAGGGACTACTCATGAAAAGAGTTTAATAGCCGACTCTCTCCCAGTGGATCTGGATTCCACCGGACTGTATCTTCACAGTAAGGGTGAAACAGAAGCAAACCCATTCCTATTTCCAAGCTCAAGGAACTTTGGTCAAAGTTCTCTTGGAGCTGAGCAGAACAAGGAGGCAAACAGAAAAGATTTGTGTCCCTGAGAAGTCATGGCCACAGGCTGGCTATCACACAGATTGTCAAGCCAGTTCCATATTGCATGGGTATTACAGAAAATCTCAAAACATAAATTTGTGTGTGGGTTGTCCCAGAGTAGCAGGATCTGGCAGAAGGAAATTTCCTTCTAACCCTCAAAGAATCCACATAAATCTTGTTACATTTGGGATTTTACGATTTGCTTCAGGAATGAGAATGGCCTTAATTTTCATATCTTTTTCTACACTCAGTTTATGGCTTGTTGGCGTCAAAGTTCTGCTTGCTTCACACAATGAGTTTAGGATTTTCCCTTTTTTATTCTATAGAATTCTTCATATATATTGAAATGCTCTGCCTGGGGAAAAAAATCTGAGCCTAGCGTTTTATCTCTAGGAAGAATCCTTTATTTCCTTGAACATTTATGAGACTATACAGATTATATATGTCTTCTTGTATCAATTTTACTAAGCTATATACATAGCTTATGTTTATATATTATATATATAAATGTAAGATACAAATATAAAAATTATGTATAAATATGAAAATATATATAGAAAGCGATATATATGTCTATATATATAGACAGATTATAAATATCTGTCTATTTGATCTAAGTTTTCAAATTTGTAGGTTAAGGTGTTAATGATATTTCCTTATTAGCTTCTTAATCTATGCTGTATCTATGGTTGTGTACCTTTTAAATTCTTAGTTTTATCTATGTTTTCTCCCTTTTTTTCTAAACTTGACTGACGGTTGCATCATTTATTATATTTCTCCAACAAGCAAAGGTTAGCTTTGTATGTTTTACTAATTTTGTCTACATCATTATTCCCACACTTTAGTTTTTCAGAATTGATTCTGTTGTTTCTTTTCTAATTCTTTATTGAAATATCTAGTACATTAATTTTCAAGTTATTAGAGAAATATTTGTCTGTAAACTCCTATTGTAATATCACTTTTCTTGCTACTCACAGATTTAATCTTTAATATTGGCGGTATCATTGAGTTCTAAGTACATTTCAATTCCTAGTATGATAATCTATGAATTGCTGAGAAATAGTGTTTACAATTTTGTTGTTCTATTTCCACTTAAGTTTATTTTTACTTCTGCTAACTCAATTGAAAATTCTTTACTAATTTTTAAAATCCTTGAACCCAAGAGATGGAGGTTGCAGTGAGCTGAGATCAGGCCACTGCATTCCAGACTGAGTGACAGAGTGGAACGAGATTTCAAAACAAAACAAAACAAAACAAAACAAAACAGTCACTGGAAAGATAATAAAATACATAAATGTGGGATGTAATATGTAATCGTGATAAAATAAACTGGATTTTTTGTATAAGTTATACATATAAATGTAATGCCAAGACACTGATAAGACAACTCATGGTCTTATCTCAATACTTAGTGTCTTCATGTAACATATGTCCTTTAGGATAGTTATAGTCCGTTTTCTTTCCAGGAGAGACAGATGAGAATGCAGAAATGTTAAAGTGCAAGGGACGGAAGCTTCCAGCTGTGCCCACCTGTAACCTGACGTAGACAGTTCCACCGTTTGCTTCATTAATCATGCCAAAGGCTCTAATGCAAATGTGGTACAGAGTCACATGTTTTTGTATCTACATGATAGAAACTATAACTTCATCCCTATATAGAAGGGTATATAGCATATGCCTCAGTGATAAATATAAGTGAATCATTGATCAGTAGGAAACCATTTTAAAAGTCTTTCATAACAGAACAAAATCCCTGAAAACATTTTCTTCTCAATCTCTGAGTTTTCTTACACGGCTTATGAATCTCTAGCCATACTAAAGAGATAGTATGCTGCTCTTCCCACAAATTATTCATTGTATATAATTCCTGTAATCTAATAACAGTACCTTTACACCTCAGGGTTTAAAATGACTCCAACCTTTTTCTGTTTCTCCAATTAAAATAACTTTTTTAAGGTTTAATCTTCAGTAATTTTTTGTAGTAATATTTTTGAAGGTATTTGACCAGGATGATTTGCTTATATACCTACCTGACGTCTCCCTTTCTTCTGAATACATATTTTATTACCCACCTATTAGATCTAAGTTTAAGAAGTTGGAATAGGGATTTAAATCTAAATTCTACATTTGAATTTACAGGAGTCAGCGAGTCCGGGAAGTGCCTTTATGCACAGACCAATATCTGGCAATGGCACTAGGAGACAAATAAGCTTTACCAGTCTCAAAGCCCTGGCTACTACAGTGAATCCACCCTTCTCCTGGATCTTATCTACTTCAGCAAAAGAAGGCCACCCACTAAACCAGGCCCTTGTACTTTGGGTGGAAACTCCTAAGTCCTCTAGTCTCCTCAAACAGACAGCCAGGCTGCCAATTTCCACAATAATAATTTCTATAGCACTGAGTCTTTGGTAGCCTTGTAACTATAGCTACTGATGCTACAGTCTGGTCCCTGTATGATAAAACACCAGAGCAACAGAAACAAAAATATTGACTGAAGCCTTCTAAAATCTCTCTAAATATACCTTCAATAAATATGGTTTTTTTTACAGAACGACTGCTTTCAGCTTCCTGAACTAACGCTTGGCCTTCGCTAGTTGTCACTGTTGAAATTGATTCAAAAGTGTACCTTTAACATGAAAGTCAACACAGAATTTCATGTGTCAGCAACTAAAATTTTCAAAATGTTGCAAAATACAAATGTGAAACTGTATTTGTGAAATTTACCATTCATTGAAATTATATTTTCATACCTACCCAGGCACAGAATTTTTTATAACTGTCTGCATGTTCTCCTCATGTGGGGGAAAAGCAGCATCAGCAGGCAGAGGAATCCTTTGAAGCTGGAGGGAGAGGTTGCAGTGATCTGAGAGTTTGCCACTTGACTGCAGCCTGGATGACACAGTGAGACTCCAACTGAAAAGAAACAAACACACACACACACACACACACACACACACACACCCCCAAAATTGATAAGTAAAAAAAAAATCCATATTCGAAAACATGCTCACAGGCTATCTCCCATATCTAACACACAGACACACACACACACACACACACACAAACACACACAATTCCTTGAAAACGAAAGTTCCACAAGGGCAAAAGAAGAAAACAAATTTAACACCCCCCAAAGAAAGTACAAAGAGTAACCTCAAAAGAACCGCAGGGGAAAACAATTCAAAATTTACAAGTATCTACCCTAAAAGAAGCTGAAAGTCCCTCAAAAACTTTCCAGAGGCCATGTCCTTGTATTACAAAAATGATCATAAAAACTGGCAGGAGTAGACGAATAGAAATGCATCTTAAAACTTGCTAAACCCTTCAAGTCTCCCATAAGAATTGTAATGGAAAATGGATCGGTCGGCAGCTTTTTCCATACAATTATGAACAAATTATATTTCTTCACACATAGATTTGTTTTTTCAATATTCTAAGGAATTAACTTTTATATTAATAGTAGGTGATGTAAGAAAGCAGGCCTTTATCAAGATAACTGACACTGGATGTCCATACCATTACTCAGGTGGGCCTTAATTCCCAGCCGGGTTCCCTCCCTGGACACACACTGAAGGTCCCCAGCCATTTGGCAATCTCTTCACATTCCCAGCCCTGGAGGTAGCCCTAAAATACATGTACCTGAAGAAAATAAAACATTGCCTCACACTGGAGCCCAGTGTGGTCCTCCAGATTCCGTGTGAGGTGGACTAACTTATATGGGAAGGCAGGGCAGCGGGAGTGAGGATGGCAGAGAGGATTACACATGTCAAGGCAGCCGGGGTCATGGAAACAAAACATGACTGGCCTGGGAGAAACACTGTGAAAGGACATACACCTAGGTGGGCCTCAGGTGGACATCCTCGTGGAGAAAAAGGGGGCCCTGGTTGATCTCAAAATGAGCCCCAGGTGGTAGCAGGTCTTACCGCAGGGCAGGGAGCTGGCGAGTAATGATGAGACAGCTATCCCTTAAGCCCTGCTTGTCACCCACTGACTTTAGCCACATATGCATCATAGTGGCTTAAGGTGCCCCGATCCTGAAATGTGGGTGTTACATGTCCCTGATGGGCCTCTCTCCCCCAACCCACGGATTGCCTGGGATTGCTCACTGCAGTCTCCTCCCGGATCCTTGGGTTCTCCATGTGGGGCCCAGATCCAGGTCAAAAGGCCTCTCAGTTCCCAGCCCTTCCCAGCCCTAGGCTGCTCGCCTGGCCTCCTCTCTGTTCCGCCTCTAGGGCTGACCCTCTCTCCATGGGATAGAACTGCAATGGATTGAGCCATAGGCCCTGGCTGATGATCTAGGGGACTGCAGAAGTGGGTCCAGGACAGTTCAGGTGACAGTTCAAAGCCAATTCCCCAGAGACCAAGGAATGACCAGCTAGGTCCTTTCCCATGATGCCCCACGGCGAACCCCACCTCAGCAATCCTGCCAAAACCCGGGCAGTCATGTTCAGCCAAACAGCTGAATGAGCTCAGGTAGGAGGTGTACTGCCTGCAGCTGGAGGCTTGACCTTCGTGATCCCAGAACCGCTGGACTGCAGTGGAATGAGACACCCTGTAGCCTGCAGGGAGAGGAGTCAGGAAGGTTCATGCCAGTCCCACCCTCCCACACACCAGCTCCCCTACCATGCTGGGAGGCATTCCTTACCGAGGATGCCAACACAGTGCTCCTTCATGATGATTTCACTGTGGAAATAAAGGTTGGGATGAAAGGAAATCATCCTGCCACCGGTAACCGGGATGGCTGAGTTCCTCCACCTGCCGGATCAAGGAGAAAGAGGATGGATTCAATGGGACCATCTCAACTAGCCGGGCTGAGGTGGCCTACTAGCTGTAGTGAACCATGAGTTTCCCCTTCCCAGCTCTCCCACTGAGACAACCCTGGTCCCCAGGGGGACCTCAAACTGACTCAGACACTGGACTCCTCCCACAGACCCAGGCTCCCCAGCCTGACCTGCAAATCCATCACGTAGCAAAGCAGGACTTCCGCATGCTTTCCGACCCACGCCGACATCTCGTGTGCCAAACAATCTACCTCTGCGCAAGAACTCTCCAGAGGATTGGGTGGGCAAGCCTCGTGACGCCTTGCAATTTCGCAAGAACACAGACAATGTGGAACAGGGCCATCTCCCAGACATTTGGCCAGTCACCCTTCATTGTTGGCCCTCTATCTCTGTCTGGCGAGGAGGCAACGCACAACTGTGGTGGTTTTTGGAGTGGGTGGACCCCGGCCAAGACGGCCTGGGCTGACCAGAGACGGGAGGCAGAAAAAGTGGGCAGGTGGTTGCAGCTGAGGGACGGGAGGGACCGGGGGTGGTGTGAGGCGGCTGCTTCTCTGGGTTTCTGAGATGCAGGAGGCCTTTGTGTGCTGGGTGCTGGACATGCTCCGCTGATGTCCGGGTGTGTGGTGTCCTCTTATCCTAGTCTCCCTGAGGGGTGGGCCTGTCCACCTGAGGGAAGCCTTGTAGTTAGAAGCCACAGCAGGGTCGTGCCTGGCGCTCTCCAAGGGAATTGCGTGGGTCCAGAGGAAGTTATACAGGCTCAGGGCCTACACGCCTTTGAGTGCAGCGCCTGCAGTTGGATGAATGCGCATCTGCGGAGCTGGTGCCCGCCGTCAGGTGGTCGGCAGCCCCATGCGCCGCGAACCCGTCTTAAGCACCTTGTGTTTCTGGGGTGAGCCTGCTGGAAACAGGCACCGAGAGCAGGGGTGGTTCAATGGCTGGTAATGGCATACAGATTCCCCGTCCTCCAGGGACGTTCCCAGGGAAACGCGTCCTTCGAATTTGGGCTGTGCGCAAAGGGACCTTGGCGCCGCGATTCTCCCTTGTCAGTGCTGGCCCTGGCTCCCCTTCCCTACCACGTGCTCCCAGGGCTGCTACAAGCGAGCTGCCCTCACAGCTGCGGGAACGTGGCCTCGGCTCCCACGCTGTCCCCCATCCCCTGCCTCCTGGCTGACCCCACGTGCCTCCCACCTGGCTCCTCCCCCCAAACAGCCCCTATACCCCCCGAGGCCCGATGACTATCCCCTGCTGCCCGCCATCCCAAATCGGCAGCCGCAAGGATATGGCTCTGGCTCACAAGGCGGAGATGCTCTGTGGCCTGGGGCATTCACGGAGCCCAGCTCCAAGTGAAGGACCTCCAGCGAGTCCATTGACGGCCCCGGTGTGCTCGGTCCAGGGCCAGGCTGTGCCCGCTGGCCCTCCTTCTGCCACCCCACGTCGGGCTCCACCTCAACCACCACCTCCACCTCAGCCATGATGTCTTCCACCTTCAGCACCGCCTCCTCTTCCAAGGCCGCCTCCTTGCTCTGTACCCCGGCCGTCCTCTCCAGCATTGCCTCCAGCCTGAACACGGTTTTCTCCTGGGTGCTCCCACAGACCCTGGGCCTGCGCAGCCCAGCCCAGCCCAGCCCATGCCCCGCACCCGTAGGCTCTGGGGGCCCGCTCCCCAGCAGACCCGCTCCCTGCAAGACCCACGGGCGTCGCCCTGCTGAGAACCTGGTCCCACACCTACGTGGACCCAGGTTTCCTGAGGAGCTCCGCTGGACCCGCAGATCCCGCACTGGCCAAAGGGCTCCGGTCCCCAGCAGGCTCAACTGCGCACAGGAGCTCGGGAGCCAGAGGCCCCGGCCCTGGGCTTGCAGAGCCCCACCAACAGGCACCGCAACCGCTGCTGCGGGTGCGGGAGCCTCTGGGTCGTCAAGGCAGCGCACAACAGCGTGCGCGCAGGCCGACAATGGCCAACCCTGGCGGCTGGCCTCTGGTGTGCCCAGGGCATAGGACAAGAGGCCCTTTGGAATGCTCCTTGGAGTACAGCATCCTCAGGGAGGAAGCATGGTACTCGGAGCCTCTATTTGCCTCGACCTGTGAGAGTGTGTGCCGGGGCTCTGGCCTCTACAGCAGATCAATTCCACCTCAGCACCGGCAGGCGACTTTCCTCCCACGTGCCCGCCCCGATCACTTCCCCCAGGACACCCCTGCCGCCCTTGCCCCAGCAACCAGAGAGAGTTCTCTGCATCTGCTGTATTACCTCCGTACCATCTACCTGGCCTGCCTAACGAAGAGAGATGTTTCCTGTGTTCATGACACATAGAGATGTTCATGGCTTGCCACACTGAGGATGTCAGGGCACAGGGCTGCCATGCCCACAATTCCAAAGGCCACGCAGCCCGCGTGTGCCCGGATGCCTAGCTACCCGGCACAAGCTCCAAGGGCTTCTCGGAGGAGGCTTGGGCAGGGAAGGCGGGGGGTGGGGGGGCTGGAGATGCAGGCCCGCCAGTGGCTGTGCCGCCCAGGGAGACGCCCACCGCCCTCCCATTGACTGGCCACGACGGGAGGAAGTCGGCCTGGGTGCGGCCCCCCGGCCCTTCGCGCGCAGTCCCTTAGGGGGCGCCTGGAAGCCCGGCGCATGCGCCCTGAGGGCTCGCTGACCTACCGGGTGCCAGAGAGGCTGCGGCAGGGTTTCTGTGGCGTGGGTCGGGCAGCACAGGCCTTGGTGTGTGCGAGTGCCAAGGAGGGCACCGCCTTCAGGATGGAGGCTGTACAGGAGGGGGCGGCCGGGGTGGAGAGTGAGCAGGCGGCTTTGGGGGAGGAGGCGGTGCTGCTGTTGGATGACATAATGGCGGAGGTGGAGGTGGTGGCGGAGGAGGAGGGCCTCGTGGAGCGGCGGGAGGAGGCCCAGCGGGCACAGCAGGCTGTGCCTGGCCCTGGGCCCATGACCCCAGAGTCTGCACTGGAGGAGCTGCTGGCCGTTCAGGTGGAGCTGGAGCCGGTTAATGCCCAAGCCAGGAAGGCCTTTTCTCGGCAGCGGGAAAAGATGGAGCGGAGGCGCAAGCCCCACCTAGACCGCAGAGGCGCCGTCATCCAGAGCGTCCCTGGCTTCTGGGCCAATGTTGTATCCTTCTCAGTGTTTCTTCGGCCTTTCTAGTGGAGAGGTGCTCTCGGGGAAGTGTAAGTGACCGATGGGCAGCTCGGCGTCGATGTGACTCTTTGGGGAACAAAGGGGAGTTGCCACGGACCAGTGTGGCTGTGGAAAGCCGGAGCAGGCGTGGGTACTATTGTCCTGCATGCGGCAGAGAAACCCTTGGTGATGCCGAGCAGCAGACGTTTGGGGCATCTTTTTGAAGAGCAGAAGCGAGTTCAGAGCGGAAGAGGTTTTTCAGTGAATGAAGCTATTTTTAAGGGAGTGTGATTGCTGCCCCTTGCTAGTCCGATCTGGGACTGGGCGTCTTCGGCTATAAGCAGATTCTGCCACTCCTCAGACACCAGCAAGTCTCTGCAAATCGCGCCTCCCCATGTCAGTGCAGTCAGCCTCAGAATCATACACCCTCTGTGAACACAGGAGGCCTTAGTTTACGGGGAGGGGGAGGCGAAAGGAGATCATACGTGGAAGCAGATCTGAGAAATCCCCTACCCCAGCCTCTGGGTGCTCTTAGGCCTTCTTCCCTGTTGCTCCTCGCTTTCCCTTCCATCGTGTGTAAAGTCTCTTTGACCTAAATCAGATTGCAAACCACCCCCAGATGTCAGCCCTGATCACTGACGAAGATGAAGACATGCTGAGCTACATGGTCAGCCTGGAGGTGAGGCCAGGAAGACTGGGGCTAGAGGGTTTAGCGGGGGAGGGTAAGGGAAATAATTCATTCCTGTAAGCAAGAGTGAGCACCTCACCCGAAAACCTATCTAAGCTTTCTCCACCTTGTCCTGACAGGTGGAAGAAGAGAAGCATCCTGTTCATCTCTGCAAGATCATGTTGTTCTTTCGGAGTAACCCCTACTTCCAGAATAAAGTGATTACCAAGGAATATCTGGTGAACATCACAGGTGACAGGTGGCTCCCAGGATGGGTAGTGGAAGGAAGATGGTGGGTGGATCATTGCCAACGGGATCCAGCCCCCTTCCCACAAAAACTCCTGTCTCTGTAGAATACAGGGCTTCTCATTCCACTCCAATTGAGTGGTATCCGGATTATGAAGTGGAGGCCTATCGCCGCAGACACCACAACAGCAGCCTTAACTTCTTCAACTGGTTCTCTGACCACAACTTCGCAGGATCTAACAAGATTGCTGAGGTGAGTCCTCACTGGGAAACATGAGGAATGACCCCGTGTGTTCCCAGCTGCTTGGGTCACCTTTCTGAGCCCTGATGAGGCCTTTCCCGATTGAGTCCCCTGACAGATCCTATGTAAGGACCTGTGGCGCAATCCCCTGCAATACTACAAGAGGATGAAGCCACCTGAAGAGGGAACAGAGACGTCAGGTGAGCCGTTAGTTGGCACTGGAGCTGTTTGATGCCCAGTATAAGGGGGTTGACACACCTGCCTATTCAGGGAGCCTGGGTGCTCATTTCAGAAATGTAGAAATTGAGGCTCCTTTCGTACATGTAGAAATTCCTTGAGAGGAAGACAGAGAGTGACAGAATCCAGGACGTTCATGGCATTGGGCTGAAAAGGCACGTTAGAGACTGCACTGCAAAGCGGGTGATAGCTGTGGAGTCTTAAGCCCAGTGAAGAATCGTCCATTTCCAGAATCAATGAGAAGTAAAGCTGAAAATCATTCAGTTCAGTCTGTGGCACTTGATTCCACGGCTGTCAACCCCACCGGCAGTCATCCCGCCAACCCCATGAGATTGGGCTCCCTGAATGTGCGTCCTGGTCATCCTTGCCCCAAACCACAAAGGACTGTTTAGATTGATGGATTTCCTTAAGCTGTTGCCCCATCAGACTTGTGTGTGCTTTTAGGGCCCAGTGCATCTTGTTAGCTGACTCCCCTCACAGACAATACTGGGAATGGGGCAGGGATTGCGCAGAACAGTTTGTAACACGTGGTAGGAGGAAGTTTAAGGGATCACAAATGGGGAAGGGATATCCTTTTCTCAGCGGGCCCCACAATTGAAACATTTCAAAGTATGGCTCAGAGAAAATGCGTTTTAACATGAGTTTGTGTTTCTCTAGGGGACTCCCAGTTGTTGAGTTGAATATGATGGAGCATCAGATTTTACCTAATACAGCAGAACTCCTAAAAAGTTACAGCCATATGCAGGACGGCAGTACTCAGCATGGTCTTATGCACAGGAACTAAAGGAAAAACAGATCGAGTCACAAAAATTCAGGAAGAGGGGGTAAATGTGGATTGTATGGAATGAAAAATAAACATTCTCAAGGATGTGTGACTCTGTGTCTGTGTGTGTGTGTGTGTGTCTTTGTGTTTGTGTGTGTGTGTGTGTGTATGTTTATCCACTTTATTCGGGTGTCATAATGAATTGATCAATCCACGTGCTTTATTCTCTTCATGGAAATAACCAGTCTGCGTTGGAGCTGGGCCTCTAAAGTTGTAGAGTGAATGGGTGTGGGATGTGTTGGGATTCTTCCTACAGGACAGAGTGGGAGAGGTAAAAGCAAAAGACAGCTTAGTTGGAGGCTGACTTCGTCCTGTGGAAGCAGAGATAGTTCAAGGAAAGGGGTTACTGGGTTTCCAGGGCCCAGTTTGCTGGGACCTCCAAAATCCTTCATTTTGGGTATCATCATACACAGTAGCTAAGCACAGGATGATGGAAATCTTAAAGTTCGCTTTCGTGTTGAATCCACATGTTCTTTTAAAGGTGAATGCATGATCCTTTTCTGGGACAATCAGCCTCTCAGGACTTCTGAAACATCAACGTGAGAAGAAATGGGCATGTAAGGTGTATGGAGGGACTGTGGGAAAGGTGACAGAGGCATGTGGGAAGGCATTCAGGATACGCTTTTGGCATAGATGACTAAGGGAAAACAGAAACTTACAGAAGTGAGGGGAAAGGGGGTGGATTAGTGGAATATAAGATTGTTGGAGAATCCATCCATGGACTCTCTTGTCACTTGATGACCCAGGATATGGACACTCTTGTTGATGTTTACATCTTTAGTTGTTTTAAGCTTTTCTCCAAGATTCTGTGTTAGGTGAGGAGCCAATAACGTATGTAGCTAACAACAGTACGAGTGCATTTTGTGCTCTTGCAAAGTCTAGTGAGGCTCTATTCTCCCTCGTGATTGGCACTGCAGATTGTATCTGGAGCCCAGGGCCCCTAAATTTTCTGTGGCCTCTTCAGCATAGTTTGCCTAAGGTTTAGAACGTAAAGCGAATATAGTTGCGGAATATGTTTTGCAAGCCTCACACAGGAGGACAAAACATACAGCTTTCATTCGCGAGTGGGAGGCTGCTTCCCAGGAACACGTGTGTCTGCACAAGACAAGGGGTTGCCTCTGTCAAGGATGGGGCAGGAGGATTTCAGTGTCGGAGGCAGAACTTTCTTTCCTGTTCCCAGATGAAACAGTTCCAACACGAGCATCCATGTTGACCACACGCTACTAGAGTGCTAACATTGCTGTCCCGTATAGACTCTCGTCAGCACAGCTTCTGTGAGAAGAGCATGTTGTTTCAGGGAAGAGGGTTTGACAGTCAAAGTTCCTGAATCTGTTGTGGTGCCTGCAATATGCATTCTACACCTCCTGCTCGGTGTCAAAGCAGTTGAGCTTTGAAAATCTATCGCCTGGTTTTGTCCCTGCTCCTATGCAGACCTCTGAAGCTCTGGAGCGGGAGTCTTGTCCTCCTCTGACTACCGTCCCCCTGACCCACAAACACAGGAGAAACAGGTGTTCTAAGCAAATTATTCTGAAAACAGTCGGAACACTTTGGCCCCCTCAAGCTGCCCTCTATCCTACTGTGTGCATGTCAAAGACACTGTGGTCCAGTACGGTATCCCTATAGCGGCAATGGGGCAACAGATTGGTGTGTGCACTCTGGGCAACTCAGATTAGGAAACGTCTGGGGACTTGCCTATAACGAGGTCGTCTTAAAACGTGTTGCCCCAAATTTAAGGCATAGGAAAATGTTGAGGAAAGGGTCTTGCAATGATTTTTCTAGGAGGTAAATAGATAAGAAAATGACCGTAAATAGATGCCAGGGCTAGTTTTGGAGCTAGCCTGTTTTAAAGTGGTGGTAGGGGAGGAGCTTTTTCCAAGGCAGGTAGCAAACCAGGAACTGTCTACGATGGATGGGTGTGCCACGGGTTGGTGGCTCAGCCATATTGCCACCCCACCGAGTGAATGCAGCAGACTGGGCTTCTTCCTTGAATCCTACGTGCAATTCAGTCTAGTGATTTCACATGAGATCCCTTCTTCTGGTATTATCACAGATCGTGCTGAATTATACAGGCTGTGTAATGCTTCTTCCACTGAATATCCGTGCACGTGGGCCACAGATGCTAAGGGCACTGACAAATTTGCACCGTGCCTCAGTAACTCGGAAGCACATCTGTGATTTGTACCGACAGGGACTTGGTGTCTTTTCGTGTTTAAAGTAGCACGTGTGTGTTTGTGGTTGCGTATGTTTATTTCTCTGTGCGGGTTTGTATATTTTCTCTGACTCCACCTGTGTCTCCGTGGTTCCGATATTTTTCCACACTCCCTGCGACAATTTGCACATGCCTATCTCTACAACCATTGTAGACTTTGTATCTGTGTCTTTGAACATCTGTCACTCTCTCTCCCTTCCTTTTTTCTTTTCCTTCCTTTACACCCCTTTCATCCTTCCCTTGCTTCCCCACCACACTCTCTCCATCTGTATCGTCTATCTTTCTATTCTCTATCTGGGTTTACTTTCTAATTCTGAATTCAAGGGCATTGAATTGAAAAGAAGCACTCTTCGTACTTTTATGTGTTTTAACTCATTTGGGGAATTTGGCGTGGTATTATTTACAGGGTTCTCTCTGCCCTTTCTCATTGTTCTCCCCAGCCGGGGCTGTTATTATGTGAAAGCTGGTTTCCTTCATCACATCGCGTAGGCTCTAATGATGTTTCGTTTATTTTGATTCTCCTCACACTACATAGTTTTAATTTACCTAATGTGACTGTTTTTTTGTTTGTTTTCCGAGAATGGGTCTTACTCTGTCTTCTAGGTTGGACAGCAGCCCCACGATCTCAGCCCACTGCAGCCCAGGCACCACACACCCATGTGATCCTGTCAACTCAGACTCTCACACACCTGGCAGTACAGGTGCATGCCACCCCTCCAAGCTATGTATTAATTAACTAAATACTTACTTTTTGAATGTGGGTCCATGTTGCCCCAGGCTCATCTGGAACTCCTGAGTGCAGGCAATCCTCCCACCTCAGCTTATCAAAGTGCTGGGATGACAGGTGTGACCCATGGCCCTGCCATGGCTTTGTGTTTTTTGCTTTTTTCTTCCTCCTCCTCACGTCTTGTTTTGAAACATGCACTGAAGGTTTCAATTCATGGACTGTAGTCTCTGTGCCTGGAATTTCTATCTTTCAACTCATCATCAGCATTCATTGGGATTTTCATATATATATATATATATATATATATATATATATATATATATATGTATATAAGAATACCTATGTACACACATATATATGTATATACATGTATATACGTATATATGCACATTTATATACGTATATACATGTATATACGTATATATATACATGTACACATATGTATTTATTTCTCAAGTTACGAAACGGCTTGCATTCTTTCCTGTGTCATGAAAAAGACTTTGCTAGAAAAGAAAAGCACTGCTTTATAATAAAATATTTTATTTGCATTTATTTTGTTAAGGCATTTTAAAAATTGTATGTTTGTTTAAAAAATGTCATATGAAATGATACATATTTACAACTTAAGGCGTGATGTTCAACAGGTCATATACATTATGCATTGGATACATCCAGCCAATCAACATATGTGTGACCTCACATAGTTGTCATTTTTGTTGTGAAAAAACTTGACTTGCACTGTATTCGAATATTTTTAGAGAAAGAATATGTTACCACTAGTTATAGTGAGCATGCTGAAGAAAATATTTTTAACCTATTCCTCCTTTATAACTAGAAGTATGAGTTCTTCATCCAGCATCTCGTCAGTGCACCCTCTTCACCGCAGTCATTGGAGTCACTACTTCTGTGAAGTCCGCTTTTTTGATTTCATATAAGAATGAGATCATGTGCTATTTTCATTTCTGATACCTGGCTTATGTCACTTAACAGAATGGCATGCACACATTCAGCAGATTCCCACACATTCTCACAACTGGCAGGATTTCCTGATTTCTTATTGCAGCGCATATTTCCGTTGCGCATATGCGTTTTTGCCCCATTTTTTAATCCACTTATCAATGGAGGGACACTCAGGTTGCTTCCGCATTTTGGCTACAGCAAAAATGTAATGAGTGCAGCAATAATTGCATGGGTGCGCGCACCGCTTCAACATACTGATCTGTGTACTGGCGGGCGTGCCCGGGTATTCTGATTTGCTGGATCATATAGTGGGTGGTTCTAATTGTAGATTTCTGAAGGCTGTTTATACTTAAATAAGAGCAATAAAGCTTCTTTAATGCCAGCACTAATTTACATTCTCCCCAAAAGTGAGCAGGGAATTCGTTTTCTCTGCCTCCTCACCAGAGATTAGGGTTTTCTTTTCTTTCTTTTTTTTTTTTTGTTTGTTTGTCTTTCGGATAATATGCATTCTGACTGAAGTGAGAAGAAATCTCATTGTGTTTTTGATTTGCATTTTCGTGATGGATTGGGGATAATGAGGAATTTTTAGTGTGTCTTCTGGGCAACTGTATGTCTCAGTTTCACAAATGAGTCTTCGCAGCCTTCGCCCATTTGTTTTCATGCTATTGAGTTGTTGGGAGTTCCTTATGTACTGTGACTATTCCCCCATGAACAGATGTATGGTGATCCAATCATTGCTCCCATCCTGTAGGATGCCCCTTCTGTATGTTGAGTTTTCTATGGTGTGGTGAAGCACTTTAGTTTGATATGATTCCATTCTCTATTTTTGATGGTGTTTACTGTGTTCTTGCAGTCACTTTGAGACCATCATTGCACACACGGACGCCATGGAGCTGCTTCCTTGTGATCTCTTCTGCTATTTTTATCGTTTCACATCTGACACTGGAGTTTGGTGATAAATAATCCACTTGTAAAATCCTTTGTGTGGCTATTCAGATTTCCCCAACCTAGTTTATAGAAGATACTTGATTTTGCATTGGGCGTTCTTGCTTCTTTGGGAAAAGGCTGTGAGCTGCAAATGCAGTGACTTAGTTCTGGGCTCCTGTTGTTTTTCCTAAGCTCTAGTCTCTGCTTTTCTGCCAGCGCTATTGTATTTTGGTACAAAAAGTTTTGTAGTAGTATATCATGAAGTTAGGTAGTGGGGTGGCTCCAGCTTTGTGCTTTTTACTGGATTGCTCTGGGTTTTCAGGATCTTCTGCCATTTCATAGCAAATTTGGGATTCCCAGATTGTTTTCTAAGAAGAATGTGTCATTGATATTTTTACAGGGGTTGTATAGAATCTGAGGATGACTCAGGTAGTAGTGATGTCAATGCCGTTTAGACAATGTGCGTGTTTGTGTGCACATGCTCAGGGCCAAGAGACACTGGGTGTCCTCACCAATACTGAGGTGGGCCTTAATATCCAGCCAGATTGCCTTCTGGAAACACACGGAATGTCCTGTTCTGTTTTGCCATCTCTTCACATTTCCTCCCCTGTGAGCCCTGTGTGGTCCTCCAGATTCCCTGTGCGGTGGCCTGCCTTTTTTGGGGTGGGGAGTTGCTGGGTGAATGAGGATGGCGGAGGGAACCAAGTATGTCAGTGGAGCGTGGTGTCATCCAAACGGTACTTAGCAGGCCTGGGAGAGTCATTCTGGGAGGACGCAGACCTAGAGAGGCCTCAGGTGGGCATCTGTGTGGAGGGTGAGAGATCCCTGGTTGAGCCCAAACTGAACCCCAGGTAGAAGCAAGCCTCAGGACAGGGAAGTAGCTAGCAAGGGATGATGAGGCAGCTATCTCTTGACCCTGGCTTCCCACCCATTGACCTTAGCTACTTATGCCTATTAAGCAGATTACGGTTCCCCCATCGTGAAATGTGGGTACCACAGTTCCCTGATGGGCATTTCTCCACCAGCCCATGATGGCCTGAGTTTCCTTACTGCAGTCTCCTCCCTGAGCCTTGGCTTCTCTATGTGTGTCCTAACTCCAGGACCCACAGGCCTGTCAACCCCCAGCCCTGGGCTGCTTCCCTGGCCTCTTCTCTGTTCCCTCTCTGAGGGCCTAACTCCCTTGGGTAGTGCTGCAGAATATAGAGCCACAGGCCCTGGCTGATGATCTGGTGGACTGGGCAAATTGGTCGTGACAGGTCAGGTTCTGGTTCAAAGCCAATTCCTCCGATGCCAAGGAATGTCGAAGAAGGTCCTTTGCCATGATGCCCCATAGCTGCCCCACCTCAGCAATCGTGCCGTAACCTGGGCCCTCACAGTCAGACAACCAGCTGAAGAAGCTCAGGCAGTGACCTGCGGGAAACTCGGGCTTTCACCTGCATGACCCTAGAACCACTGGACTGCAGTGGAGCCAGTCGCCCTGTATCCTGGAGGGAGACGAGTCAGGAAGGCGCACGCCAGGCCCAGCTCCCGAGGTACTACCCCCTCTACTCCTCAGGGAGGATGCCAACGCAATACTCCTTAGTCATCACTTTGTTTCCGAAGTAAATGTTGTGATGAAAGGGAAACTTCTTCCTACCCCTTGTATTCAGGGTGGCCGAGTTCCTCCACCTGCCTGTCCAAGAAGGAGAAACAGGGCTGTGAAGGGGCAATTTCATCTAGGTTGGCTGAGGTGGCATTCTAGCCGGGGTGAAGCATGCGTTTCCCCTTCCCAGCTTTCCCACTGAGACACACCTGAGCCCCAGAAGGACCTCAACCTGACCAGGACCTTAGCACCCTCCCCCAGACCCAGGCTTTCCATCCTGACCTGCAAACCCAACATGCAGCTTTGAAGGAATTTCTCATGTTTTCTGAGCTACTTTCTCTCACCAGAAAGAATCAGGACTTTTAAAGTGTGCTTTATGCCAACTTAAATTTTTCATTTTGACTACCTCATGTTTCTGATGAGGCATGTATTTTTAAATTTATTTTCACCCTTATTGTACCTCTGTGATAAACTGCTTGCTTAGATTCATACCATAATTATCTTTCAGGTTACTGTTCTGTTCCTAAAGATTCACTGAAACGAAGAATTCTATATATGCTTGTATCTTTCAGCAACTGTATGTCAGATAGCACTGCACATTACTGCAGAAATCACATATAAATGTCCAAAGGGAGATGAAGAAGAAGAAAGCAAGCTTTAAAATCTGTACATTCCTAACAGCGTATCAGAAACTCACAAATAACAGTGAAAACAAAGAATGATCACAGCCAATACCATTTCATACTTAGACTGAAATATGCAACTTCAAAAGAAAAGAAAGTTAAGAACTTTCTTTTGTAAAAATTTGTAAATATAGTTTGTAAAAATTTAAAAATATAGTTTTAAAAATTTTCCTATATAGATAAAATTATTGGTAACTTTGTCTCACTAGAAAACATAAACATAAACAAAAATCCATCCTTTGCATATGTGTAAATATACATAGTTTTATTTCCATCAGTTATGACATGTAAGCAAGTAGTAAAGTTAAAGTACAATAAAATGATATATGGAATTTTCTCAGTCTCAAAATATTCCATGGAGACTATCAATTTTATGAAAACCATAAACAATGCTTCATGAAACTACATTATACAGTGCCATTTAGTATTTTACTTACGTTTTAAATAATCAACAATTAAAGGGAATTCGTCAACATTATTTATTATGAATACCGTTAATTTCCTTCAGTAATCCTATTGAAATTAAGTATTTTAAATAAAACATTAAAAACAAATTATATTGACTGATTTCAGCTTTGGATGAAATCATACTTGTGTATTTGTAGTAACGGGAAGTATAACTTTCTCCTCACAATTAATCTTTTATAACATTGGTGTTTTTGTTTTCTCTGACACCAACATTGTGAGATCGCACAGGTTTACTGCATGCATGCATTACATGCCTCCAGAGAGTAGGCTTCAAATATATGAAAAATTATATTTATGAAAAAATTCTAGGAAAGGGAATGGTGAAATGGAAGAGAATTTCTCTCTTGTTAACTGTTGGTCACTGGATTTGTATATACTTGGATATAGACACATATTAGCACACTGTGAGTTTGCCCATGTACATATACACTTATATGAGAAACCCATAATATATGGGTTGTATAATGTTTTAATTAATCCACAATTGTATATGCGTGAAATTAGATAAGCGGTTACCTTTTCTTTACTCAATTTGATGGAAAGCCAAAAAAATATGTCAACCTTTATTTCAATTAATCCAATACCATTAACTGCTGGTAGCTTCATTCTCCTTGTTCTCTTACGGCAACCGGAAAGTTAATTCTCACTCTAATTTAGCTTTCAAGGTGCGATCAACAAGAGTGTCACCTTGCTGTGGATTGTGACCTCTGACTCCACCTCTGTCTTCCTTTTGCAGTCCTACCTTTGCATAGGTAACAAACTTTGTACACGGTTAAAAGGCTAAAAGTTCAGTGAAATGTCAAGCCATGCTGTGAAATGTTCCATAGTTTCTATATCTCTAATTGTCCTTTGATGTTATAGAGGCAAGAAAAATAATTCAATGTTTTTCTTAGTATCTAGTCCAATGCACTCTTTCTTCATAATACTGCAAACAAGGCACTGACATGGAAACGTGGCTGGACGTCTCAAAATCTCTTCTCATTAATTACCATTATGTTAATCACTGTTGCCCACAACTGGAATTGGACTGTGAAATCCCCTGGTGGAAATTGCTATAATGGCTCAAACTACTGGAATGACTATCTTTTTTTACCTGAAAATATCTGATGAGCATAGACATATGCTATATACAGGAACATATTGTACATTAACAACATACCGTCACTGCCACTCAATAATAGGTATCCCAAACCTTTGAGCCAAACTGATCTCAGGTGCTCCCACAAACCAAGCTTTTTCCTCCACAGATTTCTTATGTCAAAAAGCCGCAACTCCAGCCCAGGCTTCATGGCTCTTGTTATAATTTCTACATTTTGGGAGGCTGAGGTTGGTGGGTCACTTGAGGTCAGGAGTTGGAGACCAGCATGGGCAACATGGCAAAAACTTGTCTCTACCAAAAATACAAAAATTACCAGACTTAGTGGCACTTTCCTGTGGTCCCAGCTACTTGGGAGGCTGAGGTAGGAGAACCGCCTGAACATGGGTGGCAGAGATTGTATAGTAAGCCAAGATCAGACTACTGCACTCCATCCTGGATGACACAGCGAGATCATGACTGAAAAAAGAAAAAAAAATGAAGGCAACTCCACTCGTCCACTGGCTTAGGTAAAAAATACTGGAGTTGGCTGGGCTCGGTGGCTCACACCTGTATTCCCAGCACTTTGGATTTTGGGAAGCTGAGTCGGGCGGGTCACCTGAGATCTGTAGTAGGAGAGCAGCCTGGCCAACATGGTGAAGCCTGGCTTCTACTAAAAATACAAAACATTAGCTGAGCGTGGTGATGCATGCTTGTAATCGCAGCTACTGCAGAGGCTGAACCTGGGAGGCGGAGGATGTGTTCAGCTCAGATCCTGCCACTGCACTCCAGCCTGGGCTACAGAGCGAGAGTACCCTGTGAGAAACAAAGGTGAAGAGAACAAGAAAGAAAATTAGAAAAATAAGACCCACTGCAAAAGTTTGCCACAGAATAGATTAAACATTTCGCCAACTTCTAGCTTCTATCATGGAAGCCAAGGTTATTTGGACCAAACCTCCTGTCTTAGTTCATTTTCACGCTGCTGAAGAAGACATACCTGAAACTGGGAATAAAAGGAAGTTTAATTGGACTGACAGTTCCACATGGCTGTGGAGGCCTCAGAATCATGGTATACGAATAAAGGCACTTCTTACATGGCAATGCCAAGAGAGAATGAGGAAGAACCTGAGGCAGAAACCCCTGAAAAACCCATCAGATCTCGTGAGACTTCTTCACTGTCACAAGAATAGCATGAGAAAGACCGACCCCCATGATTCAATTACCTCCCCCTGGGTCCCACCCGCAACACGAGGGAATTCTGGGAGATACAAATGAAGCTGAGATTCGAATGGAGACGCACCAAACCATATCACTTCCCAAACAATTAAAAATTCCCAATAGAAGAAGCATTAATTATATCAAAAAGTGGCGGACCAAGAAGGAACTATTAGCCTCATATCTCAAGAAAGACTCTAGTCAAGGCCTAGGGACTACTCATGAAAAGAGTTTAATAGCCGACTCTCCCAGTGGATCTGGATTCCACCGGACTGTATCTTCACAGTAAGGGTGAAACATAAGTAAACCCATTCCTATTTCCAAGCTCAAGGAACTTTGGTCAAAGTTCTCTTGGAGCTGAGCAGAACAAGGAGGCAAACAGAAACAATTTGTGTCCCTGAGAAGTCATGGCCACAGGCTGGCTATCACACAGATTGTCAAGCCAGTTCCATATTGCATGGGTATTACAGAAAATCTCAAAACATAAATTTGTGTGTGTGTTGTCCCAGAGTAGCAGGATCTGGCAGAAGGAAATTTCCTTCTAACCCTCAAACAATTCACATAAATCTTGTTACATTTGGGATTTTACCATTTGTTTCATCAATGAGAATGGACTTTAGTTTTCATATCTTTTTCTACACTCAGTTTATGTCTTGTTGGCATGAAAGTTCTGCTTGCCTTACACAAGGAGTTTAGGAATTTCCCTTTTTTATTCTATAGAATTCTTCATATATATTGAAATGCTCTGCCTGGGGAAAAAATCTGAGCCTGTTGTTTTATCTCTAGGAAGAATCCTTTATTTCCTTGAACATTTACAAGACCATTCAGATTAGATATGTCTTCTTGTGTTAATTTTACTAAGCTATATACATAGCTTATATTTATATCATATATAATCTTATATAAATATAAGATATAAATATAAAAAATATAAATAAATATGAAATATATATAGAAAGCTATATATATGTCTATATATGTAGACACATTATAAAAATCTGTCTATTTGATCTAAGTTTTCAAATTTGTAAGTTAAGGTGTTAATGATATTTCCTTATTAGCTTCTTAATCTATGCTGTATCTATGGTTGTGTATCTTTTAAATTCTTAGTTTTATCTGTGCTTTCTCCCTTTTTTTCTAAACTTGACTGAGGGTTGCATCATTTATTATATTTCTCCAACAACCAAAGTTTAGCTTTGTATGTTTTACTAATTTTCTCTCCATCATTATTCCCACCCTTCAGTTTTTCAGAATTGATTCTGTTGTTTCTCTTCTAATTCTTTTTTTGAAATATCTAGTACATTAATTTTCAAGTTATTAGAGAAATATTTTTCTGTAAACTCCTATTGTAATATCACTTTTCTTGCTACTCACAAACTTAATTTTTAATGTTGGCAGTATCATTAAGTTCTAAGTACATTTCAATTCCTAGTATGATAATCCATGAATTGCTAAGAAATAGTGGTTATAATTTTGTTGTTCAATTTCCACTTACTTTTATTTTAACTTGGGCTAATTGAAAATTCTTTACTAATTTTTTAAATCCTTGAACCCAAGAGACGGAGGTTGCAGTGACCTGAGATGAAGCCACTGCATTCCAGACTGACAGAGTGGAAGTAAATTTGAAAACAAAACAAAACAAAACAAAACAGTCACTGGAAATATAATAAAATACATAAATTTGGGATGTAAAATGTTAATCATGATAAAATAAACTGAACTTCTTTGTATAAGTTATACAAATTATTCATTGTATATAATTCCTGTAATCTAATTATAGTGCCTTTACACCTCAGGGTTTAAAACGACTCCAACCTTTTTCTGTTTCTCCAATTCAAATAACTATTTTAAGGTTTAATCTTTAGTAATATTTTGTAGTAATATTTTTGAAGATATTTGACCAGGATGATTTGCTTATATACTTATCTGATATCTCCCTTTCTTTTGAATACATATTTTATTACCCACTGATTAGATGTAAGTTTAAGAATTTCGAATAGGGATTTAAATCTAAATTCTACATTTGAATTTATAGGAGTCAGTGAGTCCAGGAAGTGCCATTATGCGCAGACCAATATCTGGCAATGGCACTAGGGGACAAATAAGCTTTACCAGTCTCAAAGCCCTGGCTACTACAGTGAATCCACCCTTCTCCTGGATCTTATCTACTTCAGCAAAAGAAGGCCACCCACTAAACCAGGCCCTTGTACTTTGGGTGGAAACTCCTAAGTCCTCTAGTCTCCTCAAACAGACAGCCAGGCTGCCAATTTCCACAATAATAATTTCTATAGCACTGAGTCTTTGGTAGCCTTGTAACTATAGCTACTGATGCTACATCTGGTCCCTGTATGATAAAACACCAGAGCAACAGAAACAAAAATATTGACTGAAGCCTTCTAAAATCTCTCTAAATACACTTTCAATAAATATGTTTTTTTTTTACAACACAACTGCGTTCAGCTTCCTGAACTAATGCTTGGCCTTCAATTGTTTTCATAGTTGAAATTGATTCAAAAGTGTACATTTAACATGAAAGTGAATACATAATTTCATGTATCAGCAACTACAATTTTCAAAACGATGCAAAATACAAATGTGAAACTGTATTTGTGAAATATACCATTTTTTCAAATTATATTTTCGTACCTACCCAGGAACAGAATTTTTTATAACTGTCTGCATTTTCTCCTCATGTGGGGCAAAAACAGCATCAGAGTTCTTGAATAATTTATGAAAGACAGGATGGCAATACTATACAAGTTTTACCTATACATAATACTGTATTTAGTTAATGAATAATTAGTTTCAAAAGCCTATTAAAGTATGGAGTAACTAAATAAAATATATTTAGTTCAATAATTCTAAAATACGTTTACATGAAGAAAATAAAACAATGATTAAAATACATAAACAAACAAATGAGGCTGGCATGGCGGCTCACACTTGGATGCCCAACATTTTGGGAGGTCAGTGCAGGCGGATCACAGGAGTACCAGACCAGCCTGGCAAATATGGTGAAACCAGTCTCGACTAAAAATACAAAAATTAGCAGGACATAGTGGCATGTGCCTGTAATCCCAGCTCCTTGGAAGGCTAAGGCGTGGGAATCCTGTGAAGCTGGAGGGAGAGGTTGCAGTGAGCCGAGACTTTTCCCCTTCACTCCAGCCTGGATGACACAGTGAGACTCCATCTGAAAACACACACACGCACACACACATACACCCCAAAAACTGATGAATAAAAAAAAATCCGTATTCGAAAACATGCTCACAGGCTAACTCCCATATCTAACACACACACACACAAAATTCCTTGAAAACGAAAGTTCCACAAGGGGCAAATAAGAAAACAAATTTAACACCCCCCCATATAAAGTAGAAAGAGCAACCTGAAAAGAACCACAGGGGAAAACAATTCAAAATTTACAACTATCTACCCTAAAAGAAGCTGAAAGTCCCTCAAAAACTTTCTAGAGACCATGTCCTTGTGATACAAAATGATCATTAAAACTGGCAGGAGTAGAAGAATAAAAATGCATCCTAAATCTTGCTAAACACTTCAAGTCTCCCATAAGAATTGTAATGGGAAATGGATCAGTCGGCAGCTTTTTCCATACAATTATGAACAAATTATATTTCTTCATACTTAAATTTGTTTTTTCAATATTCTAAGAAATCAACTTTTATATTAATAGTAGGTGATGTAAGAAAGCAGGTCTTTATCAAGATAACTGACACTGGATGTCCATACCATTACTCAAGTGGGCCTTAATTCCCAGCCAGGTTCCCTCCCTGGACACACACTGAAGGTCCCCAGCCATTTGGCAATCTCTTCACATTCCCAGCCCTGGAGGTAGTCCTAAAATACATGTACCTGAAGAAAATAAAACATTGCCTCACACTGGAGCCCAGTGTGGTCCTCCAGATTCCGTGTGAGGTGGACTAACTTATATGGGAAGGCAGGGCAGTGGGAGTGAGGATGGCAGAGAGGATAACACATGTCAAGGCAGCTGGGATCATGGAAACAAAACATGACTGGCCTGGGAGAAACACTGTGAAAGGACATAGACCTAGGTGGGCCTCAGAGGAACATCCTCGTGGAGAAAAAGGGGGCCCTGGTTGATCTCAAAATGAGCCCCAGGTGGTCGCAGGTCTTACTGCAGGGCAGGGAGCTGGTGAGTGATGATGAGACAGCTATCCCTTAAGCCCTGCTTGTCACCCACTGACTTTAGCCACATATGCATCATAGTGGCTTAAGGTGCCCCAATCCTGAAATGTGGGTGTTACATGTCCCTGATGGGCCTCTCTCCCCCAACCCACGGATTGCCTGGGATTGCTCACTGCAGTCTCCTCCAGGATCCTTGGGTTCTCCATGTGGGGCCCAGATCCAGGTCAAAAGGCCTCTCAGTTCCCAGCCCTTCCAAGCCCTAGGCTGCTCGCCTGGCCTCCTCTCTGTTCCGCCTCTAGGGCTGACCCTCTCTCCATGGGATAGAACTGCAATAGATTGAGCCATAGGGCCTGGCTGATGATCTAGGGGACTGCAGAAGTGGGTCCAGGACAGTTCAGGTGACAGTTTAAAGCCAATTCCCCAGAGACCAAGGAATGACCAGCTAGGTCCTTTCCCATGATGCCCCACGGCGAACCCCACCTCAGCAATCCTACCAAAACCAAGGCAGTCATGTTCAGCCAAACAGCTGAATAAGCTCAGGTAGGAGGTGTACTGCCTGCATCTGGAGGCTTGACCTTCATGATCCCAGAACCGCTGGACTGCAGTGGAATGAGACACCCTGTAGCCTTAAGGGAGAGGAGTCAGGAAGGTTCATGCCAGTCCTACCCTCCCACACTCCAGCTTCCCTACCATGCTGGGAGGCATTCCTTACCGAGGATGCCAACACAGTGCTCCTTCATGATGATTTCACTGTGGAAATAAAGGTTGGGATGAAAGGAAATCATCCTGCCACCAGTAACTGGGATGGCTGAGTTCCTCCACCTGCCTGATCAAGGAGAAAGAGGAGGGATTCAATGGGACCATCTCAACTAGCTGGGCTGAGGTGGCCTACTAGCTGTAGTGAACCATGAGTTTCCCCTTCCCAGCTCTCCCACTGAGACAACCCTGGTCCCCAGGGGGACCTCAAACTGACTCAGACACTGGACTCCTCCCACAGACCCAGGCTCCCCAGCCTGACCTGCAAATCCATCACGTAGCAAAGCAGGACTTCCGCATGCTTTCCGACCCACGCCGACATCTCGTGTGCCAAACAATCTACCTCTGCGCAAGAACTCTCCAGAGGATTGGGTGGGCAAGCCTCGTGACGCCTTGCAATTTCGCAAGAACACAGACAATGTGGAACAGGGCCATCTCCCAGACATTTGGCCAGTCACCCTTCATTGTTGGCCCTCTATCTCTGTCTGGCGAGGAGGCAACGCCACAACTGTGGTGGTTTTTGGAGTGGGTGGACCCTGGCCAAGACGGCCTGGGCTGACCAGAGACGGGAGGCAGAAAAAGTGGGCAGGTGGTTGCAGCTGAGGGACGGGAGGGGCCGGGGGTGGTGTGAGGCGGCTGCTTCTCTGGGTTTCTGAGATGCAGGAGGCCTTTGTGTGCTGGGTGCTGGACATGCTCCGCTGATGTCCGGGTGTGTGGTGTCCTCTTATCCTAGTCTCCCTGAGGGGTGGGCCTGTCCACTTGACGGAAGCCCTGTAGTTAGAAGCGACAGCAGGGTCGTGCCTGGCGCTCTCCATGGGAATTGGGTGGGTGCAAAGGAAGTTATATAGGCTCAAGGCCTACACACCTTTGGGTGCAGCGCCCGCAGGGGGAAGAAAGCATATCTGGGGAGCTGGTACCTGCCCTGAGGTGGTCGGCAACCCCATGCACCATGAACTCGTTTTAAGCACCTTGTGTTTCTGGGGTGAGCCTGCTGGAAACAGGCACCGAGAGCAGGGGTGGTTCAATGGCTGGCAATGGCATACAAATTCACCGTCCTCCAGGTACGTTCCCAGGGAAATGTCCCCTTCGACTTTGTGCTGTGCGGCAAGGGAACTTGGCGCCGCGATTCTCCCTTGTGAGTGCTGTGCTTGGCTCCCCTTCCCTACCACGTGCTCCCAGGGGTGCTACAAGAAGCTGCCCTCACAGCTGCAGCAACGTGGCTTCGGCTCCCACCCTGTCCCCCATACCCTGCCTCCTGGCTGACCCCACGTGCCTCCCACCTGGCTCCTCCCCGCAACCAGCCCCAATGCCCCCCTGAAGCCCAATGACTATCCCTTGCTGCCAGCCATCCCGAATCGGCAGCTGCAAAGTATGGCTCTGGCCCACAAGGCGGAGATGCTCTGTGGCCTGGGGCATTCACGGAGCCCACCTCCAAGTGAAGGACTTCCAGCGAGTCCATTGACGGCCCGGGTGTGCTCGGTCCAGGGCCAGGCTGTGCCCGCTGGCCCTCCTTCTGCCACCCCACGTCGGGCTCCACCTCAACCACCACCTCCACCTCAGCCATGATGTCTTCCACCTTCAGCACCGCCTCCTCTTCCAAGGCCGCCTCCTTGCTCTGTACACCGGCCGTCCTCTCCAGCATTGCCTCCAGCCTGAACACAGTGCTCTCCTGGGTGCTCCCACAGCCCCCGGGCCTGCGCAGCCTAGCCCAGCCCATGTCCTGCACCCCTAGGCTCTGGGGGCCCGGGCTCCAACAGACCCACTCCTTGAAAGACCCACGGGCGTCGCCCTGCTGAGAACCTAGTCCCACACCTACGTGGACCCAGGTTTCCTGAGGAGCTCCGCTGGACCCGCAGATCTGGCACTGGTCAAAGGCCTCCGGTCCCCAGCAGGCTCAAATGCGGACAGGAGCTTGGGAGCCAGAGGCCCAGGCCCTGGGCTTGCAGAGCCCCACCAGCAGGCACCGCAGCCGCTGCTGCGGGTGCGGGAGCTTCTGGATCGTCAAGGCAGCGCACAACAGCGTGCGCGCAGGCCGACAATGGCCAACCCTGGCGGCTGGCCTCTGGTGTGCCCAGGGCATAGGACAAGAGGCCCTTTGGAATGCTCCTTGGAGTACAGCATCCTCAGGGAGGAAGCATGGTACTCGGAGCCTCTATTTGCCTCGACCTGTGAGAGTGTGTGCCGGGGCTCTGGCCTCTACAGCAGATCAATTCCACCTCAGCACCGGCAGGCGACTTTCCTCCCACGTGCCCGCCCCGACTCACTTCCCCTAGTCCAACCCTGCCGCCCTAGCCCCAGCAACCAGACTTCTCTGGATCCGCAGTATTACTTCCGTACCATCTACCTGGCCTGCCTAACGAAGAGAGATGTTTTGTGTGTTCATGACACATAGAGATGATCATGGCTTGCCACACTCAGGATGTCAGGGCACAGGGCTACCATGCCCACAATTCCAAAGACCACGCAGCCCGCGTGTGCCTGGACTCTGAGCTACCCGGCACAAGCTCCAAGGGCTTCTCGGAGGAGGCTCGGGGACGGAAGGCGTGGGGTGAGTGGGCTGGAGATGCAGGCGCGCCCGTGGCTGTGCAGCCCAGGGAGACGCCCGCCGCCCTCCCATTGATTGGCCATGAGGGAAGGAAGTCGGCCTGGGTGCGGCCCCTTGGCCCTTAGCGCGCAGTCCCTTAGGGGTCTCCTGGAAACCCGGCGCATGCGGCCCTGAGGGCCCGCTGACCCACCGGGTGCCCATCTGCGACAGGGTTCCTATGGCGTGGGTGGAGCAGCACAGGCCTTGGTGTGTGCGGTGCCGAGGAGGGCACTGCCTTCAGGATGGAGGCTGTACAGGAGGGGCGGCCGGGGTGGAGAGTGAGCAGGCGGCTTTGGGAGTTGGAGGCAGTGCTGGTGGCAGATGACATAATGGCGGAGGTGGAGGTGGTGGCCCAGGAGGAGGCCCTCGTGGAGGGGCAGGTGGAGGCCCAGCGGGCACAGCCTGGCCCTGGGCCCATGACCCCAGAGTCTGCACTGGAGGAGCTGCTGGCCGTTCAGGTGGAGCTGGAGCCGGTTAATGCCCAAGCCAGGAAGGCCTTTTCTCGGCAGCGGGAAAAGATGGAGCGGAGGCGCAAGCCCCACCTAGACCGCAGAGGCGCCATCATCCAGAGCGTCCCTGGCTTCTGGGCCAATGTTGTATCCTTCTCAGTGTTTCTTCGGCCTTTCTAGTGGAGAGGTGCTCTCGGGAAAGTGTAAGTAACTGATGGGCAGCTCGGCTTCGATGTGACTC
The DNA here is from genome assembly GCF_000001405.40 of Homo sapiens. Lineage (NCBI taxonomy): Eukaryota > Metazoa > Chordata > Mammalia > Primates > Hominidae > Homo > Homo sapiens. The sequence goes on from NC_000024.10 coordinate 9,548,675, forward strand.
TTTGGGGAACAAAGGGGAGTTGCCACGGACAAATGTGGCTGTGGAAAGCCGGAGCAGGCGTGGGTACTATTGTCCTGCATGCGGCAGAGAAACCCTTGGTGATGCCGAGCAGCAGACGTTTGGGGCATCTTTTTGAAGAGCAGAAGCGAGTTCAGAGCAGAAGACGTTTTTCAGTGAATCAAGGTATTTTTAAGGGAGTGTGATTGCTGCCACTTGCTAGTCCGATCTGCGACTGGGCGTCTTCGACTATAAGCAGATTCTGCCACTCCTCAGACACCAGCAACTCTCCGCACATCACGCCTCCCCATGTCAGTGCAGTCAGCCTCAGAATTATACACCCTCCGTGAACACAGGAGGCCTTAGTTTACGGGGAGGGGGAGGCGAAAGGAGGTCATACATGGAAGCAGATCTGAGAAATCCCCTACCCCAGCCTCTGGGTGCTCTTAGGCCTTCTTCCCTGTTGCTCCTCGCTTTCCCTTCCATCGTGTGTAAAGTCTCTTTGACCTAAATCAGATTGCACACCACCCCCAGATGTCAGCCCTGATCACTGACCAAGATGAAGACATGCTGAGCTACATGATCCACCTGGAGGTAAGGCCAGGAAGACTGAGGCTAGAGGGTTTAGTGGGGGAGGGTAAGGGAAATAATTCATTCCTGTAAGCAACAGCAGGCATCTCACCCGAAAAGGTATTTAAGCTTTCTCCACCTTGCCCTGACAGGTGGAAGAAGTGAAGCATCCAGTTCACCTGTGCAAGATCATGTTGTTGTTTCAGAGTAACCCTTACTTCCAGAATAAAGTGATTACCAAGGAATATCTGGTGAACATCACAGGTGACAGGTGGCTCCCAGGATGGGTGGTGGAAGGAAGATGGTGGGTGGATCATTGCCAATGTGATCCAATCCCCTTCCCGCAAAAATTCCTGTCTCTGTAGAATACAGGGCTTCTCATTCCACTCCAATTGATTGGTATCCAGATTATGAAGTGGAGGCCTATCGCCGCAACCACCACAACAGGAGCCTGAATTCTTCAACTGGTTCTCTGACCACAACTTCGCAGGATCTAACAGGATTGCTGAGGTGAGTCCTCACTGGGAAACATGAGGAATGACCCCATGTGTTCCCAGCTGCTTGGGTCACCATTCTGAGTCCTGATGAGGCCTTTCCCGATGGATTCCCCTGACAGATCCTATGTAAGGACCTGTGGTGCAATCCCCTGCAATCCTACAAGAGGATGAAGCCACCTGAAGAGGGAACAGAGATTTCAGGTGAGCTGTTCAGTTGGAACTGAAGCTTTTTGATCCCCAGGATAAGGAGGTTGACACACCTGCCTATTCAGGGAGCCTGGAGGCTCATTTCAGAAATGTAGAAATTGAGCCTCCTTTCATACATGTAGAAATTCCTTGAGAGGAAGACAGAGTGTGACAGAATCCAGGACATTCATGGCATTGGGCTGAAAAAGGCACATTAGAGACTGCACTGCAAAGCACGTTATAGCTGTGAAGTCTTAAGCCCAGCGAAGCATCATCCATTTCCAGAATCACTGAGAAGAAAAGCTAAAAATCCTTCACTTCAGTCTGTGGCACTTGATTCCATGGCTGTCAACCCCACCGGCAGTCATCCTACCAACCCCATAAGATTGGGCTCCCTGAATGTGCGTCCTGGTCCTCCTTGCCCCAAACCACAAAGGACTGTTTACATTGATGGATTTCCTTAAGCTATTGCCCCATCAGATTTCTGTGTGCTTTTAGGGTACAGTGCATCTTGTTAGCTGACTCCCCTCACAGAGAATACTGGGAATGGGGCAGGGATTGCACAGAACAGTTTGTAACACGTGGTAGGAGGAAGTTTAAGGGATCACAAATGGGGAAGGGATATCCTTTTCTCAGCGGGCCCTACAATTGAAATATTTCAAAGTATGGCTCAGAGAAAATGCATTTTGACATGTGTTTGTGTTTCTCCAGGGTACTCCCAGATGTTGAGTTGAGTCTCTCCCCGATGTTGAGTTGAGTATGATGGAGCATCACACTTTACCGAAAGCAGCAGAACTCCTAAAAAGTTACTACAGTATGCAGGATGTCAGTATTCAGCATGGTCTTATGCACAGGAACTAAAGGAAAAACAGATCGAGTCACAGAAAATCAGACAGGAAGAGGGGGTAAACTTGGATTGTATGGAATGAAAAATAAACATTCTCAAGGATATGTGACTCTGTGTTTGTGTGTGTTTCTCTGTTTGGGTGTGTGTATGTGTGTGTATATTTATCCCCTGGATCCGGGTGTCATAATGAATTGATCAATCCATGTGCATTATTCTCTTCATGGAAATAACCAGTCTGTGTTGGAGCTGGGCCTCTAAAGTTGTAGAGTGAATAGGTGTGGAATGTGTTGAGATTCTTCCTACAGGACAGAGTTGGGGAGGTAAAAGCAAAAGACAGCTTAGTTGGAGGCTTACTTCGTCCTATGGAAGCAGAGGTAGTTCAAGGAAAGGGGTCAATAGGCACTAAGGTTTCCAGGGCCCAGTTTGCTGGGACCTCCAAAATCCTTCATTTTGGTATCATCATACCCAATAGATAGCACAGGATGATAGAAATCTTAAAGTTCAATTTCGTGTTGAATTCACATGTTCTCCTTTTAAAGGTGAATGCATAATCCTTTTCTGGGACAATCAGCCTCTCAGGACTTCTCAGACATCAACTTGAGAAGAAATGGGCATGTAACCTGTATGGAGGCACTGTGGGAAAGGTGACAGAGGCATGTGGGAAGGCATTCAGGATACTGGCATAGATGACTAAGGGAAAATGCAAACTTACAGAAGTGAGGGAAAAGGGGGAGGATTTGTGGAATATAAGATTGCTGGAGGATCCACACATGGACTCTCTTGTCACTTGATGACCAGGATATGGACACTCTTGTTGATGTTTATATCTTTAGTTGTTTTAAGCTTTTCTCCAAGATTCTATGTTAAGTGAGGAGCCAATAATGTATGTAGCTAACAACATTATGAGTGCATTTTGTGCTCTTGCACATTCTAGTGAGGCTCTATTCTCCCTAGTGATGGGCACTGCAGATTATTTCTAGAGCCAGGACCCTTTTATTTTCTTTGGCCTTTTCAGCATACTTTGCCTAAGATTAATAATATAAAGAGAATATAGTTGCAGAGTATGTGTTGCAAGCCTCACACAGGAGGACAAAACATACAGTGTTCATTCTCGAGTGGGTGGCTGCTTCCCAGGGACACCTGTGTCTATGCACAAGATAAGGGGTTGCCTCTATCATAGAAGGGGGAGGAGGATTTCATTGTTGGGCACAGAACTTTCTTCCCTGTTCCCAGATAAAACAGTTCCAACATGAGCATCCATGTTGGCCACACACTAATAGAGTGCTAACATTCCTGTCCTCTACAGACTCTGGTCAGCACAGCTCCTGAGAGAAGAGCTGTGTTGTTTCAGGGAAGGGTGTTTGACAGTCAAAGTTCATGAATCTGTTGTGCTGCCTTCAAAAAGCATTCCACACCTCCTGCTCGGTATCAGCAGTTGAGCTTTGAAAATCTATAGCCCAGTTTTGCCCCTGCTCCTATGCAAAGAGCTGAGGCTCTCCAGCAGGAGTCTTGTCCTCCTCTGACTACTGTCCCCATGTCCCACAAACACAGGAGAAACGGGTTTCCTCAGCAAATTATTATGAAAACAGTTGGAACCCTTTGGCCCCCGCAAGCTGCCATTATCTTACTGTGTGCTGGTCAAAGGCACTGTGGTCCAGTACAGTACCCCTATAGTGGAATGGGGCAACAGATTGGTGTGTGCACTCAGGGCAACTCAGATTAGGAAACATCTGGGGACTTGCCTATAATGAGGTCGTCTGAAAAGGTCTTGCCCCAAATTTAATGCATAGGAAAAAGTTGAGGAAAGGGTCTTGCAATTATTTTTCTAGGAGGTAAATAGAAAAGAAAAATACCGTAAATAGATGCCAGGGCTAGTTTTGGAGCTAGACTGTTTTAAAGTGGTACGGGAAGCACTTTTTCCAAGGCAGGCAGCAAACCAGGAACTGTCTACAATGGATGGGCATGCCATGAGTTGCTGGCTCAGCCATATTGACACCCCAGTAAGTGAATGCAGCAGACTGGGCTTCTTCCTCCATTCCTACATACAATTCAGTCTAGTGATTTCACATGAGAACCCTTCTTTTGGTATTATCAGAGATGGTGCTGAATTATACAGGCTGTCTAATGATTCTTCCACTGCATGTTCATGCACATGGGCCGCAGATACTAAGGTCACTGACAAATTTGTATTCTGCCTCAGTAACTCTGAAACACCTGTGTTATTTCTAGTGTCAGGGTCTTGGTGTTTTTTCATGTTTAAACTACCACGTGTGTGTTTGTAGTTGTGTATGTTTATTTTTCTGTGTGGGTTTATATGTTTTCTCTGACTCCACCTATGTCTCTGTCTACCCAATAGGTTTCCACACTACTTGTAGTAATTTTACATGCCTATCTCTACAACCGTGCTGGACTTTGTATCTGTGTCTTTGAACATCGATCACTCTCTGTCCCTTCCTTTTTTTCCTTTCTTTCCTTTACACCCCTCCTTTCTTCCTTCCCCACCACACGCTTTCCATCTGTATCATCTGTCTTTTTATTCTCTATCTAAATTCAGTTTGTAATTCTGAATCTGTTATCAGTGGCATCAGATTATCATTTTAATGTCTGGATGAAATTCCTCTTTCAAAGACTCTCAGCTGAAGGATATGAGTTCTTTTTTTGAGCCACAATGAAGGGTTTATTTCTGGCCGATCTAGCAATGACTGTTAAAAAAAATACTGGGCATGACAGGAAAGCCAAAAATCACACGGATTCCACTCATCCCACTCAGTGTATCCAAAAGGTGGAAAAGTGAAAAAGTGGGTGATTCCTGTGGTCTCCAAAGCAGAATGAGAACTTTCAAGTGATTGTGTCAGATCATTTTCCAGGAGGCAGCTGTAGTTCGTAGATACATGCTGTGTAAACACAAGCACAATGATGAAACCAATAAAATGTTCTTCTCCCTCTGTTTTAATGTTATTTTATCTTTTTAACAAATATTATACATACATAATTTCTTCATGACATGTCATAAACTATTGTTTAATGAACTCATACATGAGTTCTTCATTGTGTCAAAGAATGTCAAAGCATCATGATTCGTTATGACCTGCTACAGATAAGTGATAGGAAATAACAAAATGAGGGCATATAGAAAGGACAAATCATGATCTGAGAACTTCACCAAGAGGTTCAGGCTAGATGAATGTATGTCAGGGATTCAGAAAGAAACTTGCACTTGTTATTAAGGGCTATGAATCCAAAAGAAGCACTCTTTGACATTTATGTCTTTTAACTCATTTGGGGAGTTTGGTGTGTTATTATTTACAGTGTTCTCTCTACCTTTTTTCATTATTCTCCCCATCTGGGGCTGTTATTATGTGAAAGCTGTTTCCTAGGATTGCATAAGGTCTACTGATATTTCATTTATTTTGATTCTCCTCACACTACATAGTTTTAATTTACCTAATGTGACGCTTTTTGTGTTCATTTCCTTAGAATGGGTCTTACTCTGTCTCCTAGGTTGAAGAGCAGCCCCATGATCTCTGCCCACTGTAGCCCAGACACCACACACCTATGTGATCCTCTCAACTTAGACTCTCACACACCTGGCAGTACAGGTGCATGCCACCCCTCCCAGCTATGTATTAATTAATTAATTAATTAATTAATTACTTTTTGGATGTGGGCCCATGTTGCCCCAGGCTCATCTGGAACTCCTGAGTGCAGGCAATCCTCCCACCTCAGCCTCTCAAAATGCTGGGATTACAGGTGTGACCCATGGCCCGGCCATGGCTTTGTGTTTTTTGCTTTTTATTCCTCCTCCTCACGTCTTCTATTGAAACATGCAGTGAAGGTTTCAATTCATGGACTATAGTCTCCGCGCCTGTAATTTCTATCTTTCAACTCATCATCGGCCTTCACTGGGATTTTCATATATATGTATATACATGTACACATATATTTTTTTCTTAACTTACCAAACGACGTCGCATTCTTTCCTGTATCATGAAAAAGACTTTGATAGAAAAGAAAAGCACTGCTTTATAATAAAATACTTTATTGACATTTATTCTCTTGAGGAATTTTAAAAATTGTTTATTTTTTAAAATGGCGTATGAAAAGATACATGTTTATAACTTACGGGGTGATGTTCCAAAGGTCATATACATTATGCAGTGGATGCATTCAGCTAATCAACATAAGCATGACCTCACATACTTGTCATTTTTGTTGTGAAAAAACTGACAAGCACTGTCTTCGAATTTTTTAGAGAAAGAATATATTATCCCTAGTTATAGTCAGCATGCTGAAGAAAATGTTTTTAACCTATTCCTCCTTTCTAACTAGAAATATGTATTTTTGATACAGCATCTCCTCAGTGCACCCTCTTCACCCCAACCATTGGAGTCACTACCTCTGTGAGGTCTGCTTTTTATATTTCATATAAGGATGAGGTCATGTGCTATTTGCCTTTCTGATACATGGCTTATGTCACTTAACAAAATGGCATGCACACATTCAGCATATTCACACACATTGTCACAACTGGCAGGATTTCCTTTTTTATTACTGCAGTGCATTTTTCTGTTGTGCATATGTGTTTTTGCCCCATTTTTTTAATCCACTCATCAATCGAGGGACTCTCAGGTTGCTTCTGTATTTTGGCTATAGCAAAAATGTAAAGAGTGCAGCAATAATTGCATCGGTGCATGCACCGCTTCAACATACTGATATGTGTATTTGTGGGTGTGCCCCAGAATTCTGATTTGCTGGATCATATGGTGGGTGGTTCTACTTGTAGATTTCTGAATACTGTTTATACTTAAATAAAAGCCATAAAGCTTCTTGTAATGCCTGCACTACTTTACATTCTCACCAAAAGTGAGCAATGATTTCCTTTTCTCTGCATCCTCACTAGAAATGAGCATTTTTGTTTGTTTGTTTGTTTGTTTTGTCTTTTGGATAATAGGCATTCTGACTGAAATGAGAAGAAATCTCACTCTGTTTTTGATTTGCATTTTCCTGAAGGATTAGGACTTTTTAGTGTGTCTTCTGGGCAACTGTATGTCTTCGTTTTACAAATGAGTATTCACAGCCTTAGCCCATTGGTTTTCATGCTATTGATTTGTTGGGAGTTCCTTATGTACTGTGAATATTCACCAGTTAGCAGATGCATGGTGATCCAATCATTCCTCCCATCCTGTAGGATGTCCCTGTCTGTTTAGTTTTCTGTGGTGTGTGGAAGCACTTTAGTTTGATATGATTCCGTTCTCTATTTTTGATGGTGTTTACTGTGCTCTCGCAGTCACTTTGAGACCATCATTGCCCACAGGGTTGCCGTGGAGCTTCTTCCTTGTGATTTCTCCTAGTATTTTTATCGTTTCAAGTCTGACATTGGAGTTTGGTGAGAAATAATCCACTTGTAAAATGCTTTATGTGGATACTCAGGTTTTCCCCAGCCTAGTTTATAGAAGATACTTGATTTTGCACTGGGTATTCTTGCTTCTTTGGGAAAAGGCTGTGAGCTGCAAATGCAGTGACTTAGTTCTGGGCTCCTATTGTTTCTCATAAGCTCGAGTCTTCCCTTTTCTGCCAGTGCTATTCTATTTTGGTACGTAAAGCTTTGTAGTAGATCATGAAGTTAGGCAGTGTGATGCCTCCAGCTTTGTGCTTTTTACTGGTTTGCTCTGGGTTTTCAGGATCTTCTGCCATTTCATAGCAAATTTAGGATTCTCAGATTGTTTTTCTAAGAATGGGTCATTGATATTTTTACAGGGGTTGTATAGAATCTGAAGATCACTTAGGTAGTACTGATGTCAGTGCCATTTAGACAATGTGTGTGTATGCACATGCACAGGGCCAAGAGACACTGGGTGTCCTCACCAATAGTGAGGTGCGCCTTAATGTCCAGACAGATTGCCTTCCTGGAAGCACTCGGAAGGTCCCCTTCCTTCTTGCTGTCTCTTCACATTTCCTCCCCTGTGAGCCCTCTGTGGTCCTCCAGATTCCCTGTCTTTTTGGGGGGTGGAGAGTTGCTGAGTTTGGCCTGCCTTTTTTAGGGGCGGGGAGTTGCTGGCTGAATGAGGATGGCAGAGGGAAACGAGCATGTCAGAGGAGACTGGCATCATCCAAACGGAACTTGGCAGCCCTGGGAGAGTCATTCTGGGAGGATGCAGACCTAGAGAGGCCTCAGGTGGGCATCTGTGTGGAGGGTGAGAGAGCCCTGGTTGAGTCCAAGCTGAACCCCAGGTAGTAAGTAGCAAGTCTCAGGACAAGGAAGGGAGCTAGCAAGGGCTGATGAGGCAGCTATCTCTTGATCCTGGCTTCTCACCCATTGACCTTAGCTACTTATGTCTATTAAGCAGATTAGGGTTCCCCCATCCTGAAACGTGGGTACTACAGTTCCCTGGTGGGCCTTTCTCCACCAGCCTATGATGGCCTAAGTTTGCTTACTGCAGTCTCCTCCTTGAGCCTTGGCTTCTCTATGTGTGTCCTACCTCCAAGACCCACAGGCCTCTCAACCCCCAGCCCTGGGCTGCTTCCCTGGCCTCTTCTCTGTTCCCTCTCTGAGGGCCTAACTCCCTTGGGTAGTGCTGCAGAATATAGAGCCACAGGCCCTGGCTGATGATCTGGTGGACTGGGCAAATTGGTCATGACAGGTCAGGTTCTGGTTCAAAGCCAATTCCTCTGATGCCAAGGAATGTCGAAGAAGGTCCTTTGCCATGATGCCCCATAGCTGCCCCACCTCAGCAATCGTGCCGTACCCTGGGCAGTCACAGTCAGCCAATCAGCTGAAGAAGCTCAGTTAGGTAGTGACCTGCGGGAAACTCGGGCTTTCACCTGCATGACCCTAGAACCACTGGACTGCAGTGGAGCCAGTCGCCCTGTATCCTGGAGAGAGAGGAGTCAGCAAGGCTCACGCCAGGCACGGCTTCCTGCATACTGTCCCCTCTAACATGCCGGGAGGCACTCCTCATTGAGGATACCAATGCAATACTCCTTACTGATCACTTCATTGCGGAAGTAAACGTTGTGATGAAAGGCAAACTTCTTCCTGACACTTGTACTCAGGATAGTTGAGTTCCTTCACCTGCCTGTCCAAGAGGGAGAAAGAGGACAGTCAAGGGATAATTTCATCTAGGTGGGCTGATGTGGCCTTGTAGCTGGGGTGAAGCATGCGTTTCCACTTCCCAGCTCTCGCACTGAGACACCACTGAGCCCCAGGAGAACCTCAACCTGACCAGGACCTTAGCACCCTCCTCCAGACCCAGGCTTCCCATCCTGACTTGCCAATCCAACATGTAGATTTGCAGGACTTCCTCATGGTTTCTGAGCTACTTGCTGTCATCAGAAATGATCATAACTTTTAAACTGTTGTTTATGCCAACCTAAATTTTTCATTTTTACTACCTCATGTTTTGGATGAGGCATGTATTTTTAAATTTATTTTCACCCTTATTGTACCTCTGTGATAAACTGCTTACTTACATTCATACCATAATTTTCTTTCACTTTTACTTCTCTGTTCCTAAAGATTCACTGAAACTAAGAATTCTATTTACGCTTGTATCTTTCAGCAACCATATGTCAGATAACAGTGCACATTACTGCAGAAATCACATATACAGGTCCAAAGGGAGATGACGAAGAAGAAAGCAAGCTTTAAAGTCTATACATTCCTAACACTGTATCAGAAACTCACAAATAACAATGAAATCAAAGAATGATCACAGCCAATTCCATTTCATACCTAGACTGAAATATAAAACTTCAAAAGAAAAGAAAGTTAAGAACTTTGGGTTTGTAAAAATTTTCCTATATAGATAAAATTATTGGTAACTTTGTCTCACTAGAAAACATAAACAAAAATCCACATTTTTCATATGTGTAAATATACATATTTTTATTTCCATCAGTTATGACATGCAAGCAAGTAATAAAGTGAAAATACAATAAAATGATATATGGAACTTCCTCAGTCTCAAAATATTACATTGAGACTATTAATTTTATGAAAACCATAAAGAATGCTTCATGAAATTATATTATACGTACTTTTTAGTATTTTACTTACATTTTAAATAATCAACAATTAAAGGGAATTTTTCAACATTATTGATTATGAATACCAATATTTTCCTTGAGTAATCCTGTTGAAATTAACTATTTTAAATAAAACATTAAAAAGAAAGTATATTAAATGATTTCAGCTTTTGATGAAGTCATACACCTGTAATTGTAGTAAGGTGAAGTATAACTTTCTCCTCATGATTAATCTTTTATAACACCAGTGTAGTTGTTTTCTCTGACACCAACATTGTGATATCTCAGGGCTTTACTGTATCCATACATTACATGCCTCCAGAGAGTAGGCTTCAAACATAATGAAAAATTATATTTGTGACAAAATTGTTGGAAAGGGAATGGTAAAATGGGAGAATAATTTCTAACTTTCTGACTGTTGGTCAATGGAATTATATATATTTAGATACAGACACGTATTTGCACACTGTAAGTTTGCCCTTGTACATATACATTTATATGAGATACCCATAATATATGGGTTGTGTAATCTTTTAATTAATCCACAATTGTATATGTGTGAAATTGGATAAGCAGTTACTGTTTCTTTACTCAATTTGATGGAAAGCCAAAAAAACTCTGTCAACATTCATTTCAATTAATCCAATACTGTTAACTACTGCTAGCTTCATTCTCCTTGTTCTCTTTTGTCAATCTGAAAGTTAATTCTCACTCTAATTCAACTCTCAGGGTGCGATCCACAAAAGACTTTCATCTTGCTGTCGATTGTGACCTCTAACTCCACCTCTTTCTTCCTATAGCAGTCCTACCTTTGCATATGTAGTAAACTTTGTACATAGTTAAAAGGATAAAAGTTCAGTGAAATGTCAAGTCATACTGTGAAATGTTCCATTGTTTCTATATCTCTAATTGTCCTTTCATGTTATAGAGGTAAGAAAAAAAATTCAATGTTTTTCTTAGTATCCAGTCTAATGCACTCTTTCTTCATAATATGCCAAACCCATCCCTTCAAGACATTGACATCTAAACATGGGTGAACATCTCAAAATCTCTTCTCATTAATAACCATTATGTTAATCACTATTGCCCACAACTGGAATCTGACTGTTAAATCCCCCAGTGGAAATTGCTGTAATGGCTCAAACTACTGGAATGTCTATTTTTTTACCTGAAAATATCTGATGAGCATATACATATGCTATGTAAATGAACATATTGTATATTAACAACATACCTTCACTAATAATAGGTATCCCAAACCTTTGAGCCAAACTGAGCTCAGATGCTCCCACAAACCAAGCTTTTTCCTGCACAGATTTCTTTTTATGTCAAAAAACCACAACTCCAGGCCGGGCATGGTGGCTCTTGCCTGTAATTTCCACATTTTGGGAGGCCGAGGTTGGTGGGTCACTTGAGATCAGGAGTTTGAGAACAGCCTGGGCAACACGGCAAAAACCTGTCTCTACCAAAAATATAAAACTTATCCAGGCCTAGTGGCACATTCCTGTAGTCCCAGCTGCTTGGGAGGCTGAGGCAGGAGAACCGCCTGAACCTGGGAGGCAGAGGTTGCAGTAAGCCAAGATCTCACTACTGCACTCCAGCCTGGATGACACAGCGAGACCCTGTCTCAAAAAAGAAAAAAAAAAAAAAAGACAACTGCACTTGTCCACTCGCTTAGGTAAAAAATACTGTAGTTGGCTGGGCACGGTGGCTCACGCCTGTATTCCCAGCATGTTGGACTTTGGAAGGCTGAGATGGGCAGATCACCTGAGTTCAGGACTTGGAGACCAGCCTGGCCAACATGGTGTAGCCAGGCCTCTACTAAAAATACAAAACCATTAGCTGGGTGTGGTGATGCATGCTTGTAATCCCAGCTACTGGAGAGGCTAAACCTGGGAGGCGGAGGCTGTGTTGAGCAGAGATCCTGCCACTGCACTCCAGCCTTGGCTACAGAGCAAGAGTTCCCTGTGAGAAACAAAGGTGAATAAAACAACAAAAAAAAAATTAGAAAAATAATACCCACTGCAAAAGTTTGCCACAGAAAAGATTAAACATTTCACCAACTTCTACCTTCTATAACGGAAGCCAAAGTTATTTGGACCAACCCTCCTGTATTAGTTCATTTTCATGCTGCTGATAAAGACATACTTGAAACTGGGAAGAAAAGGAGGTTTAATTGGACTTACAGTTCCACATGGCTGGGGAGGCCTCAGAATCATGGTATGCGAATAAAGGCACTTCTTACATGCAATGCCAAGAGAGAATGAAGAAGAACTTAAAGCGGAAACCCCTGAAAAACCCATCAGATCTCGTGAGACTTCTTCACTATCACAAGAACAGCATGAGAAAGACCAACCCCCGTCGTTCAATTACCTCCCCCTAGGTCCTACCTGCAACATGTGGGAATTCTGGGAGATACAATTGAAGTTGAGATTTGAATGGAGACACACCAAACCATGTCACTTCCCAAACAATTAAAAATTCCCAATAGAAGAAGCATTAATTATATCAAAAAGTGGTGGACCAAGAAGGAACTATTAGCCTCATATCTCAAGAAAGACTCCAGTCAAGGCCTAGGGACTACTCATGAAAAGAGTTTAATAGCCGACTCTCTCCCAGTGGATCTGGATTCCACCGGACTGTATCTTCACAGTAAGGGTGAAAGAGAAGCAAACCCATTCCTATTTCCAAGCTCAAGGAACTTTGGTCAAAGTTCTCTTGGAGCTGAGCAGAACAAGGAGGCAAACAGAAACAATTTGTGTCCCTGAGAAGTCATGGCCACAGGCTGGCTATCACACAGATTGTCAAGCCAGTTCCATATTGCATGGGTATTACAGAAAATCTCAAAACATAAATTTGTGTGTGTGTTGTCCCAGAGTAGCAGGATCTGGCAGAAGGAAATTTCCTTCTAACCCTCAAAGAATCCACATAAATCTTGTTACATTTGGGATTTTACCATTTGCTTCATGAATGATAATGGACTTTAGTTTTCATATCTTTTTATCCACTCAGTTTATGTCTTGTTGGCATCAAAGTTCTGCTTGCCTCACACAATGAGTTTAGGATTTTCCCTTTTTCATTCTATAGAATTCTTCATATATATTGAAATGCTCTGCCTGGGGAAAAAATCTGAGCCTAGTGTTTTATCTCTAGGAACAATCCTTTATTTCCTTGAACATGTATGAGATAATTCAGATTACATATGCCTTCTTGTATCAATTTTACTAAGCTATAAATTTATAAAATTCTATTTGGTCTAAGTTTTCAAATTTGTATCATAAAGTTTTAATCATATTTCCTTATTAGCTTCTTAATCTCTACTGTATCTATGCTTATGTATTTTTTAAATTCTTCATTTTATTTGTGCTTTTCTCTTTTTTTCTAACCTTGCCTGCGGTTTGCACCATTTATTACATTTTTCCAACAACCAAAGGTTGGCTTTGTATGTTTTACTAATTTTCTCTACATCATTATCCCCTCACTTTAGTTTTTCAGAATTGATTCTGTTGTTTCTGTTCTAATTCTTTCTTTAAATATCTAGTACATTAATTTTCAAGTTGTAGAAACATTTGTCTATGAACTCCTATTGCAATATCACTTTTCCTGCTACCCACAAATTTAATCTGTAATATTTGCAGTACCATTAATTTCTATTATGAATTTATATTATGATAATCCATGAGTTGCTGAGAAATAGCTGTTATAATTTTGTTGTTCAATTCCCATTTAATTTTATTTTAACTTGTGCTAACTCAGTTGAAAATTCTTTACTAATTTTTTAAATCTCATATCAAGACTTTTATTCACATCAATTGTTCTATAAATGCTCCCTCCTTGAAGAACACTCTCTTGTAGGCTGCTTCTCTGCAACAGTCTTGACTGGTTGCCTTCTAGGCCTGATTCAATTGTCTCATCCTAGGAATTTCATTCACTACGCTTTTAAGAATTTATTTCTCTTTTGTTGTGTCTCTTATTTTCTGCATTTCAGAATCTTTGTCTGTCTTGGTTTACTTCTTCCTTCTGGTTGGAAGAAATCTCTAGTAGTTTCTTGAGAAAAGTTTCACAGGGAGACAAAATTTCAGAGTTGTCATATTTCTGAGAAATGTATGTTTTCTCCTTGTACATTTGATTTTAGTCTATGTGGAAATAACAATGTATATCAGAAATCATTTTCTTTTAGAATTTTCAAATCAGAACTCCGTAATTCATTGCCTTCTGCTTTATAGTGGTGGAGTTGATTTTTTTTTTTTTATTTGAGATGGAGTTTCGCTCTTGTTGCCCAGAGTGGAGTGCAATGGCATGATCTCAGCTCATTGCAACCTTTACCTCCTGGGTTCAAGCAATTCTCCTGCCTCAGCCTCCCCAGTAGCTGGGATTACAGGCACGCACCACCATGCCTGGATAATTTTGTGTTTTTAGTAGAGACGGGGTTTCTCCCTGTTGGTCAGGATGGTCTCAAACTCCTGACATAAGGTGATTTGCCTGCCTTGGCCTCCCAGAGTGCACCTTGGCCTCTCAAAGTGCTGGGATTACAGTCATGAGACACCATGCCTGGCCAATGTTGAAAATTTTTAAATCATCTGATTCCTCATCCTTTGTACCTGACCTATTTTTACCTCTCTGGAAACTTACACAATTTTCTCTTTGTTCTCAGTGTTCCCAAATTTTACATTGATATATCTTGACATGAGTCTATTTTCATCTATTTTGCTAGGTGTTCACCTTTTAATCTATAAATAAGCATCCTGAAGTTCTGAGACTTTTTAATTATTTTGCCAACAATTTATTCCCCTTTGTTTTACTTATTTATTTTATTTCTATAACTCATATAATTAAAATAATTGGAAGAAATTATATTGGAGAAGAAGATAGCACCACACTGATTGTGTTTGTGTCAGACTATCACAGCTCAAGGTTGTCATGTTTTATTAAGGAGAAATGTTGTATTTCTTGGTATTCACATTGTAACCTGAAGAAGGGCAATGACTGTCAAAAATTTAAATGTATGGGTAATAGTTAGAAGATGCAAGCACTGTATCCTCCAGAATTTTAGCATATGCAAACCTTTAAATTCCAGGCAAGTTGACTTAAGCTTCAACATTCTCCCAGCTAAAATGAATCCATTTGTGCTAATTTCTGTGATCAAAGGTGAATAAGACATTGTTTCTGCCTTCAGTGATAGCTCAATCCAAAGGGAGACAAATAGAAATGATGTAAAAAGAGAGATATGTAGTCCATGCATGGTGGCTCACGGCTATAACCCCAGCACTCTGGGAGGGAAAGGTTGGAGGATCATGAGCTCAGGAGATTGAGACCATCCTGGCAAACAAGGTAAAACCCTGTCTCTACAAAAGATACAAAAATTAGCCAGGCATGGTGGCACATGCCTGTAGTCCCAACTACTTGGGAGGCTCAGGCAGGAGAATTGCTTGAAGCTGGGAGGTGGAGGTTGCAGTGAGCGGAGATCATGCCACTGCATGCCAGCCTAGGCAACAGAGCGAGACTCTGTCTCAAAACAAAACAAAACAAAACAAAAAAAAACCAGATACGTAAAGTGCTCTAAAAGCTGAGAAAAGGGACAGAATATCTGTGACAGGTAACTTGTTTGGGGCAGTTGGAAATACGGAGGTCTCAGTGTGTGCTTTCACTATGTCCCTAAAGGTGTTGAATGTGGAGTGCTCAAACCTCAAGCTTATAGCTTCATGAAGGAAAAATTATGTTAGAATGAGACAAAAAGCCCCTCAACCACTACATCAATTATTTTATTCCTGAATAACTTACAGCAGAATGTCAATCTTTAATGAGTAGAAATGCTTCTCAATCATACAAACAACTTAGATTCACCTGGGGAGTTAACAAAAAGCATCCCACATCTGAGATCTACCCTAGACCAATTATATCAGAATTTATGGGGATCAATGGATTCTGGATATGTGAGCTTTTGTAAGCTTGGCAGATAACTTTAATGTGCATTCAAAATTGAGAGCAACTATGTTAAGAACAATAATCCATGACAGTAAGTTCCTATCTACTCATCTGCCCTTAATTATATTACACTGTTCTCATGCAGCATGATACAAGTAAAAATTATTATTATTATTACTATTATTATTATTATTATTTTGAAATGGTGTCTAGCTCTGTTGCCCAGGCTGGAGTGCGTTGGCGCAACCTCAGCTCACTGAAACATCTGACTCCTGGGTTCAAGGGATTCTCCTGCCTCAGCCTCCCAAGTAGCTGGGATTACAGGCACCCACAAACATGCCCAGCTAATTTTTGTATTTTCAGTAGTGACGTGGTTTCACTGCATTGGCCAGGCTGGTCTCCAACTCCTGACTTCGTGACCCACCCACCTTGGCCTCCCAAAGTGCTGGGATTACAAGTTGAGCCACCGCACCCAGCCAACATTAATATTTTAAAATATTTAGAAATATATGTTGCAGGGCACAGTGGCTCAAGCCTGTAATCCCATCACTTTGAGAGGCCAAGGTGGGTGGGTCACTTGAACTGAGGAGTTCAAGACCAGCTTGAAAATATGGTGAAACCCGGTGTCTACAAAAAATACAAAAAATTAGCCAGGACTGGTGGTGTGTGCCTGTGGTCCCAGCTACTCAGGAAGCTTAGGTGAGAGGATTGCTCAGGAGGATCACTTGAGCTCAGGAGGCTGAAGGTGCAGTGTGCAGAGATTGAGCCTCTGCATTCCAGTCCAGTCTGGGCAACAAACTGAGTCTCTGTCTCATATATGAATGTGTGTGTGTGTGTGTGTGTGTGTGTGTATACATATACATGTATATGTACATATACATGTATATGTACATATACACACACATATACATATATAGGAAAGAGTGAAACTCCCTCTCATACACACACACACACACACACACACACACACACACATATATGCTTGGCCACTTTAATTCCTCTACAATGGAATTCTGAGCAGCATGCTTAAGGGTCAATATCAGGAACTGCAGGTAGTCAGCCTGTGCTAGAAATATTCAGAGTGGGATTTTTCACATTATACAGTTTCATCTTCTGAGTGTACTTCCTGAGGCTATTGTTCTCTTCATATCTTGCAGATCTTTCTGTGCAAAAGGCCACATGCACCAACAGTTTTTTTTTTTTTTTTTTTTTGCTAAGGGTCTTCTAATTAATTGGAGGACTTCAGTCGAAAAATTTCTAAGGACAAGATTTTTCCTCTTTTGGCTCAGGAAACTGCAGGCATCAGTTACACAACAATATTTAACAGTAGCACAGCTAATAAGTCATATCCATTGCCTTAAACAAAATGTACAGAATTCAGTATTTTTAGTTACACACAAACACTATATAGGGTTTGCAATTAATCATTTTTATATTCTATATTCTCTCTGATACTGAACACAGAACTTCAAGAAGAGTTTCACACAATGATTTATTCAGTAAATATGCATAGAGTTGCATAAGTACTGAGATTAGAAAACATACCATGTATCTGCCCTCATCATGTTCTCATTCTATTAAATGCTGTAATAACACAACGTTGAGTCATAAAAGTTTCGAAAGAGAAGTACACACACAAAAAAAGCTAGGCAAATACATGGAACATTATGATCACTTAGAGCTGGTATCAGTTAAAGCCAGGTCTTCAAGACCCAGAAATGCCAGGATAGAAAGTATAGAACAAACTGTGTACACAAAGGCAAGTTTTTGTTGTTGTTGTTTTTGTTTCATAGGAAAATAAGATCAGAGTTTCACGAAGGTTGTAAGACTAATTGCAATATATAGGATGGGTTGAAGATCAGCAAGAGAAGACAGAAGGTGAGTTATGAGTTTTATTAAATGGTTAAACTAATAGATGATGGTGAACTGGGCAAGGAAAGTTGAAGCAAGGACTGGAAGAAAGAGACAGATGCAAGAATCATTGCAAAGATAAGGTACAAAAGTCTTGGCATGAGTTTTCAAGTTGAGGCTAGTAAAAAATATTGTGGGATTCTTGGCATTCATCTATCCATCAAATTATTCAAGGAATCTTTATTAAGATTCAATATTATTATTAATCTTTATTATTATTCAAGATTATTAAGATTTATGATTCATTGAATAATAAATATGCCATAAATATTTATTACTATGCAACAAGCACTGTGCTGGGTTCTGGAGGTACAGCAATGAATATGGGGTTAATGGTCCCTGACTTCATAAAGCTTTATTTACAGGGAGAGACAGATAATAAATAAAAGACACAAGCAGTTGTAAATGCTGTGAAGGAAATTTTGGGATTTTGAAAGAGTGTAACAGACAGTAGTGATGGTTGGTATAACAGACAGAACTACTGTATATTGGGCACTAAGTGAAGCTTTCTCCAAAGAAGTCTTTTGTGAGATATCAGAAAGAGTAGCCATTGAAAAAGAGGGAAAAAAATCTGCCAAATCTCTAAAATAGGACAATTTTGGAATAGTTCTGTGTTTGAAGAACAGAGAGTTGCTAATGTGCAGAATAATGCTGAGAATTTGACTAAGAGGAAAATGGTAAAGTAACCAGCAGTTTTCATAGTACAGATGGGAATTCTGTCCTTGATAAAAGTAGTTCCAGTGGAATGAGACCAAAACCAAATTGAACTGAACTGAAAAGCCAGTGGGAAGAAACGAGGGAAGTGGGTACAGCGTGCTCAGTGGAGAAAAGTAATGAAGGGGTAGGTGGCCGGGGGGTAAACAACGGGAAAAATTCTAATTTATAAAAGCAATGTAAGAATTTAGATCGCAAATGTATATGTATACTGAGTTGGTAGAGAGGGAGGGATTAACATACATGAGAAAATAAAATTGAGAGCAGTGGATTGCGGTTTCTAGCACCTACAGTGCACTCTCACTTTGCCTGTGAGTTGGATAAGTGGCTGAAAGCTGATTCTTTTTCAAAGTTGGTTTCTGTTTGGGAAAGAAGGGAGTAGGGAACAACATGACACTGTACACTGCATAGCAAAATAAGGATATTGAGTACATAGGGAAGAAAGAGCTCAGGTACAAGAAGATCTTGTTCCTCAAACCACATGCTGCCTACTTTCTAGTCTAGCTTCACATTAGCCCTACTCCAGTTTCCAAAAGAACAATGATCGTTTCATTTAATCTAAGAGCATTTACATATCCCATCATATACATCTGTCATCTAAAAGAAGAAGGAGTATTTTAGGACTACAGATAAAAATAATGTAATATTAAGATTAAAATCAAATAACAAATCTAGCTTCATTGAAAGTCTGTCTATACTGATATCTTATTTTTTTTTTAATTCTGCCAAGTATTAGTGAAAATATTCTCCCAGTCTTGTGTCTGTCTGGAAATCAGTATTGGGAAATCACTAGACTGATTGCCTTATGAAATTGCTTCCAATTCAAATTCTATAATTCAGTTAATAATTAGAAAACATATCATATTTGAAGTAAAATAATTTCCTTTTTTATCTTCCATTCAAAAATCTTACAAATAAGTCTTCCTTTCCCAAGTGACCCTTGCAGTACTGTCAGCTATATAGAGATCTAAAGCAGCACTTTGCCACCTTCATCAGTTTCAAAGGCCTATCCTCCCAACTTTTCAGAGAGCCCACAGCATTTACAATAAACATATCTCTCTGCACAACAGGCAATAGCTGCTTCAACTGTTCTCTGTCAGCCTGAATGTTGATTAAGACCTCAGTAATCACACTCCACTCTGCACAAATCTAAAATCACAAATGCAGATTAATTTATGAGAACAGAAGGAAAGGATTGAAAGAAAAAAAAGGCTGTCTTGCTCAAACAAAGGAAGACACAAAAGAAATCCCACTGCCTACCTCATTTGTATATTTTTGTTTTAAAAATGTTCAAGCATCCTAGTATTTTTTAGCACTCTTAAAGAGACAGTTAAATATTGCATCAAATAAGACATGTAAAAAGATGACATGTTGTTAACAGGTGGACTCTAAACATGAGAATTTTCACTGGCTCACTGAGACCTCTGATCTGCAGGCATATGATTGATGACGCCTTTCTAATTCCAATAGCATGGGCCTGCAGCGAAGTTTATTTTACTGCAAGGTCTACTTTATTGAATTCACTGCCTGTCCTAATTCTATATATTTCTGATTAGCTGACCTTCAGAACTGATGTTAGTAGAGGAAAATTGTTTTCTGATGTGCTAACATTTTAAACCTAATCATTCTTTTAAATAAGCAATTTGAGTTTGCAGCATTCTGCTCCTGTTATGTTTTATTAGTGTTTGTGCTTTAATTTGGTATGTTTGTTTTGGAATCACTCCAGCAGTAGGTCCAATTATAAAAATAGAATCAATTAGATTCACTGTGGTGTCTGATATAAGCATTCCAAGCTTAGCTTTTAAAACAAAATGGTAGACTTGGCTGTTTCCAGAGTCCTGCAAATAAAATGTATTGATTCTGCAGGGCTTTCTCGACTGTAGCTTTTTGAAATTTTGTTCCCACTCTTCACATGTCCAAATCCACAATCTCCTAAACAGCTTTTATTGAGAACCACAACCTCATCTCCTCCTTTTTCGAAGCAATTAAGTCCATCTAGCTGGAGAGCCCAAGTACAGTTTATTTTCCTCTTTAAAATCTCTCTCCAGTGCTTTCTACACTGCTGTCAAGTAATAAGGGCCTGAATAAATCTTCCTTAAATGACAGGTTGAATGAATTTGTCCTCTCTTTTCTTTTCTCTGACTTGCACCAAGAGAAATTTCAGTTTTCCAAGACTAAACTTTGTCAGTGATGTAGAATTTATCTGATTCTTTCTACTCATGCCTTCTTCAAGACCTTGATTCATCATGTATTTCTTCTTAGTCTAACTGTCTTTGGTATTCATTTCTTCCTTGGCCACTGAGTGGCTTCCTAATAATGCAGACAAATGTCTCAGTTTTGTGGAAAAGGTCTGAAGGGAATGGTGATTTGGACAAGGCATCTGCATTGGAATACTAGTTTGGTTGGCAATATCCTGTTGCTTTACATCTGCATGGCAGAAATAAAACCATACACTTGTGTGGTTTCCATATCTGAGTTTTATCTTAAAATAAAAAGGTAAAAATAAAAACAAACAAAAAAGACACACACCAAGGACAAGAGGTTTATTAAAGCTGACGCAAATTAAAATAGAGACAAGACTTGAAGAATCTCTTAGAAGAAAAACAACAGTTAGGCCTCAGAAGTGACCTCAACCTTGCTTGATTTGCAAACATAAGCAAAACTTAAGTTGAGCTATTTCTTGTAAATGTTTATATCATAAATAAACCGAATGTAAACTCAACCAATCAGAAGCAGTTAACAAACTTATATAATCAGGACTTTCCAATGGGATAGATCAAATGAGGCAACTGTATAATTGTAAACAATTAAATGCCATCTGCTTTACTTTTGTGTGTGTTTTATAAAATTCTCCCCATTGTCTTCCCTTGATGGAACTCCTGAATGGCTTCTAGTTTGGAGCTGCTCAATTCAGGGAATATTTCTTGCTCAAACTCTTTAAAAATGTGCCTCAGTTTACCTGCTAACATTGGAAATGTTAGTCATTGGCTTCACAATGTGAACAATTCTAAAGGCTAGATAGTAACTCTTCTTGTAAGTCAAGCAATTTTCATTGCTTTGTTTTCAACAAAATTGAATGACTTGCAGTTGTCATGTGTATAGTTTTCAGTATTTAATTCATGAAGAATTCAAAGAATTGAGTGAAATTCCTTTAAAAATTCCTTCTTCCATTCCTAAATACATATTCATGGGAACAAAGTCTCTTTTTGACACTTCCATCCATAGAAAGAAAAAAATAAAAATTGAACCAATAATGAATCCAGCCTCACTCTGGCATTTAGTAATAGTTATCTATGCCTAAAATAGAGAATGAAAGTAAATGAGAAGAGGACAGGAACAATACCACGCATTTCATTAAGAAATGAGTTTTCTAGCAGTCTATCAATTTTGTTGATCTTTTCAAAAAACAAGCTCCTGGATTCATTGATTTTTTGAAGGGCTTTTTGTGTCTCTATTTCCTTCAGTTCTGCTCTGATCTTAGTTATTTCTTGCCTTCTGCTAGCTTTTGAATGTGTTTGCTCTTGCTTCTCTAGTTCTTTTAATTGTGATGTTAGGGTGTCAATTTTAGATCTTTCCTGCTTTCTCTTGTGGTCATTTAGTGGTATAAATTTCCCTCTACACACTGCTTTGAATGTATCCCAGAGATTCTGGTATGTTGTGTCTTTGTTCTTGTTGGTCTCAAAGAACATCTTTATTTCTGCCTTCATTTCGTTATGTACCCAGTAGTCATTCAGGAGCAGGTTGTTCAGTTTCCATGTCGTTGAGCAGTTTTGAGTGAGTTTCTTAATCCTGAGTTCTAGTTTGATTGCACTGTGGTCTGAGAGACAGTTTGTTATAATTTCTGTTCTCTCACATTTGCTGAGGCATTCTTTACTTCCAACTATGTGGTCACTTTTGGAATAACTGCAATGTGGTGCTGAGAAGAATGTATATTCTGTTGATTTGGGGTGCAGAGTTCTGTAGATGTTTATTAGGTCCGCTTGGTGCAGAGCTGAGTTCAATTTCTGGATATCCTTGTTAGCTTTCTGTCTCCTTGATCTGTCTAATGTTGACAGTGGGGTTTTAAAGTCTCCCATTATAATTGTGTGGGAGTCTAAGTCTCTTTGTCGGTCTCTAAGGACTTGCTTTATGAATCTGGGTGCTCCTGTATTGCGTGCATATATATTTAGGATAGTTAGCTCTTCTTGTTGAATTGATCCCTTTACCATTATGTAATAGCCTTCTTTGTCTCTTTTGATCTTTCTTGGTTTAAAGTCTGTTTTATCAGAGACTAGGATTGCAACCCCTGCTTTTTTTTGTTTTCCATTTGCTTGGTAGATCTTCCTCCATCCCTTTATTTTGAGCCTATGTGTGTCTCTGCAGGTGAGATGGGTTTCCTGAATACAGCACACTGATAGGTCTTGACTCATTATCCAATTTGCCAGTCTGTGTCTTTTAATTGGGGCATTTAGCCCATTTACATTTAAGGTTAATATTATCATGTGTGAATTTGATCCTGTCATTCTGATGTTAGCTGGTTATTTTGCTCGTTAGTTGATGCAGTTTCTTCCTAGCCTTGACGGTCTTTACAATTTGGCATGTTTTTGCAGTGGCTGGGAACAGTTGTTCCTTTCCATGTTTAGTGCTTCCTTCAGGAGCTCTTTTAGGGCAGGCCTGGTGGTGACAAAATCTCTCAGCATTTGCTTGTCTGTAAAGGATTGTATTTCTCCTTCACATATGAAGCTTAGTTTGGCTGGATATGAAATTCTGGGTTGAAAATTATTTCTTTAAGAATGTTGAATATTGGCTCCCAGTCTCTTCTGGCTTGTAGAGTTTCTACCGAGAGATCAGCTGTTAGTCGGATGGGCTTCCCTTTGTGGGTAACCCGACCTTTCTCTCTGGTTGCACTTAACATTTTTTCCTTCATTTCAACTTTGGTGAATCTGACAATTATGTGTCTTGGAGTTGCTCTTCTCGAGGACTATCTTTGTGGCATTCTCTGTATTTCTTGAATCTGAATGTTGGCCTGCCTTGCTAGATTGGGGAAGTTCTCCTGGATAATATCCTGCAGAGTGTTTTCCAACTTGGTTCCATTCTCCCTGTCACTTTAAGGTACACCAGTCAGACGCAGATTTGGTCTTTTCACATAGTCCCATATTTCTTGGAGGCTTTGTTCATTTCCTTTTCCTCTAAACTTGTCTTCTCACTTCATTTCATTCATTTGATCTTCCATCACTGATACCCTTTCTTCCAGTTGATCGAATCGGCTACTGAGGCTTGTGCATTCACCACGTAGTTCTCGTGCCTTGGTTTTCAGCTCTATCAGGTCCTTTAAGGACTTCTCGGCATTGGTTATTGTAGTTAGCCATTTGTCTAATTTTTTTCAAGATTTTTAACTTCTTTCCATGGATTCAAACTTCCTCCTTTAGCTCAGAGTAGTTTGATCGTTTGAAGGCTTCTTCTCACAACTCGTCAAAGTTATTCTCCATCCAGCTTTGTTCCATTGCTCATGAGGAGCTGCGTTCCTTTGAAGGAGGAGACACATTCTGATTTTTAGAGTTTCCAATTTCTCTGCTCTGTTTCTTCCCCATGTTTGTGGTTTTATCTACCTTTGGTCTCTGACAATGGTGACGTACAGATGGGGTTTTGGTGTGGATGTCATTTCTGTTTGTTAGTTTTCCTTCTAACAGTCAAGACCCTAAGCTGCAGTTCTGTTGGAGTTTGCTGGAGGTCCACTCTAGACCTGTTTGCCTGGGTATCAGCAGTGGAGGCTGCAGAACAGCGGATATTGGTGAGCAGCAAATGTTGCTGCCTGATAGTTCCTCTGTAAGTTTTGTCTCAGAGGACTACCTCGTCATGTGAGGTATCAGTCTGCCCCTACTTGGGGTGCCTCTGAGTTAGGCTACTCAGGGTTCAGGGACCCACTTGAGGAGGCAGTCTGTCTGTTCTCACAGCTCCAGCTGCGTGCTGGGAGAACCACTATTCTCTTCAAGGCTGTCACACAGGGACATTTAAGTCTGCAGAGGATTCTGCTGCCTTTTGTTTGGCTATTCCCTGCCCCCAGAGGTGGAGTCTAAAGAGGCAGGAAGACCTCCTGGAGGTCTCCTAGTGCGAGGAGTGGGCTCCACCTAGTGCAAGGTTCCTGGCGGCTTTGTTTACCTACTCAAGCCTCAGCAATGGCAGGCACCCCTCCCCCAGCCTCGCTACTGCCTCACCGTTTGATCTCAGACTGCTGTGCTAGCAATGAGCGAGGATCCATGGGCATAGGAGCCTCCAAGCCATGTGCGGGATATAATCTCCTGGTGTGCTGTTTGCTAAGACCATTGGAAAAGCACAGTATTAGGGTGGGAGTGACCCGATTTTCCAGGTGCTATCTCTCACCACTTTCTTTGACTAGGAAAGGGAATTCCATGACCCCTTGCGCTTCCCAGGTGACATGATGCCTCGCCCTTCTTCGGTGCACACTGGGTCCACTGCAACCACTGTCCTGCACTGTCCTGCACACTCCCCAGTGAGATTAGCCTGGTACCTCAGTTGGAAGCAAGACTAATAAAGAAGAAAAGAGAGAAAAATCAAATAGAAGCAGTAAAAAATGATAAAGTGGACATCACCACTGATTCCACAGAAATACAAACTACCATCAGAGAATACTATAAACACCTATACGTAAATAAACTAGAAATTCTAGAAGAAATGGATAAATTACTTGACACATACACCCTCCCAAGACTAAACCAGGAAGAAGTTGAATCTCTGAATAGACCAATAACAGGCTCTGAAATTGAGGCAATAATTAATAGCTTTCCAACCAAAAAAAGTCCAGGACCAGATGGATTCCCAGCTGAATTCTACCAGAGATACAAGGAGGAGCTGGTACCCTTCCTTCTGAAACTATTCCAATCAATAGAAAAAGAGGAAATCCTCCCTAACTCATTTTATGAGGCCAGCATCATCCTGATACCAAAGCCTGGCAGAGACACCACAGAAAAAGAGAATTTTAGACCAATATCTCTGATGAACATCAATGCAAAAATCCTCAATAAAATACTGGAAAACTGAATCCAGCAGCACATCAAAAAGCTTATGTACCATGATCAAGTGGGCTTCATTCCTGGGATGCAAGGCTGGTTCAACATATGCAAATCTATAAACATAATCCAGCATATAAACAGAACCAACAACAAAAACCATGTGATTATCCTCAATAGATGCAGAAAAGGCCTTTGACAAAATTCAATAATGCTTCATGCTAAAAACTGTCAATAAATTAGGTATTGATGGGACATATCTCAACATAACAAGAGCTATCCATGACAAACCCACAGCCAATATCATACTGAATGGGCAAAAACTGGAAGCATTCCCTTTGAAAACTGGCACAAGACAGGGATGCCCTCTCTCACCACTCCTATTCAACATAGTGTTGGAACTGCTGGCCAGGGAAGTCAGGCAGGAGAAGGAAATAAAGGGTATTCAATTAGGAAAAGAGGAACTAAAATTGTCCCTGTTTGCAGATGACATGATTGTATGTCTAGAAAACCCCATCGTCTCAGCCCAAAATCTCCTTAACTCATAGGCAACTTCAGCAAAGTCTCAGGATAAAAAATCAATATGCAAAAATCACAAGCATTCTTATACACCAATAACAGACAAACAGAGAGCCAAATCATGAGTGAACTCCCATTCACAATTGCTTCAAAGAGGATAAAATACCTAGGAATCCAATTTACAAGGGACACGAAGGACCTCTTCAAGGAGAACTACAAACCACTGCTTAGTGAAATAAAAGAGGATATAAACAAACAAATGGAAGAACATTCCATGCTCATGGGTAGGAAGAATCAATATCATAAAAATGGCCATACTGCCCAAGGTAATTTATAGATTCAATGCCATCCCCATCAAGCTACCAATGACTTTCTTCGCAGAATTGGAAAAAACTACTTTAAAGTTTACTTGGAGCCAAAAAAGAGCCCACATTGCCAAGTCAATCCTAAGCCAAAAAAACAAAGCTGAAAGCATCACGCTACTTGACTTCAAACTATACTACAAGGCTACAGTAACCAAAACAGCATGGTACTGGTACCAAAACAGAGATATAGATCAATGGAACAGAATAGAGCCCTCAAAATTATGCCACATGTCTACAACCATCTGATCTTTGACAAACCTGACAAAAATAAGCAATGGGGAAAGGATTCCCTATTTAATAAATGGTGCTGTGAAAACTGGCTAGCCATATGTAGAAAGCTGAAACTGGATCCTTCCTTACACCTTATACAAGAATTAATTCAAGATGGATTAAAGACTTACATGTTAGACCTAAAACCATAAAAGCCCTAGAAGAAAACCAGGCAATACCATTCAGGACATAGGCATGGGCAAGGACTTCATGCCTAAAACACCAAAAGCAATAGCAACAGAAGACAAAATTGACAAATGGGATCTAATTAAACTAAAGAGCTTCTGCACAGCAAAATAAACTACCATCAGAGTGAACAGGCAACCTACAGAATGGGAGAAAATTTTTGCAATCTACTCATCTGACTAAGGACTAATATCCAGAATCTACAATGAATTCCAACAAATTTACAAGAAAAAACAAACAACCCCATCAAAAAGTGGGCAAAGGATATGAACAGACGCTTCTCAAAAGAAGACATTTATGGAGCCAAAAGACAAATGAAAAAATGCTCATCATCACTGGCCATCAGAGAAATGCAAATCAAAACCACAATGAGATACCATCTCACACCAGTTAGAATGGTGATCATTAAAAAGTCAGGAAACAACACTTGCTGGAGAGGATGTGGAGAAATAGGAACACTTTTACACTGTTGGTGGGACTGTAAACTAGTTCAACCATGTGGAAGTCAGTGTGGCGATTCCTCAGGGATCTAGAAATAGAAATACCATTTGACCCAGCTATCCCATTACTGGGTATATACCCAAAGGATTATAAATCATGCTGCTATAAAGACACATGTACATTTATGTTTATTGGGGCACTATTCACAATAGAATAGAATTGGAACCAACCCAAATGTCCAATAATGATAGACTGGATTAAGAAAATGTGGCACATATACACCATGGAATACTATGCAGCCATAAAAAAGGATGAGTTCATGCCCTTTGTAAGGACATGGATGAAATTGGAAACCATCATTCTCAGCAAACTGTTGCAAGGACAAAAAACAAAACACCGCATGTTCTCACTCATAGGTGGGAATTGAACAATGAGAACACGTGGACACAGGAAGGGGAACATCACACACCAAGTCCTGTTGTGGGGCGGAGGGAGGGTGGAGGGATAGCATTAGGAGATATACCTAATGTTAAATGACGAGTTAATGGGTGCAGCACACCAACATGGTACATGTATACATATGTAACTAACCTGCACATTGTGCAGATATACCCTAAAACTTAAAGTATATATATATAAAAAAAGAAACATATTTTCTTTTTTTTCTATTCTGTGTGTGTGTGTGTGTGTGTGTGTGTGTGTGTGAAATGGAGTTTTGCTCTAGTTGCCCAGGCTAGAGTGCAATGGCGCAGTCTTGGCTCACTTCCACCTGTCTCCTGGGTTCAAGCGATTCCCCTGCCTCAGCCACCTGAGTAGCTGGGATTACAAGCATGTGACACAATGCCCAGCTAATTTTGTATTTTAAGTAGAGATGGGGTTTCTCCATGTTGGTCAGGCTGATCTGAAACTCCCAACCTCAGGTGATCCACATGGCTTGGCCTCCCAAAGTGCTGAGATTACAGACATGAGCCACTGTGTACAGGCATGAGCCACCGTGCCCGGTCAAGAAATGTATTTTAAATAAATATTAACATTGTGTGTTTAGCATTTATTTTCCAAAAAAAACTTAACATACTCTTTTCAATCAATTCTATGCTCTATTAATTGAAACTGGCAAGTATGTTTATCAAAACAATAAGGGTAGTTTTTTTTGTATTGTTGCATTTCATGTGTTTTTTTTTTTTACGTCCTTCTTTGTACTTTTTGTATTTCTAAATCCTACAGTGGGCACATATCATTTTTCACTGAATAACGCAATAAGCTATTAATGTTATTAAAAAATACTTTCCCTTGAAAACACCTCCCTAAAGCTATTTATCTTTTCTCATGTTTGCTTATCTCCTTTTCATCATTATTCACTCATCTCATTTTCCACAAGAATCCTGCCCCGACTACTCCACTGAAAATATACTCTTCAAGGTCAACCTGATCATTACAAAATCTTCTTTCTTTACTTCCTTTGACAACTCTCCACAAAATTCAGTATAGTCAAGTTGACTGAGCCTTGCAAAGTGTGTCCCTTGGCTGTTCACTCCCTTCTTTTCTTTCCCCTTCTGCTGGCATCTTCTCTCTCTCTTTGATTGGCTTTATTATGTCATCTGCTAATTGTGAAATGTAAACCCAAGCCTAAATATTTAGGATACCACTAGCTATGTGTATCCAGGTCAGTATATCATGGTTGAATAACTTTCCAGCCTGCATTCACTATTCAGAGTGTTCCCTGACCTTGAGTCATAGTTCCATAACTGCCATTTTCAGTGGGATATCTTAACACCACCTTAAACCCAACATGTCTAAAACCACATCTGTTGCTCCAAGTCAGTTTTCCCTCTAGACCATACTTGTCCTGCCACAGAACGAGGTCACAACTTCATTGCTTTTGCAATAGCCTTTCAGAAAAAAAACAAGAAAAAGCCACAAAGTGATCTTCAGCTACAGTAGAAAGATGAAAACAGAAAACACAGAAATCTGAATACAAGTATATTTATTTTTCAAGAAGATTTCATAGAAGGAATCAGACCAATATATTACTATGTTAGTTTAAGCATAGCCATAAAAGTAAATTTGGCTTTAAATTTGGAGTCAGTCAATCTCTGGAGAGAAATGTGTTCATTACCAATATTAGCAGCATTTTATCCTCCAAGTCATTTGGGTTAAAAATCATGGGGAGGTACAATTCTCTGTTTTTAACCCTTATATTCAGTCTTTTGCCTACTCTTGTCAAGTATTTTTGAATGTCTTTTGTTGTTTGTTACATTTGTATTCCCACAAAATACCTAATTCAGGTCATGTTCACCTAACATTAAGATGTTACAACACTCAAACTCTTAACTGATACACTTGACATCCATTGTCTTCCATATTCTGTTCCTGTTTGTATAAATTCAACCTGCTTTAAAAGTTATATTTGGTAGTTGATGACTATAAGAGAGAGACTGTAAACCTGAGTTTTCAAGGTGTATAAAATCTGATCAGAAGCTGGTTTCCAATCTAATCCACAACTATATTTTTTCACAAACTATGTCTAATCAGCTTTGATAAATGCTAAGTATGAAGGAAATAAAAATGGTGCATACATAGTTAAGGAAACAGCATATTGGAAGCAGAGGTTAGGTAGAATCTAGTGAATGTCGCAAATAAGTAGAGAGCCTAGGACAAATGTTTAGAGGTTGAATTAAGTAGGAGCCAGTAAAGGAGAGTGATAAAGAGAAGTCAGTGAGGTAGGAAGAAAACAAAGTTAAATGAGACATTACAAAAAACAAGGGAAGAAGATGTTCAAACAAAGAGAAAATGACTAACACTTTAAGAGTGATAGATGACCATTAAATTGGAAATATGGAAGTCACTGATGACTTTGACAAAAGCGAGATCTATGGAGTGGACAGATAGAAATTTGGAGTGGTTTAAGGAGTGACCAGAATTTTGAGAAAAAGAAACAGTGAGTATTGACAACAACTCTTTTTTTTCTTTTTCTTTTTCTTTTCTTTGTTTTTTTTTTTTTTTTTTTTTTTGAGATGGAATCTTACTCTGTCACCCAGGCTGGAGTGCAGTGGTATGATCTTGGCACACTGCAACCTCCGCCTCCCAGGTTAAACCAATTCTCCTGCATCAGTCTCCACGCCTGGCTAATTTTTGTTGTATTTTCGTAGTTTTAGAAGAGACAGGTTTCACCATGTTGGCCAGGATGGTCTTGATCTCCCGGTCACCCACATTGGCCTCCCAGAGCTCTGGGATTGCAAGTGTGAGCCACTGCCACTGGTCAACAACTCTTATAAGAGGTTTTGCAGTGAGGAGAGCAGATAAATTAGACTGCAGATAGAGATTTAGGGTGAGTAAGTATTTTCTTAAATTATTTTGAAGATGGTATTATTTTAACATATTTGAGTGTTAACAGACATGATCCAATACAGGAGAAACTGATGTTGCAAGAGAAAGGTGGTACAACTGAAAGAGCAAAATCCTTGGGAGGTGAAGGAGAATGGGACCCAGTGCAATTGTGGAGGGACTGCCCCATCATAGGAATGGGGACACTTTTTTGGTTTGAAGTAAAGAAAATGGATATATTAACATGAAGCTTGGAGATGTCACAGTCAAAGATCGAGCAGGTTTCTTTTCATAGCTTCCTCCCATTTTCTCAGTGAGGTGTACAGCTGGAAATAAGGAGAGTGAGACAGGTGGGTATATAAAGTTTAAGGAAAGGGAAGATATGAAAATGAGTTACAGATATTGAAAAAGTGAACTTGCATAGAAAAACAGTGGAAACTCCAGAAAGTATTGGCACCTAATTTGAGTTTTGAGAGCATTAAAATTAAACTAGGGGGGCTGATGATTTGATTTTCTCCAGCTATGAAGAAAGGATAACTAATGTGCAGGGGAAAAATGGGACTCAACTTCATGATTTCTGACTCTAAGACCAATATTTTTTGTACTATACTATATTAACACTATTTTCTTTTAAATTCACTAGAAAAGTCATATCTCAGGTTATAATTGAGTAAAATATTTTCTTCAAATTAAAAAATATATATCCAAATGCAGGATGAGCAACAATACCTATGCAAATAAATTGAAGAAGCTTGCAACATGAAGCCATTTGTAGATTGTATGCTAATCAGCATACATTTCCCCCTGTAAATATCGCAAAATGTCCATATGCTCATGTTGCAAAAGCCCTCTTGGAGCCTTGTAAACAGGCCAGGGGACCATATTGTTAGGCAAGATCTAAACTCTTTCATTCTTGGCCACAAAGAAAGGGCAGCAGGCTGATAGCGCTAGAGGTAATTAGCACACCATTCATCTTGCCTTATGCTTAGAATGCCTAGAGGAAGCTTCCTATTATTGGCTGATGATAAAACAGAATCAGTCTCTTTTGCTCTCTGATTTAGTCATTTATCAATCAGCATTCTGCAGACCCATTGAGAAGCAAAGAATGTATACACATATACATGCTTATGTTTAAAATGTTTTATAGGGGGGAATACATGTTTTTTAGCAGTTGTTTGTGTGTGTGTGTGTGTGTGTGTGTGTGTGTGTGCTTGGCAACAGAATATAATGAAAAGAAAAGTGGGAGGGGTTGAGGGAAGTGAAGTCTGGATACTGAGTACAGCTATTCCTGGGGAGACAGAATGGTGTAAAATTAAAAGGATGGGCTCTGGAGTCAAACTTCTTGTCCTGAATCCTGGTTCTGACACTTTTTAGCCACATTGCCCTGGCCAAGTTACATACCTTTTCTGGACCTCAGTCACCTTATTTGTAACATATAAATAATAGTCATACTTAAAATAAAAAGTTGTTGAAAGAATTAAATGAGTTGATGTTTGAAACGCCAATATTTACCAGCTGGTGATCCTGGCAACATCATTTAAATTCTTAAGGTTCAATTTCCTTATCAGTAAAACCTCCAAAGCCTCCTCTGCTTTTGCAATTTGTTTTCTTTTCACAAGATTTTACATTTTCCGGTTTTTTGGCAACAGATTCAGGTTAAATAATATTGTATTAGTTACAAAATTTCCTCACAATTCTGTTACCTATACCAAAGTCCTCATCAGTGGCCAGATAAATTTATGACCATTAATATTTGATTCAGGAATGTCATATGTTGGCTGGATGCAGTGGGACACGCCTGTAATCCTAGTCTTTGGGAAGCTGAGGCAGGCATATCACGAGGTCAGCAGTTTGAGACCAGCCTGATCAACATAGTGAAACTTTGTCTCTACTAAATATACAAATAATAATAATAATAATTAGCCGGCTGTGGTGGCACTTGCCTGTAATCCCAGCTACTCAGGAGGCTGAGGCAGGGGAATGGCTTGAACCTGGGAGGCGGAGGTTGCAGTGAGCCGAGATCAAGCCATTACACTCCAGTCGGGGAAACAGGGAAGACTCCATCACAAACAAACACACAAAAAACAATGTCATATGTTAACCTGAAAAGCCGATGAGTCTTCCTAAGAATATATCTACATTAATATCCAATTTGGTTTGCATTCCTTGAGGCTTTATCAATGGAATCCAAGAAGTGTACAACTAATGAAGCTCAGTCTATGTAGTGGACTGCATGGAAGATGCCTCATCTACAAAGCTCAGAGGAATGATAGAATTGTCACTATCAACACACAGCAATTTGTCTACCTGTCATGTGTTTCCCTATACTTGCTTCATAATAGGGGTAGTCCTATGTCTTGTTCACTCTGCATTCTCTTGCCCAGAGCAGAGTCTGTGACACTAAATAGGTCTAAAAATTGTGTGAAAAGTGAATGAGGAAATGAATGGAGAAAAGTCTCACGTGACCATTTGTCTCGTCTTTCATTTACCTTGCAGCCAATTCTCATTATCCAAAACCTTTTAAGTAATGCTATAATAAACATTTATTCTGATAAGATAGAAGAAGAGTAATGCATACGTTTGAGTAATCAATTCCTGAGCAATATTCAGAAGGCTCACAAAAATATCTGATTATTTACAACACCTAAAGTACTGTCTTTGCCTATAGCATAAAATGTTGCTTCTTATAACAGTTTTGGTGCCCCCCCATCACTCACTTCATACACAATACATGGGGGCATGTGCACAAAGACACACACACACACATACACACAATTTCTTCAATAAAGACTCACTTCAGAAGTGATGAAAGACACATTGTTAAAATGGTAAGGAAGAAAGAAAAACAAAAAAATTCTGTTTGAGACTTAAGGCTCTGGGCTTCTGTGTGCCATATGGTAACTGAGCTTGGAACATAGCAAATACAGATTCCAAAAGATCACTTTATCCCTCTATTCTGTGATTTGTGCAGTCAAGCATGTTAGAAAGAATAAGTAACCAGAACAAGGAGCTGAGAGGCAAACAGATAGCAATTTACAATCAGTGAAGAGAATACTTTTCTCAGGCTCCAATATTATTATTATTATTATTATTATTATTATTATTATTATTATCATTATTATTATTTTAAACATATACTGCTGGGCAGAACAAACAAAATGCACAGATCCCAATCACAACAGGTGAAATCATGATGAAATAAGACCTTGAATCTTGGATAGAAAGAAGGTGGTCAACATACTATAAACAAGGGTGGGAGGTAACTCTTCAAGAATCATTTGGATATGGAAAGTCTGGAAATTATTTTTTATATACTTTTGTGGCTTCACTTGGCTTAACCATAAGCTTACAAATACTCAGGAGTCATTAACTTTGCAAATTGTTTGGAGGATTCTGAGGAGTTAATCCCGGAAGATAGTATAGTGTATCAAAAATCATTTACTAGATTTTTTTATTACATAGAAGCAAAAATAAATAAAATAGAAAAGAGGTTCCATGCAGTATAGAGGGTGCTAGACTAGGAGTCAAAAAAACTGGAGTCCAATCTTGGTCTAAAGTAAACTAATTGTCCTTCTCTTTTCTTTCTGTTTCTCATGAATTAAAAAAAAGGGGCGACAAAAGGATATGTGCATTCAATCAATTCCCTCCAACCTCTACCATCACTATTTTGAAAGTCTTTCCTATTTACAGGACATGTCTTAGTTTATAAAAAGCTCCATTATTGAATCCTTAAAACAGTACTGTTAAGAGTTATTATCCTCATTTACAAATAAGGAAGGAAAATCTCGGAGTGATTAACACATTTCCCCAAAATCCTCCTTCTAGAATGTTGTAAATCCAGTTCTCATATCAAATTCAATGCCCTTACAAGGATCCTATACTGACTCCTTAATACGATTTAGCCTAATATACATAGTATCTCTCAAAATTTAAACTATTATGTGACCCACAGAGAACAGGGCTTTAAAACAGTAATGGATTTCATCAAACTGGAAATAACTAATTTTAATAAAATATAAGGGTGAGGAAGATATTGGTCAAAGGATACAAAATTTCAGTTAGATAGGAAGGATAAGTTTAAGAGATCTATTTTACAGATAGCATGTTGACTGTGGTTAATAAAAACATTATATTCTTGTACATTGCTAATAAAATAGATTTTAAATATTCTTACCACAAAAAAGATAAATATGTGAGGTAATGTATATGTCAATTAGCTAGATTTAGCCATCCTACAATATGTGTGTGTTTCAGAACAATACGATGTACAAAATGAATATATATAATTTTACTCATCAATTAAAATAAATAAATGTTGAAAAATGAAATAAAAATAAAAAGCAGTTGGACTTTATATCACAATGTTTTTATATGATTATTTGAAAGCTCTGTAGCTAAAGCCTATCAGGAACACACTACAGTTGAACAAATTCTGTTTATTACTCATTACAGTAAGAGAGAATGTACACCATAGGGAACTGTTTTGTAAATTATGGGGGCATCTCTGTAGGAAGATAATAAAAGGACTTGTTATAGTGTTTGGATTTGTATTAGGTGATTTGGGAGAAATATTGAGGGATCAGAATTTTTCTCTGGATTGAATACTCTCAGGAAGTAAGGGTAATGTGATGATTAAGTATCTTAATACATCTTATCTATTGTGAGGGCAGTCTAAAGCAAGGGTAAAGTTGTAATTGGTAAAAGAAAAAAAGCAGTAACTTATATTAGTCAGAATAGTGAGACAACTGGTGAGTTTTCTGACTTGCACAATGTTCCTGTTCTGTCTGTGTTCAGACATGACTGCAGAGTGGTCTTTTTTTCGCCTTCATCTATCATGGTCACAGAGTAGCCTCATTTAATGCTGGTGTTCCTGAAATAGTAATACCAAGGCCTAGCTGTGAGTGCCAAGCCAGCTGTTAGCAACTGGGCATATCTTGTGAATGTCAGAAGCTGTTTTTCTCTTTCTCAAAACCAGTTAAACATTTTAGTTGAGTGATTTGCCCTGCAGCTGGTGGATGAGAAGGAGTTTTCCAAAAATGGGAAAAAACAGAACAAGATATGCCCTTTCTCAAAAGGCATGTTTTCAAACACTACTTCTATATGGCAAATTATTTCTTATACAAATGTAAAATATAAAGAAGAGACTATGAGAAAATACTTGCAATATGTATAACAAACAAATGACTATACAATTCTTTCTATAAATAAAACATCAAACAACCCAATAGAAAAATACAGCAACAATTCACAGATTAATAACTATAAATAGATAAGTAAAGATATTCAACTTTACTATTCATGAAGTAAATATAAATTAAAACAAAGAAGCAATTTTCTTCCATTTAATTGACGCAAAAAATGATGAGGGAATAGGAAATCCTAACATTGTTAAATGTGAACAAAGTACAAGTACTCTACAGGATATTTTGGCAATCTCTAGCAAACTTTAAAATGCGCATTAAATTTTTAAGAATTTTTCTTTTAGAAATCCTACATGTGCACAAAAACATGATTCAAAAATGTTCATTGTAGCATTTGTTAAACAGAAAAAATCGGCGAATAACATTGAACATCAAACAGAGAAGTACCTAAATTTAAAAATGATGTATCCATACTATGAAGTTATATGCCAGCAATTAAAATATTTATATAGATACGTATGGCAAATATAGAAGAAAAACAAAGATACAGATTTAGACAAGAAAATTAATCTACAGAAAGTGCTTTATATGTCATTTATATCAAAATATTTACATAGGCCAATTGCAGCAGCTTATGCCTATAATCCCAACACTTTGGGTGGCTGAGCCAGAAGGATTGCCTGAGTCCAGGAATTTGAGACCAGCCTAGGCAACATAGTGAGACCTCTTTTCTACAAAAACAAAAACAAAAAAGAGCCAGGTATGGTGACATATGCCTGTAGTCCCAACTACTCAGGAGGCTGAGGTGGGAGAATTGCTTGAGCCTGCGAGGTTGAGGCGCAGTAAGCTGAGAGCGTGCCAATGTACTCCAGCCTGGGCAACAGAGCAAGACCCTGTCTAAAAATATATATTTATATATTTGTAATATTTGCATATATGTGTATGAATATATATATATAAAGTATGTGTGTATATATATTTAAATGAATATAAAATTATCTGTAAGTGAGCATACCAATTGTGAGCTGATCTGTTTCCTTTGAAGACCAGGAATTCAGTTGAATTTTGCGAGAAAGAGGGTGGGGAGAATGGTAGAAATGTAAGTTTTTCTGTATATACATCTGTACTGCTTGAAATTTTTATAGGAATGTATTATTTTCATTACAAATAGTTAAATAATAGTATATTCTCTTAGGAAACATCTAGCTGAGATGGGATAACTTGTAATGCAGTTATCTTCCTGGTAGAAACAACTGAAAACACTGGACTGTATACATACATATATCAATGTTTTTAAGTGTTAGAAATTAGGTAGTGAAAGAGAATAATTCCTTAGAGGGTGAAAGCAAAATAAAGCCTTATGATTGTCCGGGCTTACTGCCTGAAAGGAGATTTTGGGCTGTATCATACAAAGGGAGAACCCAAATGGAATCCAGTAGCCTCCCTAAGTTGAGATGACAGAGCTAGGAGTCCAGAAAGGGAAATACAGCTAGAATTTTCAGGGAAGAATACAAGAGAAAAAAGACATGCACAAAAAATATGACAACTGCAGAGATTTGTTGAAGGTCCTCCTCAGCTCTAGTTGAGCACGAATCAGTGCATGAATGTGAGGAAACTAACCGAGGCTGGAGAAATAACTATCTAAAAACAGTAGAGAAAAAAATTCTTAGTGCTCAAACAGTTCATGTTCCCATAATTCAGAGTGAAAAACCTTGTACTTCACATGACATTAGGTAGGTTCCTCAGAGGGTATCGCCACAGTAGTGGAAAAAAAAAAAGCCCGAGATTAATACCTAGTCTGGTTCCAACAAAGTTCAAAAACAAGCCTTGAAAGAATCAATGTTTTGTTTTGTTTTTTTGTTCCAAGTAAACTTAAAGCATCTCAGATTTAAGTGTGAAAATAATATTAGAAGAAGAAAAACACCATCAAAAAAGTAAAATCCACATTTTCTGACATCAAATAAAAAATTACTAAGCATGCATGAAGCCAGGAAAATAAGAGAAAAGCCATTCAACAGGAAGAGGCCAGAAAATGGCACGTATAGAATAAGTAGACAATAATATTAAAATAGCTACAAATATTCTAACTCTATTATATATGTTCAATACATAAGAGGAAAGGTGGGCCGGGTGCGGTGTCTCACGCCTGTAATCCCAGCACTTTGGGAGGCCAAGACATGTGGATCACAAAGTCAGGAGATTGAGACCATCCTGGCTAACGCGGTGAAACTGTGTCTCTACTAAAAATTCAAAGAATTAGAGGGCCTTGATGTGACGCGCCTGTAGTCTCAGCTACGTGGAAGGCTGAGGCAGGAGAATCGCTTGAACGCGGGAGGCGGAGGGAGCAGTGAGCGGAGATTGCGCCA
This sequence comes from Homo sapiens, assembly GCF_000001405.40. Lineage (NCBI taxonomy): Eukaryota > Metazoa > Chordata > Mammalia > Primates > Hominidae > Homo > Homo sapiens. The sequence continues at coordinate 9,586,966 of NC_000024.10, forward strand.
CTGCACTCCAGCCTGGGTGACAGGAAAAAAAAAAAAAAAAGGAAGAGGAAAGGTTGAACATGTTAAGTAAACATATGAAAGACATACCAAAATCAAACTTCCGTGGATGTGAATTACACGTCTGAAATCAAAAATAAAATGGGTGGATATATAGCAGATTCAGCACTGCAGAAGAAAAGACCAACACTACAATTGAATTTTGTTCCCCCATATTAGTATGTTGAAGTTTCAAACCGCAGTGCCACAGAATGTGATATTATTTTAATATGAGATTCTTGCAGATGTGAGCTAAGATGAAGTAATTAGGAAAAGACTTAATCCAACACTACAATACTACTGGCATTTTAATAACCGGGAAATCTGGAGGTAGAGGCACATACCCAGGTAGAATGTCACATGAAAACAAAGGCAGAAAAGTCACTGAATCTAGCTAGGCAAGAGAGGTTGTAGATTCTGAGAGCCCTCAGAAGAAACCAACCTTGTCAACACCTTGATATTAAACTTCCAGTCCCCAGAACTGTGAGAAAATATATGATGTATAAGCCCCCTAGTTTGTGGTGTTTTACTATGGCCACTTTAGCAAACTAAAGCTACCATTAACATTGAAAACATTAGGAGAGTAATTTCCACATTAAATGCAAAGAGGAAACATTGTTTGAAAACAAAGCTAGAATACCTATATAATATGATAGGGTAGATGTCAGAGGCAAGAATATCACATGCAAAATGAGGGACATTGTAAACTGATAAAGGGAGAATTTACCAAGGAAATGTAAGAATTTAAAAATTTGATATTTAGGCATCCAAAATAACTGTGCTTCAAAATCAACATTGCAAAAATTAATAAAACTTAAAGGAGAAATAGGTAAATTCACAATTATAGTCAAATATGTCAATATTCCTCTTTTAATAAATGATAAAAGATTTGGAAAAAATCAGTAAAATATACAGACTTGAAAAACAATATCAAATAACTTGACTTAACTGACTTTGGTAGAACACGTGACACAACAACAGTAGAATATGCAGTCTTTTCGAGTGCACACAGAACATATACCAAGATAAGCCAGATGCAGGATCATTAAACAAGTCTGAATAAATGTAAAATGATTGAAGCCATACAAAGTACATTCGCTGACCACAATGGACTTAAACTAGGAATTAATATCAGAAAAAAAATGTCTAGGAAATTCCCAAGTATTTTAACACTAAATAGCATAGTTCCGGAGAGGAGATGGATCAAGGAAAGAATAAGATACAATTAGAAAATAATTTGAATTAAATGAGAGTGAAAAGACAACCTACCAAAATTTGTGGGACTCAGATTTAAAAATATTGGAAGGTAAATTTATAGCACTAAAATTTCTACGTCATACAAGATTGGTCTCAGCTGGGCGTGGTGGCTCATGCCTATAATCCTATCACTTTGGGAGGGCCAGGCAGGTGAATCACCTGAGGTCAGCAGTTCAAGACGGGTCTGGCCAACATGGAAAACCTGTCTCTACCAAAAATACAAAAATTAGCAGGGCATAATTGTGCATGCCTGTAATCCCAGTTACCTAGGAGGCTGGGACAACAGAATCACTTGAACCTAGGAGGCGGAGGTTGCACTGAGCCAAGGTGGTGCCACTGAACTGCAGCCTGGACATCAGAGAGAGACAAAAAAAGATTGCCCTCATAACAATGAGAGCATCTACATTTCTATATTGAGAAAATAAGACAAAAGAGCAAATGAAACCCAAAATAAACAGAATGAAGAAAATAAAATTAAAGTAGAAATGAAACAGAAAACAAAAATATACTAAGGAAAATCAATGTAATGAAAAGGTAGTTCATTGAAATGATTAATATAACTGATAAACCTATAGCCATATCAATGTGGAAAAAATATACACATTAGGAATGATAGAGGTGCCATCACTAAAGTTCTACATCTATTAAGTGGATAATAATTAAATGTCAAAAACAACTTTATGCAAATAAAAGCAACAACTGAATGACAAATACCTTGAAAAGACAAGCTACCAATGCTAACACAAAAATAAATAGATAAACCCAACACTATATCTAAAAACAGAAATGAAATTTTTAAACAAAACTTTCACACAAAGAAAATGTCTGGCCCAGATTACTTTGCATAAGAATTCTAACGAACATCAAAAGAAGAAATAATACCAACTCTACACAAAATCTTCTAGAAAATTAAAAGGAGAGAATGCTATCTATCTCACTATACAAGCCCAACATTACCTTGATGCCAAAGCTAGACAAACAAATTACAAGAAAATCACAAACTAATGTCCCCCATGAACAAATTCAAAATTTTCTAACTATTTTTTTACTAAAACAGTATGCAGAATGGATAAAATATCCATAATCAAGTGAGTTTTATGTAATGTTGAATTATCGTTAGAAAAATAATCAGTATCACTCAGCATCATTAAAAATTAACAGCCTATAAAAGAAAGCAAGACAATAGACACAGAAAAAGCACTTGACAAAATCCAACATCCATTCTTGATAAAATTAAACTTTCAGCAAATTAGCAATAAAAAGGTAATACTCCTATCTGATAAAAGGCATCTGTAATAAACCTACAGCACCATACTTAATGATAAAACGTTGAATGGTTTTCCCTCGAAGATAGAGAAAAAAATGAAGATATTAGTGCTGACTACTTCTCTTCAATGTTGTATTAGTGTTTCTAGACAATGTAATAATTGAAGAAAAAGATGTAAAATCTTTCTGGGGGGGAGGAGCCAAGATGGCCAAATAGGAACAGCTCCAGTCTACAGCTCCCAGCATGAGCGACGCAGAAGACGGGTGATTTCTGCATTTCCATCTGAGGTACCAGGTTCATCTCACAAGGGAGTGCCAGACAGTGGGCACAGGCCAGTGGGTGCATGCACTGTCCGCGAGCCGAAGCAGGGTGAGGCACAGCCTCACTCGGGAAGCGCAAGGGGTCAGGGAGTTCCCTCTTTCCTAGTCAAAGAAAGTGGTGACAGATGGCACCTGGAAAATCGGGTCACTCCCACCCAAATACTGTGCTTTTCCGATGGGCTTAAAAAACGGTGCATGAGGAGATTATATCCCCCACCTGGCTTGGAGGGTCTTATGCCCACGGAGTCTCGCTGATTGCTAGCACAGCAGTCTGAGATCAAACTGCAAGGCGGCAGCTAGGCTGGGGGAGGGGCGCCCTACACTGCCCAGGTTTGCTTAGGTAAACAAAGCAGCCAGGAACGTCCAACAGGGTGGAGCCCACCACAGCTGAAGGAGGTCTGCCTGTCTCTGTAGGCTCCACCTCTGGGGGCAGGGAACAGAAAAACAAAAAGACAGCAGTAACCTCTGCAGACTTAAATGTCCCTGTCTGACAGCTTTGAAGAGAGCAGTGGTTCTCCCAGCATGCAGCTGGAGATCTGAGAACTGGCAGACTGCCTTCTCAAGTGGGTCCCTGACTCCTGACCCCTGAGCAGGCTAACTGGGAGGCACCCTCCAGCAGGGGCATGACACCTCACATGGCCGGGTACTCCAACAGACCTGCAGCTGAGGGTCCTGTCTGTTAGAAGGAAAACTAACGAACAGAAAGGACATCCACTTTTTGATGGGGTTGTTTGTTTTTTTCTTGTAAATTTGTTTGAGTTCATTGTAGATTCTGGATATTAGCCCTTTGTCAGATGAGTAGGTTGCGAAAATTTTCTCCCATGTTGTAGGTTGCCTGTTCACTCTGATGGTAGTTTCTTTTGCTGTGCAGAAGCTCTTTAGTTTAATTAGATCCCATTTGTCAATTTTGGCTTTTGTTGCCATTGCTTTTGGTGTTTTGGACATGAAGTCCTTGCCCACGCCTATGTCCTGAATGGTAATGCCTAGGTTTTCTTCTAGGGTTTTTATGGTTTTAGGTCTAACGTTTAAATCTTTAATCCATCTTGAATTGATTTTTGTATAAGGTGTAAGGAAGGGATCCAGTTTCAGCTTTCTACATATGGCTAGCCAGTTTTCCCAGCACCATTTATTAAATAGGGAATCCTTTCCCCATTGCTTGTTTTTCTCAGGTTTGTCAAAGATCAGATAGTTGTAGATCAAAAAGTGGGCGAAGGACATGAACAGACACTTCTCAAAAGAAGACATTTATGCAGCCAAAAAACACATGAAGAAATGCTCATCATCACTGGCCATCAGAGAAATGCAAATCAAAACCACTATGAGATATCATCTCACACCAGTTAGAATGGCAATCATTAAAAAGTCAGGAAACAACAGGTGCTGGAGAGGATGTGGAGAAATAGGAACACTTTGACACTGTTGGTGGGACTGTAAACTAATTCAACCATTGTGGAAGTCAGTGTGGCGATTCCTCAGGGATCTAGAACTAGAAATACCATTTGACCCAGCCATCCCATTACTGGGTATATATACCCAAAGGACTATAAATCATGCTGCTATAAAGACACATGCACACGTATGTTTATTGCAGCACTATTCACAATAGCAAAGACTTGGAACCAACCCAAATGTCCAACAATGATAGACTGGATTAAGAAAATGTGGCACATATACTCCATGGAATACTATGCAGCCATAAAAAATGATGAGTTCATATCCTTTGTAGGGACATGGATGAAATTGGAAACCATCATTCTCAGTAAACTATCGCAAGAACAAAAAACCAAACACCGCATATTCTCACTCATAGGTGGGAATTGAACAATGAGATCACATGGACACAGGAAGGGGAATATCACACTCTGGGGACTGTGGTGGGGTCGGGGGAGGGGGGAGGGATAGCATTGGGAGATATACCTAATGCTAGATGACACATTAGTGGGTGCAGCGCACCAGCATGGCACATGTATACATATGTAACTAACCTGCACAATGTGCACATGTACCCTAATACTTAGAGTATAATAAAAAAAAAAAAAAAAAAGAATTTTAGTGAAATAACAATGTAAATGAAAACAATTGGAAATAATTTGTGCGATAGAGAAAATTATGGTCTTAAATTGACTTAGTCTTTTCCTCAGAAAGCATCTTCTCCAACAAAAATCCATTAGTGTTGTTAAAATTCCAATTAAAATGTTTCTACTCTTAAATACAAAAAAAAAAAAAAAAAAAAAAAAAGAAAGGACATCCACAACAAAAACCCATCTGTACATCACCATCATCAAAGATCAAAAGTAGATAAAACCACAAAATAGGGAAAAAACAGAGCAGAAAAACTGGAAACTCTAAAAAGCAGAGCGCCCCTCCTCCTCCAAAGGAACGCAGTTCCTCACCAGCAATGGAACAAAGCTGGACGGATAATGACTTTGATGAGCTGAGAGAAGAAGCCTTCAGATGATCAAATTACTCCCAGCTACAGGAGGACATTCAAACCAAAGGCAAAGAAGTTGAAAACTTTGAAAAAATTTTAGAAGAATGTATAACTAGAATAACCAATACAGAGAAGTGCTTAAAGGAGCTGATGGAGCTGAAAACCAAGGCTCGAGAACTACGTGAAGAATGCAGGAGCCAATGCGATCAACTGGAAGAAAGGGTATCAGCGATAGAAGATGAAATGAATGAAATGAAGAGAGAAGGGAAGTTTAGAGAAAAAAGAATAAAAAGAAATGAGAAAGGCTCCAAGAAATACAGGACTATGTGAAAAGACCAAATCTACATCTGATTGGTGTACCTGAAAGTGACGGGGAGAATGGAACCAAGTTGGAAAACACTCTGCAGGATATTATCCAGGAGAACTTCCCCAATCTAGCAAGGCAGGCCAACATTCAGATTCAGGAAATACAGAGAATGCCACAAAGATACTCCTCGAGAAGAGCAACACCAAGATATAATTGTCAGATTCACCAAAGTTGAAATGAAGGAAAAAATGTTAAGTGCAGCCAGAGAGAAAGGTTGGGTTATCCTCAAAGGGAAGCCCATCAGATCTCTTGGCAGAAACTCTACAAGCCAGAAGAGAGTGGGGGCCAATATTCAACATTCTTAAAGAAAAGAATTTTCAACCCAGAATTTCATGTCCAGCCAAACTAAGCTTCCTAAGTGAAGGAGAAATAAAACACTTTACAGACAAGCAAAAGCTGAGAGATTTTGTCATCACCAGGCCTGCCCTAAAAGAGCTCCTGAAGGAAGTGCTAAACATGGAAAGGAAAAACCGGTACCAGCCGCTGCAAAATCATGCCAAAATGTAAAGACCATTGAAACTAGGAAGAAACTGCATCAAGTAACGAGCAAAATAACCAGCTGACATCATAATGACAGGATCAAATTCACACATAACAATATTAACTTTAAGTGTAAATGGACTAAATGCTCCAATTAAAAGACACAGACTGGCCAATTGGATAAAGAGTCAAGACCCATCAGTGTGCTGTATTCAGGAAACCCATCTCACGTGCAGAGACACACATAGGCTCAAAATAAAAGGATGGAGGAAGATCTACCAAGCAAATGGAAAACAAAAAAGGCAGGGGTTGCAATCCTAGTCTCTGATAAAACAGACTTTAAACCAACAAGATCAAAAGAGACAAAGAAGGCCATTACTTAATGGTAAAGGGATCAATTCAACAAGAAGAGCTAACTATCATAAATGTATATGCACCCAATACAGGAGCACCCAGATTCATAAAGCAAGTCCTGAGCGACCTACAAAGAGACTTAGACTCCCACACATTAATAATGGGAGACTTTAACACCCCACTGTCAACATTAGACAGATCAACGAGCCAGAAAGTCAACAAGGATACCCAGGAATTGAACTCAGCTCTGCACCAAGCGGACCTAATAGACATCTACAGAACTCTCCATCCCAAATCAACAGAATATACAATTTTTTTCAGCACCACACCATACCTATTCCAAAATTGACCACATACTTGGAAATAAAGCTCTCCTCAGCAAATGTAAAAGAACAGAAATTGTAACAAACTATCTCTCAGACCACAGTGCAATCAGGATTAAGAATCTCCCTCAAAACCGCTCAACTAATTTTTGAAACCCTTCAAAAAATTAACAAATCCAGGAGCTGGTTTTTTGAAAGGATCAACAAAATTGATAGACTGCTAGCAAGACTATAAAGAAAAAAAGAGAGAAGAATCAAATAGACACAATAAAAAAAAGATAAAGGGGATATCACCACCGATCCTACAGAAATACAAACTACCATCAGAGAATACTACAAACACCTCTACGCAAATAAACTAGAAAATCTAGAAGAAATGGATAAATTCCTCGACACATACACTCTCCCAAGACTAAACCAGGAAGAAGTTGAAGCTCTGAATCGACCAATAACAGGAGCTGAAATTGTGGCAATAATCAATAGCTTACCAACGAAAGTCCAGGACCAGATGGATTCACAGCCGAATTCTACCAGAGGTACAAGGAGGAACAGGTACTATTCCTTCTGAAGCTATTCCAATCAGTAGAAAAAGAGGGAATCCTAAAGAGGGAATCCTCCCTAACTCATTTTATGAGGCCAGCATCATCCTGATACCAAAGCCAGGCAGAGACACAACCAAAAAAGAGCACTTAAGACCAATATCCTTGATGAACATTGACGCAAAAATCGTCAATAAAATACTGGCAAACCGAATCCAGCAGCACATCAAAAAGCTTATCCACCATGATCAAGTGGGCTTCATCCCTGGGATCCAAGGCTGGTTCAATATACACAAATCAATAAATGTAATCCAGCATATAAACAGAACCAAACACAAAATCCACGTGATTATCTCAATAGATGCAGAAAAGGCCTTTGACAAAATTAAACAACGCTTCATGCTAAAAACTCCCAATAAATTAGGTATTGATGGGATGTATCTCAAAATAATAAGAGCTATCTATGACAAACCCACAGCCAATATCATACTGAATGGGCAAAAACTGGAAGCATTCCTTTTGAAAACTGGCACAAGACAGGGATGACCTCTCTCACCACTGCTATTCAACATCGTATTGGAAGTTCTGGCCAGGGCAATTAGGCAGGAGAAGGAAATAAAGGGTATTCAATTAGGAAAAGAGGAAGTCAAATTGTCTCTGTTTGCAGACGACATGATTGTATATCTAGAAAACCCCATTGTCTCAGCCCAAAATCTCCTTAAGCTGATAAGCAACTTCAGCAGTCTCAGGATACAAAATCAATGTACAAAAATCACAAGCATTCTTATACACCAACAACAGACAAACAGAGAGCCAAATCATGAGTGAACTCCCATATACAATTGCTTCAAAGAGAATAAAATACCTAGGAACCCAACTAACAAGGGATGTCAAGGACCTCTTCAAGGAGAACTACAAACCACTGCTCAATGAATCAAAAGAGGATACAAACAAATGGAAGAACATTCCATGCTCATGGGTAGGAAGAATCAATATCGTGAAAATGGCCATACTGCCCAAGGTAATTTATAGATTCAGTGCCATCCCCATCAAGCTACCAATGACTTTCTTCACAGAATTGGAAAAAAACTACTTTAAAGTTCATATGGAACTAAAAAAGAGACCACATCACCAAGTCAATCCTGAGCCAAAAGAACAAAGCTGGAGGCATCACACTACCTGACTTCAAACTATACTACAAGGCTACACTACAGTAACCAAAACAGCATGGTACTGGTACCAAAACAGAGATATAGATCAATGGAACAGAACAGAGCCCTCAGAAATCACACCACATATCTACAACTATCTGATCTTTGACAAACCTGAGAAAAACAAGCAATGTGGAAAGGATTCCCTGTTTAATAAATGGTGCTGGGAAAACTGGCTAGCCATATGTAGAAAGCTGAAACTGGATCCCTTCCTTACACCTTATACAAGAATCAATTCAAGATGGATTAAAGACTTAAATGTTAGATCTAAAATCATAAAAACCCTAGAAGAAAACCTAGGCATTACCACTCAGGACATAGGCATGGGCAAGGACTTCATGTCTAAAACACTAAAAGCAATGACAACAAAAGCCAAAATTGACAAATGGGATCTAATTAAACTAAAGAGCTTCTGCACAGCAAAAGAAACTACCATCAGAGTGAACAGGCAACCTACAAAATGGGAGAAAATTTTCACAACCTACTTATCTGACAAAGGGCTAATATGCAGAATCTACAGTGAACTCAAACAAATTTACAAGAAAAAAACAAACAACCCCATCAAGAAGTGGGCAAAGGACATGAACAGACACTTCTCAAAAGAGGACATTTATGCAGCCAAAAAAACACATGAAAAAATGCTCACCATCACTGGCCATCAGAGAAATGCAAATTGAAACCACAGTGAAATACCATTTCATACCAGTTAGAATGGGGATCATTAAAAAGTCAGGAAACAACACTTGCTGGAGAGGATGTGGAGAAATAGGAACACTTTTACACTGTTTGTGGGACTGTAAACTAGTTCAAACATTGTGGAAGTCAGTGTGACGATTCCTCAGGTATCTAGATCTAGAAATACCATTTGACCCAGCCATCCCATTACTGGGTATATACCCAAAGGATTATAAATCATGCTGTTATAAAAACACATGCACACGTATGTTTATTGCGACATCATTCACAATAGCAAAGACTTGGAACCAACACAAATGTCCTACAATGATAGACTGGATTAAGAAAATGTGCCACATATACACCATGGAATACTATGCAGCCATAAAAAATGATGAGATCATGTCATTTGTAGGGACATGGATGAAATTGGAAATCATCATTCTCAGTAAACTATTGCAAGAACAAAAAACCAAACACCGCATATTCTCACTCGTAGGTGGGAATTGAACAATGAGAACACATGGACACAGGAAGGGGAACATCACACTCTGGGGACTGTTGTGGGGTGGGGGGAGGGGGGAGGGATAGCATTGGGAGATATAACTAATGCTAGATGACGAGTTAGTGGGTGCAGCACACCAGCATGGCCCATGTATACATACATAACTAACCTGCACATTGTGCACATGTACCCTAAAACTTAAAGTATAATTAAAAAAAATCTTTCCAGAATGAAATAAATAACACCGCTTATTAATAGACAATATCATCTAAATTTAAAAAAATGTTACAATCTACAAAAATCATCTAGAACTAATAAGTGGATTTTTCAAGGTTGTGGAATCTAAGGTCAGTATAAAATGATAAATCTATAAACTACACTAAAAATTAGAAATTAAAATTTTAAAACAATGCCACTAACAAACAAAAATATAAAATACATAATAATAAATTTGACAAAATCTATGCAAGAACTATATAGCAGAAACAACACAGTATTGTAAAGACAAATTAAAGAAAACCTAAATACAGTGAAGCATATTATTATGCATAATTGATAGGAGAAATATCATATATTGATATAGCATATGAATAATGGAAGGGGATAATAGGCCCCTTTTGGGTTCAGTAGGGGCTTATTGAGGGTTTGATGGCTGAATATTGTTATAATTTCAAATCTTCCACTATGTTATTAATAGAATCAATGTAATCTCAATCAGAAACCTAGCAGGCTTAAGAAAAAAGAGAAGCCAATTATAAAATGTATGTGGAAATACAAAGGAACTGGAATATCCATTAAAACTTTAAAAGTAAAAACACCACTGAAATACTAACATCAGATGATTTGTAGACTTGATTTTACAAATGGTTATCAAGACAGACACATATATCAATGAAATTGAATACTGAGTCCAGAAATTGACCCAGACCAAAATGGTCTGTTGATTTTTGACAAAGATCTACATAAAATTTGGTGGAAAAGGATAGTCATTTTTACAAATTGTGTTAGAAAAATTAGATATCCATATGTAAATAACAATTATAATTAACTTCAATCCACACCTTACACCATATATTAAAATTTAGTCAAGATGGAATTTAGATTTAGATATAACATCTAAAACTATAAAATTTCAAGAAGATAATGTGGAACAACATATTTATGAATCTGGATTTGGCATAGATTTTTTAAAATACAACAGAAAAAGTACAAAATATAAAAGAAAAAAGTCAATAACTTATATTAGTCTATTTGTGATGCTATACAAAATAACTTAGACTGGGTAGTTTATAAAGAAAGCAAATTAACCTTTTATAACTCCAGAGGCCAGGAAGTCCAAGATCAAGATACCAGAAAGTTTGATGTCTAGTGAGGGTTACACACTTTGTCTAAGCTATTACCTTGTTGCTGCATCTCCAAATGGGAGAAATGCTGTATTCTCATGTGGAAGAAAAGCCCAAAGGGCTTAAGTTAGTTCCTTCCTTCCCTTTTATAATGATCTGTCCCTCATGACTTAATCACTTCCCAAAAGGCCTCACCTTTTAATATCATCACCATGGGGGTGAATTTCAACATGTGAATTTTGGAAGGGACACATTCAAACCATAGCACTCTACCAGTGGTGGGCCAAAATTCATGTTCTCCTCACATACAAAAATACATTAATTCTATCCCAAAAGTGTTAACACATTCCAGCATAACTTTTAAAGTCTATATGCAAAGTCTGATCTAGAACATGCAAATATTATCTAAATCAGATATGGGGGATACTCAAAGTATGATTCATCTAGAGTCAAATTACCATTCAGAGTCCAAAATACCATTGGAAGATGGTCATGGGATAGGTATTCCCAATCCAAAAGATACAACTAGGTAAGAGGAAAGGGGTGATAGTTTGCTTTTGGTTTCAAAACAAAACGGGACGAACAACATTGTATCTTAAGGCCTGAGAATAATATTATTTGACTCCATGTCCCACATTCCAGACACACTTGAGTGAAGGTTGAGTCCCCAAGGCTGCAAAAAACTTTCTCACATTGATTTTTGGGGTACAGCCATGCCACAGCTCTTAGGGTTTGATTTAATTTGCCTGGAGCTCTCCCAGGCTGGCATTGCAGTAGCGGCTGTGCAGGCCTGGGGTCTTGGAGGTGACCTTCATCCAATAATCTTGGTAAACACTGCTCTAGTGGTGGCTATCTGCAGTATCCATGACCCCTTAGCTCCACTGGACATTTCCCCTGTCGAGATCCCCTTTGGTAACCCTGACCCCATGGCTCAACTGCGCATTGCGCTAGTGGAGGGAATGATATGGTTAGGCTTCCTGGTGTCCCCACCGAAATCTCATCTTGGACTGTAATCCCCATAATACCCACATGTCAAGGGTGGGACCAGGTGGAAGTAATCGAATCATGGGGGCATTTGATAATTAGTGAGTTATCATGAGATCTGATAGTTTTATAAGGGGCTTGATGTGGTTTGTTTGTGTCCCCACCCAAATCTCATCTTCAGTTGTAGTTCCCATTATCTTCATGTGTCATAGGAGGGAACAAGTGGGAAGTAATGTAATCATGGGAGTGGTTACCTCCATATTGTTGTCATGATAGTGAGTGAGTTCTCACCAGATGGTTTATAAGGGGCTTTTCCCCCTTTGCTCAGGACTTCTCCTTTCTGATGCCATGTGAGAAAGGACTTGTTGCTTCCCCTTCCATCATGATTGTAAGTTTCCTGATTCCCCTCCAGCCCCATAGAACTGTGAGTCAATTAAACCTCTTTCCTTTATAAATTATCCAGTCTCAGGTATGTCTTTATTAGCAGTGTGAGAATGGACTAACACAGGGCTCTTACCCTGTTACTCAGCACTTCTTCTTTCTGCTGCCTTGTGAGAAGGTGCCTGGCTTCCTCTTTGCCTTCCTCCATGATTGTTAAGATTTCCCCATCCATGTTGAACTGTGAGTCAATTAAACCTATTTCCTTTATATATTACCCAGTCTCAGGCAGTTCTTTATAGCAATATGAAAACAGACTAATGCAGGCATTCCGCAGTGGCCCTGATCCTGCAGTATTTCTCTGACTGGACCCCAAGTTTCTCTGGGGCATTCATTGAAAATTAGGAGGTATCCATGCCTCCACAGCTCATTTGCTCTGCGTGACTGCAAAGTTAGCACCACATGAATGCTGTCAAGGATTATAGCCTGTATCTTCCAGAGAACTTGCCCTTGCTGCAACTAAGCCCACTTGAGCCACAGCTGAGAATGCTGTGGAGCACTACATTGGAATGGGGGAAGCAGAGACTTGAGGTGGGCTTAGGCAGCAAACACTGAGGATCTTCAGGCATCCCGGGACCCTCCCTTGAAACTATTCTGCCCTCAAAGACTTAGTTCTTTGTGCCTGTGGTGAGAGAGGTAGCCTGGAAGATCTCTGTTTTGCCATCAGGATCATTCCTCCATTGTTCTGATAAAAGGAATCTGGCTTCTTCCTATCTATACTAATCTCCTCATCTAATGGTCACTTGGCCACACACTTGGTTTTGTCTCCTAAACATAGGTTTTTATTCTTTACTAGGCGAGGTTAACAATTTTCGAAATCTTCAGGGTCTTCTCCCCTTTTTAATTCCCTTAGAATTATAAATCTTTAATGTGTTTCTCTTTTATTGCATTTTACTATAAGCAGCTAAGCCATGCCATCCAGCACCCTGAACAATTTGTTTAGATATTTATTTCACCAAATATTCTAGTTCATCATTGTAAATCTGGCCTTTCTCTTTTTTTTTTTTTTTTTTTTTTTTTTTTTTGAGATGAAGTCTCAGTCTTTCACCCAGGCTGGAGTGCAGTGGCGCGATCTCCACTCACTGCAGGTTCCGTCCCCCGGGGTTCACGCCATTCTCCTGCCTCAGCCTCCTGCATAGCTGGGACTACAGGCACCCGCCACCGCGCCCGGCTATTTTTTTGTGTTTTTAGTAGAGACGGAGTTTCACCGTGTTAGCCAGGATGGTCTCGATCTCCTGACCTCATGATCCACCTGCCTCGGCCTCCCAAAGTGCTGGGATTACAGGTGTGAGCCACCGCGCCCAGCCTAAATTCTGCCTTTCACAAAACAGAACATGGAGACGAGTCCGGCAAATACTTTGCCACTTAGTAACAAGGATGGCATTTCCTCTATTTTCCAGTAAGATAGTCTTCATTTCCATCTGAGACCTCATCAGAATGGCCATTACTGTCCATATTTCTATGAACATTCTGTTCATGACCACATAGGTAATCTCTAAAACTGAGGCTTTCTCTATAGCTCTCCTCTTCTAAGCTCTCACCAGAATTGCCCTTAACAATCTATTCATGGCAATCTAAGCTTTTACTAGCCTGCACCTTAAAATTCTTCCAACCTCTACCCAGTTCCAAAGCCACATTCACATTTTTAGGTATATGTTAGAGCAGCACATTCACTTGTCAATACCAATTTGTCTTAATTTGTGAGGCCATGAAGTACCTTAGACTTAGTAATTTACAGTTCAGGAGGCCATGAAGTTCAATATCAATGCAAAAGCAGATTAGGTGTCTGGTGAGTGCTGCTCTCTATTTCCAAGATGGCACCCTGTAACTGCATCTTCCAGAGGAGAAGAATGCTGTGTCCTCACCTGCCAGAAGAGCAGAACACTGGTCTTCTATAGATTTCCTTGAACATTTCAAGCTGCTTCATACAACAAGGATGTGGAACTTGTCTATCTCCTCTGCCCAGAACGCTCTTCTTCCAAGTATTTACCTACCTAATTCTTTATGTCATTTAAATGTCATCTCTCTGTAGAAGCATTGTTCACCCCATTCCTTCTGCCAACTCTCTACTCCCTTTTCTTTTATTCACAGCACTACTTGAAATTAAATATTTGTTTGCTCTTGAGTTGGAAGCTATATGAAGGCAGAAACATTTGGTTAGTTTTATGCACTACTGAATCACCCAATGCCTGGAAGAGTACTTCACAAATAGGAATCTCTGATGAAAGAATTGTTGAATGATCATATGAGTAATTGTGGACTTACACTAAAAGTGAAAATAAATAAAATGCTGGCTCTTAAGGCAAAAAGATCTGCAGGCAAGGACTGCCAAGTGAATCTGAGCACAGAGCTATTGCAGCCAACTAGAGAAAAGGGGAAACTTGGAAGCTTGGAAGTCATAGATAAGGAAACACCAAAGAAGCCTTTGAAGATTACAGATTAATCTAATATCTTATGACTAGAAGAGAATGTGCATATTTGTCTTAAGAAGAGATTGTGAGTGGGAAAGTGATGTAATTAGATATGTTTCATGCATATCATAATTGTTGTATATAATTATTGGTATTGGTGCCTTAATTTACTCTTTGATAAGCCTAAGTTCTACCCTTTCCTCATCAGTTTTCTTCTGAGTTCCCAATATACTGGGTAGTTGAATAGGAAAAATCTGTTTATTTAACTTCCTATTAATCTATTCATATATAATGTATATATATAAAATGTGTTTGTGTATATATATAACATATATATAACATATATAACACATATATAACATATATATAACATATATATAACATATATAACATATATAACATATATATCATATATATATATACACACATTTCTACTAAGTTTGTGTTCAATTTTAGCAGTAGTTTCTTTTTCTCCAGTTCTTAATAAAGTAACTAATATTCTGAGGAAAATAGAGTTAAGATACTTACGTTAGGCCGGCCTGGTGGCTACCTGTAATCTCAGCACTTTGGGAGGCTGAGGTGGGAAGATCATGAGGTCAGCATTTCGAGACCAGCCTGGCCAACATAGTGAAACCCCATCTCTACTAAAAAGTACAAAAAATTAGCTGGGTGTGTTGGCGAACACTACTCATGAGGCTGATGCAGGAGAATTTCTTCAATCCAGGAGGCAGAGGTTGCAGTGAGTTGAGACGGCACCATTGTAGTCCAGCCCAAGCAACAGTGTGAGACTCCAGAAAAAACTTATGTTAACTAATGAAATTAATTTTGTTAAGTATTTTTAAGTTGTATCATTTCATTCACTTCTGCAAGGATGTATCTTGCTGGCATTGATTGTATTTTTTTTTGAGATAGGGTCTCACTGTCACCCAGGCTGGAGTGCAGTGGCATGATCTAGGCTCACTGCCACCTCCACCTCCTTCCAGGCTCAAGCAATCCTCCCACCTCAGCCTCCTGAGTAGCTGGGACTACATACAGGTGCACACCCTCATGTCCAGCTAATTTTTTGTATTTTTGGTAGAGATGGGCTTTCGCCATGTTGCCCAGGCTGGTCTTGAATGCCTGAGCTTAAGCAATCTGCCCCCTTTGTCCTCCAAAAGTGCTAGGATTACAGACATGAACCACTGCGCCCAGCCAATTGTATTTGTTTACAAGCAAATTATTGAGGAAAATTGGCAATAAATATATATACATACATCTATTTTAAATTTCTCTAATTTTATTTTGAAAGTATCTTTTAAATGATAAATGTACCCATAGACTTAATGAAAAGAAAAAAAACAAAAATATTAAATTTTCCCTTCAGTAAAACATTTTGAAACTATAAATAAAGAATAAAACACAAGGTGAAAACAAGCAGGAAAATAGCATTTAAAAATGCATATAAATAAATGTTATCTTCACTGATATCTTCGTTTACACCAGTAAACTATTACAAAATCATTTTTAAGTCTGCATTGCCTTTAAAAAAGGAAAATTCAGCATATCTTTTATTTTTTATTATTTTATTTTATTATTATAATACTTTAAGTTTTAGGGTACATGTGCATAATGTGCAGGTTAGTTACGTATGTATACATGTGCCATCCTGGTGTGCTGCACCCATTAACTCATCATTTAGCATTAGGTATATCTCCTAATGTTATCCCTCCCCTCTTCCCCAACCCCACAACATTCCCCAGAGTGTGATGTTCCCCTTCCTGTGTCCATGTGATCTCATTTTTCAATTCCCACCTGTGAGTGAGAACATGTGGTGTTTGGTTTTTTGTCCTTGTGATAGTTTACTGAGAATGATGATTTCCAATTTCATCCATGTCCCTACAAAGGACATGAACTCATCATTTTTTATGGCTGCATAGTATTCCACGGTGTATATGTGCCACATTTTCTTAATCCAGTCTATCATTGTTGGACATTTGTGTTGGTTCCAAGTCTTTGCTATTGTGAATAGTTCCGCCGTAAACATACGTGTGCATGTGTCTTTATAGCAGCATGATTTATAGTATTTTGGGTAATTCAGTGTAGCTTTTAAAAATCACCAAAAATAAATTTGCAAAGAAGTTTAAAGATATTTCCGAGATGTTTTTTATTGTGATTTTTTTCTTTCACACACAGAAAGCAATCAAGAATTTTCACAGGAAACTTGTTTTTTAATAAATTGGTGGGTGATTGTGCAGGTGTGTGAATGAATTTTGAGAGGTTCCCAGCATTCCTGGGGGCTCATCCTTCAGTAGATAGATTACAGGGTAGAAGCAGAGGGTTGCGGGCCTCTGACTCCCCTTTAAATGCCAAAAATGTGAAAATGCCTCTCGGATTTGCCTATAGCCATCCACAGAAGAACTTACACTATAAAAAAAATCTAAAGGTTGGGTGTGGTGGCTCATTCTTGTAATCCCAACACTTTGGGAGACTGAAGCGGGTGGATCACGAGGTCGAGAGTTCCAGACCAGCCTGCTCAACATGGTGAAACCTAGTCCGTACCAAAGATACAAAAAATTAGCCAGGTGTGCTGGCATGTGCCTATAATCCCAGCTTCACGAGAGGCTGAGGCAGGAGAATTGCTTAAACCTGGGAGGCGGAGGTTTCAGTGAGCTGAGAACACACCATTGCACTCCAGCCTAGGCAACAGGGGGAGATTCCGCCTCAAAAAAAACAACAACAAAAAAGCCAAATGTTATTGGCATTTTTATAAGATCCAGCAGTAAGTAATACTCAGAATGTTTTGTCCTCTAAGTTTTAATTGGCAATGTTTCTTCTAAACAAATATCCAGAAATATTTTTTAAATAAAGCTTGGGGAGTTGTTTACAAAGCACTCATGCAAAGCCATTTTAATATTTTGGAAGATAACAAGTTATATTACATTTACATTGAATTCAAGGTAATTTTTAAGTAATGAATTGTCTTACCTCATTTTATTCCAGTCCCCTCATTTTACAGATTTTACAGCCTAGAGAAGAGAAAAAACTTCTGGCAATTCATACTGACAGATAATGAGAAAACTAACAGTGGAAACCAAGTCTCCTGCCCATGAACTCACCAATCCCCATCCTTTTGTCTTTTCACTATACCACTCAATTTACTTTTGGATTCAAAGCAGAAAAATATAGTGGAAATGTGTATAAGATAGTTTCTTGATTTTTTAACTAATTTTTCTATTTAAGCCTAGGAAGAGAAAAAGGAGCATTTTATTTTATAGTTAATAAACTAAAACATACATTTTTCTTAACTAGAAAGGCAGAAACTAAGTTGAGAAGTCCTGTGCACAGTATCATTTTCAAGCGTATATCTGATGAAAAAAATATTGAAAGGAACACAAACAACTGTTACCTGAAGTGTATAACATATTGGTAAATGTTTTTGATCCTTCCATGAGGAAGGGACAATGGAGTAGATAACCTCCATACAACTGTGGGAAAACACCCACTGCTCTTTATTTTGGGAAGCTACTTTCTGAATGCAAACACAAAAGAAAAGTAAAATAAATTAAGCAACTCATCCACATACAGCTAAGATGAAAACATGTAGTATATAGTTTGTAGATGACAGTGTCAAATGTGAAGTCAATCACTACCAGAAGAGAAGAGAGCCAGCTAACTATATCAGGGAAGAAAAACTGGATAAGCAAGATGTCTGAAAAGCACTGTGGGCTACAAACTATAATAGACTCAGTGAGGTTAAGTGTAGTTTTTCAGGTCCTGGACTTGGCTTCAGAACTCAACTGTACAAGATGGGAAGTAGTGGCTTACCAGTAATACATTCAAATAAGACTTGGGAGTTTGAGTAGATAGTTAATATAAATCAATTAGGAGTTAAAAATCATATAATCTTAGGCACATATACACTGAAATATGATAACTGTAATAGGAGAAATTCTAGTTCCACTCCACTGAGTGCAGTTACAGGTAAATTACTTAATTTCCATATGCCTCAATTTCCTCATTGTCCAAATGGGGATTCAAATTCCACACTCCTTGTCATGTTGTAAGGATTAAATTAATTAATACAAGTAAAGTACTTGGCAAAGTACTTGATACTCAATAAAGGCTAGCTACCATTATTATTAGTTATTATTATTATTCAGATCACCCTAAGACACTGAACTCAGTGATACATTTTTTAAAAAGGGATAAACTAGTAAGCATTCAACAGACTGTGATCACAAAGTGACTGAAAAGACCCTCAGAATCTCAACATATAAGGATAACTTATGGGAACCAGCATGTTTAACATGAAGAAAAGATGACTTCAATTATTATATAAACTGTTACTACGTATCAGTTTATATACGTGGCTGTTACGTGGAAGAGGAGGTAAATTTGTTCTCTAAGGCTGGAGACAGAGGGTAGAAAATACAGGGAGACAAGATCTGGTTTAATACAAGCAAGGCTGTTATAATCAACAGAATTATCTACAGATGGAGTGGAGTGTCTCAGGAGGCAGACAGTTGAAGTTGAATATTTGGCTAAGATTTTGAAGACAAGGTTTACACATCAGGTGGTTGGGTAGGACTAAATGACAGCTAGAATTCTGTTCTTTCCAGACATGAGTTCCTGTAATTCCATTACAGTTCTCAAAGCACACTTTGGTGGTCAAGCCAGTCTAGTATCATTGACCCTAAAATTTGTCTGGGGGAAGAAGCTTGCCATTATCACACAACTATTAGCAGTTTTCAATGTAACATTGTGATGATGACTAACCAAATTAACTAAAGAGCAAAATACTGAAGATGACAGAATACAGCAATCCACAGGGGGAAGAAAAAGATCACAAACGTAGACAAAGCTGCCCAACCTCCTCCAAGGATCAGAGAAATGCACACTGAAAATATTATTTTGGCTGGACATGGTGGCTAATGCCTGTAATCCCAACACTTTGTGAGGCAGAGGCAGGCAGATCACCTGAGGTCGGCAGTTTGAGACCAGCCTGACCAACATGGAGAAACACCATCTGTATGAAAAATACAAAGTTAGCCGGGTGTGGTGGTGCATGCCTGTAATCCCAGCTACTTAGGAGGATGAGGCAGGAGAATTGCTTGAATCCAGGATGTGAAGGTTGTGTTGAACCGAGAAGGCACCATTGCATTCCAGCCTGGGCAAAAAGAGTGAGACTCCTTCTCAAAAAAAAAAAAAAGAAAAGAAAAGAAAAAAGAAAATAACAATTTAATTGCTAATGTTTTCAAAATTAGATGATATTAAAGCTGAAGAAAAGGCTGGGCACAGTGGCTCACTCCTGTACTCCCAAGCACTTTCAGAGGCTGAGATGGGTGGATCACCTGAGGTCCAGAGTTAAAGACCAGCCTGGCCAACATCTTGAAATCCCATCTCTACTAAAAATACAAAAATTAGCTGAGCATGGTGGTGGATGCCTGCAATCTCAGCTACTCAGGAGGCTGAAGCAGGAGAATTGCTTAAATCTGGGAGGCGGGGAGATTGCAGTGAGCCAAGGTTGTGCCATTACACTTCAGCCTGGGCAACAGAGCAAGACACCGTATCAAAACAAAAAAGAAAAAAAATGTCAAGAAGTTAGATGTACAAACTAAGTTCTTAGAGGTACAAAGTGGGAGCTGAGC
This sequence comes from Homo sapiens, assembly GCF_000001405.40. Lineage (NCBI taxonomy): Eukaryota > Metazoa > Chordata > Mammalia > Primates > Hominidae > Homo > Homo sapiens. The sequence goes on from NC_000024.10 coordinate 9,607,534, forward strand.
TTTCTTGACTGCGTGAGATCCAGTAAGCCAGGAGGAAACAGTTTCGGAAGTTCTTGAATGTCTATTTCAATCCCTCTTTCATCTTGGAGGTCCTATGAGAGTTATAAATGCCAGTCTGTGTTAGAATCCAGAGAATGGCAAGCTAGGAATCATTTCATGGAGAAGCAGATGTAACAGGTGGAGTACTACATATGTGGTTTAATACTTCAGTCCTCTGAGAGGAGCTGTGAAATAACAGTTCCCTATTCATTCAAGGGCACTGTATCAGACATAAACTCTAGAAAAAAATTATTATTCAATTTTTCTTACCTCTTTTAAGTGAGTATTTTCATAATTCTACGTGTGTATCTTAACTGGTTTCTGCGTTTGTCTCACAGGAAATTGATGTGGTTGTGGCTTTTTATTTGTTGCATTTTTGTGTGGAGGAACAAATTAGAGCCTCCTATTTTGTCACCTTGTGGATATACCCTTTATTATTATTTTTTTACTTATTTAAAAAAATTTGTACGCAACAGTTGTAGATACTTTCGGCAATATCATGCGATATTTTGATACAAGTAATGTGTATTGGTAAGGAAGGGATCAAAGAGGGATTGGGGGTGGGTTAAATTATGGCTGCTTAGAAGGAATGAGGTCTAGTGTTCAGCAGCATAGGATGACTACATTTAACAATGACTTATTGTATATTTCAAAAGAATTAAAAGAGTGAAGATGGAATGTCACTCATACCAACAAATGATATGCCACTCTCAGAGGCTCACAACTATAATCACAACATTTTGGGAGGCCAAGGAAGGAGGATCACTTAAGCCTGGAAGTTTCAGACCGGCCTGAACAATATATCCGAAGCATTGTCCCTACCACACACACACACACAAACACAAAAGCTGGGCTCAGTGATGTGTGCCTGTAATTCCAGCTACTTGGGAGGTTGAAATGGAAGGCTCACACATTTCAACACAGGAGTTCAAGGCTGCAGCGAGCTACGATGGTGACACTGCAGTCCAGGTTGGACAACATAGTGAAACCCTGTCTCTAAAAATAATAAAGAAATGATAAGTGCTTAAACTGAAGGATACCAGATTATCTACATATTTGTTGATTTATATAATTATTTTTGAGTTGGAGTCTTGCTCTGTCACTCAGGCTAGACTGTATATGGGCTCACTGCAGTCTCAGGCTCCCAGGTTCAAATGATTCTCCTGTCTGAGCCTCCCAATTAGCTGTAACATACTACAGGTGTGGGCCAACATGGCTGGCTAATTTTTGTATTTTTGGTAGAGATAGGTTTCATGGTGTTGGCCAGGCTGGTCTTGAACTCCTGACCTAAAGTGATCTGCAAGCCTTGGCCTCCCAATGTGCTGCAATTAAAGAACTAAGCCATCACACCTGGACAGTAACATACAAAAGACTAGGGAATTTATCTTTTTACTTCATCCTCACAATGCTACATTGTAGATGAATGAAAACACAACTTCATAACATGAATAACTCACTTGAAAATCAAAGTTGGTAACTTCTCCCTTTAAAATTATTTGCACCCTTACCCTATAAAAATTGATGATCTTATTAAAATTTTGCCAAGAAAATACTTTGTCCTTGCAGAATAGTCTGTTAATTGTAAGAATGATGGACTGTAAAACTTCTAGAACTTCATATATTTCATTTCTTTAGGTTGGATAATCAGAAAAATTAATTGGTTTAGTTATTTGGGTACAAATATTTTATTTTTTTTATCATTTGATGATTTATTAAACCTTTAAGCAATCCCCTGTCTGAAACTTTAGGCTGTTGTTTTATGTTTTATATACTTCACTTTCCAAAAGTATGAGGTCTAAAACGTTCACATTCGCATCTTCAAATAAATCTGATCGGCTGATAGTTGTGGCTCATGCCTATAATCCTAGCACGTTGGGAGTCTGAGGAGGTGGGTCAGGATTTCAAGAACAGCCTGGCAAACATGGTGAAATGCTGTCTGTACTAAAAATACAAAAAATTAGCCAGCTATGGTGCACACGTATCTAATACCAGTTACTCAGGACGCTGAGGCAGGAGAATAGCTTGGACCCAGATGGCAGAGTTTGCAGTAAGCCAAAATCGAGCCACTGCACCCCAGCTTGGGCAACAAAGCTACGCTGCATCTCAAAAAAAAATTGATAAAATCCCAACTATACTAGATTATTCCTGTTTGTAAGAACTTATTGCTAAACCGTTACTTATAGTATCCATTGTCAAATCTTTCAAGAAAAAATTAACATGCATAACTCTCAAGACAAAACACATACGTTCCACTATTTAAAGTAGGAACATTTAATTTCATTATGCTATGCACTTGAGAAACTTAATTGGTTCAGTTTTGATTTAGGTTAAAAAAAAAAGTTTTCATTCCCAATATCCCCCTTCAGTCACAGAATCCTTCATGTAGAATGTTCCAGATGTCTTAAACTTTAATATCAACCACATCTAATTATTTCCTTTGACCTGTAATATTCCTCTAAAAGATAAATGTTATATGGTGAGGCAGACAGTTGTGTAGTCCTTCTGAAGATTTCTCAAACATTTTAAGCTTGTAATTTTTTAAAGAGAAACACAGCATAATTAGAAAACTTATGCAGCTTGCAAGGGAGACATAACATATGCTTGATTTTGTATCTACTTATGTTCGAAGAAACAAAGGAATATGTTCAAAAACAACACAATTTACTCTCCTATTCAATTTGCTTTTAAGCATGTGTAGCTAAGCAGTAACATCAGGCATTTTGCATTACATGTAAAATTTCTTTATGAAAATTTTAATGCAGATATTACATCTAAACAAAGAGTTTCCAAATAGCATTAACAAGTATGAAATTACTTTGAAAAAAATTCCTTTTCCTCTGAATATCTCAGAAAAATTATGGAGTAAGTATCTATGTCTCTCCACAAAACCAGCATGTTGCTTTGAGTGGTATGCAGGTAACAATGAATAAATAACATTTCAATTTTCGATTTGCAAAGAAGGTTTGGTATGCAATAACTATTATTTTGAATACTTGCTTTAATATCTACTTCAGTCTCCTTTTTCAGATCAGCTTCTCTTACCATCTCCTGTAGATGCCACATAACTTGAGCTACCATATGCTTCACGAGGAGCAGGGTGCACTCTATCCAGAGAAATTAGATTCCTTTGGTCTTTTCTGCCAACGTGCTCATGAAAACAGGAATAAAAATCACCACAGTGTCTTGAGTAACTCTCCGACTTCTGCTATATCTATCTCGTGTATTGTTATAATAATGGCGGCTTCTTCCACCATAAGACATCCGAGGCCCTTGTGCAGGTGGTGCACCATGAGAGGTCCCTGCAGGGTTGATAAAATAATATGTTGGACTACATCCAAACATTTTTACTGCTACCACTAAAGCATGAATTAGTTAAAGTACTATTTGGAAATATCTGTTTTCCTCTGCCTTTGTTGCAGGATATTAATTATGCCTGCAATAGTCAGAAGTTTTATTTAAAAGAAGTGTAAGAGTAGCATTTTGAAGCTTAACAAATTTAATCCTAAAGTAAAGGTTGAGTCACATTTTCTGAACACGAAGTGAAGTTCTCACCTTCATATCATTTAATATGCTTTATACTGTTAACAATATTCAATATTTAATCGTTATATTTGTCCCTTATAATTTTCCTTAGAAGTTCATTAAAATAATGATCTGATCTAATAAATATAATTCTATAATTTATGAATCCATCCTGGACCCTCATCATATCTCTGAATTGTATCTCTGTAAGAACTTCCACTTGGATGTTCAGAATGATCTCTACCACGGGCCTCACCATAGCCATCCTGATCACTAAATTGGAAAAAAAAAGTTTTCTTAATGCTAGAATAAACAATTTAAGAAATCTATTTGACAAATCTGGAAAACCTTATAGTACCTATATTCTCTAGAGGAATGTTCAACCTGAATAGAATGACCATAATCATGGTATGCATAGTCTCTAAGTGGTGGAGCATAATCCCTGGTTTCTGGGGAACTTGGATGATTTCTGTGTGCATAAGTTTAAGCTAAACAAATTTTAAATTTTCAACTTCTAGTATCCAAAACATAACTAACTTACAACTTAAACAAAATTAAAAGGCCAAACATCTAAATAGATATTTCTCCATATAAAATAGACACCTGAAAAGCACATGGAACAGATACTCATAATCAGTCATACAGAAAACGCATTTCAAATCCCAAATGAGATACCATACTTCACACACACACTGGAATGGCAATAAATTTTAAAAAGCAGGAAATAACAAGTGTTTGATAGGATGTAAATAAATTGGAACCCTGATACAATGCTAGTTGGAATGGAAAATGATGCAGCTACTATGGAGAAATGTGGTGGTTCCTCAAGAAAACAAACATAATTATCACAGGACCAAGCAATTCCACTCACATACACCCAGAATTGAATAAGCATACTCAAACAAATATTAGTGCGTAGAAATACTGCCATGGAAACAACCCAAATAAAATAATGGGTTAACAGCTTGTGGAAGGAGTAAAGTGCTGTGATGTAAATGAATCTTCAGGACATCACAGATGTGAAAAGTGTGTAGTGTTTGAGCCCATTAACATTAAATGCTCCCAACCAGGGGTTCAGAGTTAGAACACAGATTGGTGTTTGCTAGCAGCTGAGGAAAGGGAAAAAATGGAAGGGACTGCTTAACTGGTAGTTGGAGGTTTATTTTGGAGTGATGAAAATGTTTTGGAACTCGATGGAGGTAGTTGGTGTGTGACACAGAATGTATTAAATGCCACTTAACTGTTTACCTTATAATGTTTAATTTTGTTATGTGAATTTCATCACCACAAAAACAATCAACTGTTTTTTAAAAATTTTTCCTTTACCCATCCTTAGTTGCATAACCGTCATCTCTTGGTGACATATGGTTATTTGCCAGGAAGAGATTGGCTTTCTGCATGGAGGACCTCCATAATTCTCTCTTCCATATGATATGGGACCTTTAATATTAAAAATGATGGAACATTATGAAAAGAACACTATTTTCTGAAACACTATTTTCTCTTCTCTCAAGCAACTTTTTAAAATTATTTCTTCTATGTCTCCATTCCTCATTCCTTAAATCGCTAGACAGTCATGATACTGTGAATATTTCTTATGGCTTTGGATAATCTCATGGCTCCTGCAAGGCCAATTCTTCTAAGGAAGCTGAAGCCAAACATTAATTCATAGGTAAAAGTTCATTTGTAATGGTTAATAACTACTTAGTTATTATTTTCCTTTTTCCTTAGTTATTATTTTCCTTTTCATATGAATTACTGATTACTACTAATGGCACATGGACAAATGTAAAACCATCAAACTCTTCACTGATTTTAAAGTTTATGTACATTGTCCTTTCTCAGCTGAAGAAGGTAAATTTTCCCTTGTTTACTTCATCTCACACACAAACACTGCCACCTTTGAACAACTCCATGCTAAATTTTTACATAAAAGTTCTCCTTTATCTCTAAGTGGTTGGCTTTATTTTAAATGTTGACAAATTAAAATGTACTAGAGAAGATATTCTAATGATGGCCAAGATTTATTTTATTGCAATAAGCAATTCTATTAAAGGGGAGATTACAACATTGTTGCTATTTCAAAATAGAAAAGGTTCTCCTGTAATATACTCTTCATGTGCTATTTCTTAGAGGTCAGTCTTTCACCTATGATATGTTCACTGGCTAATTTTCCAATGGAAATATGTTGGCTTATGTATCTTGAAGTTGATAAATACCTAACTTCACCAATACTCTACATATGAAATGTAAAGTTGAAAATGGCAGTTTTCAATTTCCTCCATATTGGGATGGAGGACTAAATAAGAATTTTAATTAGTTCTGCTTAAGCTTCTTTACTAGGAAATTTAATTTATTGTCTTGCTTTCTTCTGTACAGTCTGCAATCTTACAATTTTCCTTCTCAAAATATTACTTCTATTCAGTCCTACCGCTCACATCATATTGCTTAGTTCTAAATTCTCTCCTCAAACAATTTCACTTCTTGCACTAAGGATCTTGTGTTAATGTTTAAACATCCAGGTACAATCTCCTTTTTTTCTTTATTATTATTATTATTATTATTATTATACTTTAAGTTTTAGGGTACATGTGCACAATATGCAGGTTAGTTACATATGTATACATGTGCCATGCTGGTGTGCTGCACCCATTAACTCGTCATTTAGCATTAGGTATATCTCCTAATGCTAACCCACCCACCTCCCTCCCCCCACCCCACAACAGTCCCCAGAGTGTGATGTTCCCCTTCCTGTGTCCATGTGTTCTCCTTGTTCAATTCCCATCTATGAGTGAGAACATGTGGTGTTTGGTTTTTAGTCCTTGTGATAGTTTACTGAGAATGATGATTTCCAATTTCATCCATGTCCCTACAAAGGACATGAACTCATCATTTTTTATGGCTGCATAGTATTCCATGGTGTATATGTGCCACATTTTTTTAATCCAGTCTATCATTTTTTGACATTTGGGTTGATTTCAAGTCTTTGCTATTGTGAATAGTGCCACAATAAACATACGTGTGCATGTGTCTTTATAACAGCATGATTTATAGTCCTTCAGGTACAATCTTAATTATTGATTTCACTTCCCCTTATATTTCACAACTCTGCACTACTGTGATATCCAGTTAATTTACGAATATTGGACTCCTTCATGTCTACCTTTCAAGCCTTAAATTTATATTTAAAAAATATTTAAACCCAGGGATGCCTTTTCTGCCCAATGCTCTTGTATTTCTTTTGAGTCTTTATATAAGCTGTAAGAATGCCTTGTACATAAGCATTATTGAATTCTCAGAAGCTGGATGGCCATGCTCAGCGGCTCACACTATGAGCTAGTGTGGAAGGTTGAGGCAGATGGACTGCTTGATCCCTGGGCTTTAAGGTCAGTTTTGACAATATAGTGAGATCCTCTCTCTACAAAAATACAGGAAAAAAATTTTTGCTAGGTGTGGTGGTGCATGCTGGTGGTTGCAGAAACTCTGAAGGCTGAAACGGGAAAATTAGTTGAGTCCAGGAATTTGAGGCTGTAGTAAGCCATCATCTCACCTATGCACTCTGACCTCGTAAGAGCAAGACTCCAATCCAACAAACAAATGTAACAAGCAATTTTTAGATTGGGACACCAGGGGACCATTACCAGGGGACCTAGAAAATGGAAGAATTCATTAGATGAAGAAACCTACCATCAAAGAATACTTCTAGGAGCTTTTAGAAAAATTAAGATGAATCTGCTAGCAACACAGGATGAAAAGGAATGTCAGCCTCAATCCAATCACTTCGTCGATCTGCAATGAGAGGCTCAAGTATATTTTCACCATAAATCTGAAATGTACTTAGTGAGATAGAAACTATAATAAAAGTTATCGATCTGTAATTATGCCCATGTATGTGTCACTTCTCTTGTTTGATGAACTTAAAATTAAGCAGACAGGTAAAATAACTCATTTTTATTCATACAAAAAATACAGTCTTTTTATCAGGTAGCATTTACCTTGGCCTCCCATCCGACTATTGCTTCTTGTCACAGGAGCAGATTTTGTAGGAGGAGGACCTCCATTTCTTGAAGATGGACTTCTTTTAATTGGAATGGGTCCCCTAGAAGAACTCATGTTGAAATCAAGAGTGTATCCACCATCATGTGTATTTCAAACAAAATCTTTTTAGTTGACTAACATCACTGTTTCTTAAATGGCTAAGTTTTGGTTGTTTATAAAGGTTTTCTACATATTAAAATCTTACAAATTCATATTTATCTAAACTAATAAAATTAACATTTCTATATGAAATTAGTGCAATTCATGCAATAAAAGTCCATTTAGAAAATCTAGAAAGAAACTCAAGAATCATAATATGTTGGTGAGAGACAGAGATGTGGGAAAAGTGGGAAGTGAACACAGAGCAGAAATCTATCAGTAAAATATCTAAGTATAATATACATAAAAATACTAAAAGAAAAATGAAAAATGACTGTTTATATCATTCTGTTATGAGGAAAAATTTTCAAAGCATATCATAAACTAAATTCCATTCAAAGAAATTTAAATATTTACAATATCAAAACGTGACACATCAGGAAAATACATTATCACTAAAAATTGTTAATATAATATAGAATTCTTACGATTCTCTTACAAAACACTAATCTTCAGATTAGACTATGCTAAATTTTAATAATCTTTAAGAATTGCACATTGAATAATATATAAATATTTTTATATATCTACCAAAAATGTAGATATATTCCAATTTCCAGGTGGTGTTTCAGGTTAGACTATGCACATTCTCCTTCATGGCAGAGTATTATTTAACCTCACCCTCAAGACGAATAGAGACAAAGTAACCATGAAGCTATACATCTTAAAATGGAGCAAACACTGTAATTTCAACTTTTTAAAAAATCTCCAATTAATTATACATCTGGTTATTAAAACTCAAACTTAAATGTTAGATTTTTGAAGCTTGGTTAATACATAATACAAGTTAACCAATAGGCTTGTTTGTTTGTTTATTTATATATTTATTTATTGAGAAGGACTCTTGCCCTGTCCCCCAGGCTGGAGTGCAATGGTGTGATCTCAGCTCACTGTAGTTTCTGCCTCCCAGGTTCCGGCAATTTTCCTGCCTCAGCCCCCTGAGTAGCTGAGATTACAGGTGTACACCACCGCACCAGGATAATTTTTTGTATCTTTGGGAGAGACAGGGTTTCACCATGTTAGCCAGGCTGGTCTGGAACTCCTGACCTCTTGGTCCACCCGCCCCATATTCCCCAAGTGCTGAGATGACTGGCGTGAGCCACCTTGCCCACCCCATCTAATAGTTTTTTTTTCTTTTTTTAAATACGTGGTTTGTTTTTCTTTTTTATGTAAAAATTGACCCCTGATTTCTATTGTGTAAATCACAAATAAATATCATTTTCAGTGATTAACCCTCCAGCAAAGAAAGAAACATACATATCTGTGAAGCAGTGGTGTTTAGACCTTTCCAGAGTAGCAGACTCTTTTCAGAAATTAAATTTCTGCATTTCTTAAATTGAAAATGCTTTATGGCAGGCCAATGTACAAACTCCCTGTATCGAAATTACAAAGCAATAGATTTGCTTAGATATTTGCACATGTATACATAAATAAAACAAATACTGCAAAATCAATCTTAAATACTGAGTTACTTTTTTCCTGTTGGAAAGTTTTAAATATTCCATCATATTTTGATAATACAACTGATATGAAGTTCTGGGCCTCAAATTAGAAAACTCTAAAGTATAATGAATATAAATGAATTCTGCAGAAAACCTGTTGAGTACAGGCAATCAGCATTCATAAACTCAGTTCAGTTTAAAATTTGTGTTATTTTAATGCAAAGTTATTACAATGTTAAAACAAATTTTAGATATTAGTTTAATCGTTCTTATAATACACTTTAGTACTTAGAAATAATTTTGCTTATCATGTTAATTTTCTGTTCATAAAGGAAATAAAAAAAATTGAGAAATTCCAGTATCTTCAAACTTATTTTCTTTCAGTCCTATGGTTCCATCTTTATATTTTAAAACATTACCCACGTGTCCTTCATGTGAGGGAAGCCACCCTCTTGTTCCTCCACTACTTCCTCTTGCAGATCTCACACTTCCTGAAGGGCTTCTGTTTCTTGAAGGTGGTGGTCTCCACCTACCACCACTTTGAAAAGATAGTTTTTGGCTTTGTTCTACTTTTATTGCCTTTCCATCAAAAGACTAAAAGTATTAAGGGTACTATCAATAACATTGGCACGTTTAACCTAAGCACATTTTACTAACAGTTTTACATCAACTATAATTCAATTCTATATATTTTCACCCAAAACAACCTTTTTTTCTCCTAAAATGAACACATCTTTCTCAATGCCAAATTTGAGATATTTACTGAGCACATGCCTTCCATTATGGAACCAAACACAAATGTTATTATTCAAATTCCTTGAAAACTCCTCCATTATTAAAACAAAAACACCTCAAACAAAAAAAGATTAACCTATCACACATTCTATGAAATAATGTGGCACATTTATAATCCACTTCATCTTTGTATTCACAACACTGATTTAAAACTTTCAGTGTCGCAGTGAAACTTGTGTCATTTAAAAAAGTGAGGTTACCTATTCAAAGTGATTAGTCACATTATTCATTATGAGTTGTTTCTTGTTTGATCTGCTAATACTTACATAAAATACCCCCATATGATTTACAATTATATATTTACTCTAGAAATGTTTCTATAAATATGATCCTTGTTTGGTCTTATTAAGGTTTCTTGCCTTACTCATTTCTTATTTTGTCTTAGACTTGTCCATAAAAAATGACTCTTAATACAGTACTCCATGTAATTTCTCAGAAATCCTTAAATGTTCTAATTAATTTCACAATAACATTTTTCAGTGTACTCTTTTCTGTAGGCCACTCTAATTTTTGAAAACAGCTCAGCTAAGAACTTGATTTAAAAACTGCATGGCTTTTGTTATTTGGGGGAAGATATTAAATACCTTATAGGACCTTTTGCAGCCACATCGCCAGTTGCTCCTACCATGGAACTTTTTTTGTTATTTCTGGGCCCAAAATATTTTCCCTAGATTTCTGCATGGCTGCTTCCTTCCCAGTGTTCCAAAGTCATCCAAAATTCCTTAAACTGTTAATTCCCCCTGAAAACTCTAAGAACCTCCTTTACTGGCCATCTTAACATTTATGTGCATGTAACATTCAAATTAATTTTTACACAGTAAAATATGTGAGGGGAAGTAATTTAGAAATAACATTGGCCAGGTGTAGTGGCTCATGCTTATAATTCCAAAACTTTTGGAAGGCCTAGGCGGGTGGATCACGAGGTGCAGAGATAGAGACTATCCTGGCCAACAGGGTGAAACCCCGTCTCTATTCAAAGTAAAAAATTAGATGGGCTTGGTGGTGTGTGCCTGTAGTCCCTGCTAATCAGGAGGCTGAGGCAGGAGAATCACTTGAACCCAGGAGGCCGAGGTTGCAGTGAGCCAATATTGCCCCACTGCAATCCAGCCTGGTGACACAGCGAGACTGTCCTAAAAAATAAACAAACAAACAAACTAACAAATGCTACACAAATTACCTGCTCTTGTGCTCAAAAAATAGGAGGAAAAAAGAAATTATCATAGATTACTGTGCCTAAGTCAAAATTATCTCCATACCTACCACAAAGCTATGAACCAAAAGCCACTCTCAGTTTTTACCACAGCTTAAAATACTAATTTATGAGTGAGGCTGGGTGTGGTGGCTCACGCCTGTATAATCCAAGCACTTTGGGAGGCTGAGGTGGGTGGATCACGAGTTCAGCAGATCAAGACTGTCCTGGCTAACACAGTGAAAAGCTGTCTCTACTAAAAACTAAAAAAATTAGCTGGGTGTGGTGGCGGGCGCCTGTAGTACCATCTACTGGAGAGGCCGAGGCAGGAGAATGGCGTGGACCAAGGAGGTGGAGCTTACAGAGAGATGAGATCGTGCCACTGCACTCCAGCCTGGGTGACAGAGCAAGACTCTGTCTCAAAAAAAAAGAAAAACTACTAATTTATAAGAGTGAATAAAAATGTACTTTCTTCTATGTGCCAGGAAGTGTGCTAGATGTAATAGAAATAAAAACAACTAGAAAGACTTAAATATGCACTATAGACAATTTAACAATCAATAGTTTAATACATGATACAGTGAGTATAAAATACCTACGATATGCAATGAGGAAGAAAATATGAAATTTAAGGGGTTTCTTTGAAGCATAAATTGTTATTTTTAGACATACACGGGGAAGGATAATTCTCAAGGAGTCCAAAAAAGCATTTGGGGGATAGCATAGAGAGTAACAGGAGCTAAAAACACATTGGGATAATGTTATTTATGATTACTTTTTGTTTCTTTGAGACAGAGTCTCGCTATGTTGCCAGCCTGGAGTGCAGTGACTTGATCTCGGCTCACTGCAAGCTCTGCCTCTTGAGTTCAACTGATTCCCCTGCCTTGCCTCCTGAGTAGCTGGAACTACAAGTGCACACCAGCCTGACCAACTAATTTTATTGTATTTCAGTAGAGATGGGATTTCACCATGTTGGCCAGGATGGTTTCCATCTCCTGACCTCATGATCCGTCTACCTGGACCTCCCAAAGTGCTGGAATAATAGACTTGCGCCACCACGCCCTGCCTGACTGGGATAATGTTATAAATAAAAAAAACCTCTAAAGGGCCCAGAATGGAAGGATGTTGACTACCATGTAAAAGAATTCAATAGCTAATAGAATTATATGAAAGTTTAAAGCTTTAGTAAACACACAATCCCTAGATTTAAGACTCAGTAGGACAAGAGACCATTGGTTGGATCAAAACAAGTCCTCAAACACACTGGGAAAAATGAGTTATTAGGTATTCCTGTTACATAAATCACTCTGGTGACAGGAAAAAAAAGTCCTTAGGAGAAGAGAGCAAGGATGAGGCAAAAATGCCAGTTACTTCTTCTGTTATCCAACTTCAATGTTCTCATATTATTTTCTATTTTCAAGTACTTGACACTTCCATAAATATAAAGGTCTTATTTAAATATACTTTCTCAAAAATATATTTTCAGAAAGTGGGAGAGAATCTTTCCTTTTTGTGAGTCTGTCTAGATGTCTATCCACAGTTTGTCTATGCTCTAGGAGTATTTCCATGAATTGGATGTAATTCCATTAATAGCATTTAATAAATATTGACTTATTCCTTTCATTCACATGAGGATTCCTTCTAAGTTTTAAAGATCTTCAAAAGCTTCAAAAATCTATCTATAGAAATAAAAACATAGAAAAAGGTTATCATATATTAATTTATATAATGTTTATTCCAATACCCTTCAAACTACACTTGCATGTATATGGCAAAAAGAAGAACATGGCTAAAGCATTTTGGTTCAGATGGCATTTATAACCTTCAAAAGTTTAGTAATAATAAAAATACATGGAAATTCTGTTAATTGAAGAACAGCATTAGAATATTATTTATAAGGGAAACTTACCTTTCCATTCATATCTTTGGCAGCATTCTTAGCATCTGCACTTTTCTCAAAAATAATAAACACAAAGCCTCTGGACTTGCTGGTTCAATCCTTTAACAAAAGAATTAAAACATATGAAAACATTTTACATTTATATAATGGAATCACCAAGGTACTATCTGAAAATTACATCAAACCAAAAAATAACTGCATTTCACATCACTGCTATGATTCTTAATACTAAGTCACCCCTATAGTCAGCCTATTTTATTCCAGTTTGTTCCTGAACTCCACAACACATTTACTTTTCCTCATTTTCCTTTCTAAGTAGTAGGTGATCCTTACCACAAACCCTTCATCTGGTGCTATGAGATTTTCCAAATATCAAACAGAAACTTCAAAGTAAGAATTTAAAAATGATAAAGCATTTTAGTGTATGCATACAATGAACTTTGAAAAAAATATATTTTTCAAAACATATAACATATTTTAAATATACATATTGAAGTATACCTATGAAAATACACACACACACACACACACACACAGTTTTAAGTGTTACCTTCAGATATGAGACCCTGTTTTGCAAATACTGCTTTAAGCATCTTTTCATTGGTTTGTCTATTGAGGCCACCAATGAAAAGCTTGCTGGGATGATCTGCTTCTGCCATTGTACTGTAGGTGGTAAAAAATTATCTATAATTAGATAAAAATAAATAAGCTAAAAAGATAAAATTTTGTTACATACTGTGTTGAAAACTCAAGTAAAATTCCCTTCCAGAGGCTGACATCTTTTTAGTATTTCTTACTTTAAATATGTAAAATTTGTAACATCTAGAGCAAATGGGGCAATGACTTCATGGACAAATGATGCATTTTAATATGTACCTCACAAAATCTCATTTCTAAACATTAGATAAGCAAAGCTATTGTAATTTTCCTAAGTTGCAATATGAAAGATGCCCCCATTTAAATAATTTTTTTGAAAACTATATATCTATGAGGTACAGTGTGATATTTTGTGTATTTTTTTTTCTTGAGATGTATATCTCTTGTGGCCAGAGTGCACTATTTACTGCAGCCTCCTCCACCCCACCTCAACTATCCTCCCACATCTCAGCTTCCCAAATAGCTGGAACTACAGGGGCTTTCTACCAGAGATGGGCAATTTGTGTGTGTGTGTGTGTGTGTGTGTGTGTGTGTGTGTTTAATAGACACTGGTTACCCCATATTGCCCAAACCCTCCAAATCCTGGGCTCAAGTGATCTGCTGTCTTGGGACTACCAAAGTTATGGGATTTCAAGGGTGAACCACCACACCCAGAATGATATTTGGATAAAAGATTAAATCAAGCTAATTAAAATGTTCTTAGGGGGGAACACTTTAAATAGTTTACCATCTTTTAGTAATTTGAAATATACAATAGGTTAAGGATTCCCAAATCTTGGTCTTCAACCTGTACCTGTCTGTGGCCTGAATGTAATGCCTGAGGATGACCTGTAATACCTGTCTGTGGAGAATGTAAAGCTTGAGGATGACCTGAAGTAGTATAGTTTTATCCAGAAACCATCCTCCCTATTCCCCTGCTGCCCCACCCTGTCCCTGTGACAGCCCCGCTGCCCCACCCGCCCTCTGTCACACTGCTCCCACTGGAAGCCCAGCCCCACCACGTGCCCCTCCGGGCCCTGCTGCCAGCCCCCACTGCCAAAGGTGTCCACCTTGCCACCTTCTTCCCCTGTGTAACCCTTGTCTGAGGAAAAACTGTCTCCCACTAAACTGATCCCCATTGCAAAAATGGCAATATATTAAAGGAGCCCTTTATGTTACCCAGGCTGGTCTCCAACTCCTGACCTCAAACCATCCTCACACCTCCTCTTCCCAAAATGGCAGGTTTACAAGAGTAAGTCAGTGTGCCAGGTTAATAGAATAACTTAAGCGCATTTATTTTGTTCCCGTTTTAGGCTATCTAACTCCATTTATCTTGATTACATCCACTTACTTAGTTTAAATTATTTACGCTGCCAGAGATACCTGAAACATGTTTCAAATACTGTCATGCAAGGAAGAAGACAATTACAGTTTTTACAGAGGCAAATTTAAACTGAGATTATTTATGGCCCCACATTTCTACATACATGAAAGTCACACAATTTATGTCAAAATTTGATAATTCCTTCCAAGCAAATCAGACATGTGACATGTGCTGACGAAAAGTATAAGTTTTTAATTGCAGTGGTTAAGTATATTGCCTGTATTTTGAATGATGAGCACATTTCACAGTGAAAAACTACTTTAATATAAAGTGCACATGAAAACAATGTCACCTTAGCACCATCTCCCGCAACTTGCCCACCTGTCGGACATATCCAACAGTTAAAGGTAGAATCCTCAAGAAGAATCAGTGAGTTTAACAAAAATGAGTTAATAGTACTAAGGAGTTCTTTCCCTATTGTCTCCTCCCACAATTCAACACCCGCACATGGAAAACCCATCCCCTTTTACAGACAAAATCCCAAAAGTTTGCTTTCTATTCTTGCCGAGAGACCAACCTGTCCAGAGAAACAGAAAGTGGAGGTGCTTTTCAGTAGGACAAACAGCCTCAGGATCCGGGCCTCTGGTCCTATGCATCCTGTTTTGGGACACTACAGGGCCAACTGCAGGAAGGACACCTGGAGCTGGCCTGAGCTGGAAGGACGGGAGAAACCATTCCCGGAAATCCTGCCTACCTCCAGTGGCCAATCATTGCAAGGGCGGTGGGCATCGGCCAATTATTGCGAGGGCTGTAGGTGTCTCCCGAGGTGCCCCGCCCCTTCCTGTCCCACAGCTCCAGCCTCCCCTGGTAAGCATCCCCTGAGAAGCTGCTTGTGCCGCGCGGCGGTGGATTCATTCACACGCGGACTGTGAGCCGTTTGGAATTGTGGGCATGGAAGGCCTACACCCTAACTGGCATGCTGAGTGTGGCAAAACATTGATCCACAGGGAACACATGAAACACCTCACTTCATTAGGCAGGCTAGGCTGATGGTACTGAATATTGCAGATCCAGAGGAGAGAGAGAGGGACCAGAGCCGCCTGCTAGGGCGAGGGCAGCAGTGGTGGCTAGGGGGCGGTTGGGCAGGGCTGGTACGTGGGAGGAAAGTCGACTGGTACATTGCTGGGGTGGATTTCATCTGCACCAGAAGCCAAAACCCCACAAGGACTCTCAGGTCTAGGCAAATGCAGACTCCGAATTCCACACTTCCTCCCTGAGGATACTCTACTCACAGGGGCATTCCAAAGGACCTCTCATCCTGTGCCCTGGGCACACGGGAGGCCAGCCGCCATGGTCCCCCATTCGATGACCCATGTGCACTGCTTTGCTGGCGCAGAGTCTCCTGCAAGAGCAGTAGCAGCCGTAGTGCCTGCTAGCGGGGCTCTGGAAGCCCAGGGCCTCGGCCTCCGACTCCAGGGCTACTGTGCGCAGGTAACCCTGCTGGGTGTCTGGGCCCCATGAAGAGCGCGGCAGGCTGTGGGCCCTGAGGAGCTCCCCAGGAGCCCTGTATACACCTAGGTGTGAGACGTGGTTCTCAGCAGGGCTAGGCCGGCGGGCTCCTCCGGGAGCTTCCTCTAGAGTCTAGGGGTGCTAGGGAGGTGAGATGGGGGGTGCAGGCCTTAATCTGTGGGAGCCTCAAGGAGGGCACTGTGTTAAGGCTTTAGGCTCTGCAGGAGAGGGCGGACTGTGTGAGAGCAGGGAGGCAACCCTGCGGGAGGAGGCATGGCAGTGGGGGATGACACCATGGCAGAGATGGAGGTGGTGACCAAGGAGGCCAATGTGGAGCGGCAGTTGGAGGACTAGCAGGCATAGCCTGGCCCAGGCCCCAGTACGCCACGGCCCACAACAGACTCTCTGGACGTCCTTCACTTGGAGCTGGACTCCGTGAATGCCGCAGGCTGCAGGGCATCCCCTACTTCTGGGCCAGAGCCATATCTTTGCAGCTGCCAATTCAGCGTGGCTGGCAGCAGCGGGTGGGCATCAAGCTCCCGGGAGAGGGTTTGGGAGAAGCATGGTGGTAGGCACCAGGGGTCAGCAAGATTCAGGGGCTGGGGGACAAGGATGGCAACCGAGGACAGGCTCCTGCAGATAGGAGGGCAGCTTGCTTGCGGGTGCCCTGAGGGCACGTGGTAAGAACAGGAAGCCAAGCACAACACACACAAGGGAGAATAACAGCGCAAAGGACCCTTCATAAACAGCAGAAAGTTGAAGGACAGGTTTCACTGGGAAAGTCCCTGCAGGAAAGGGAGTCTGCATGCCCATGCCAGCCATGGAACTACTCCTGCTCCCCATGCCTGTGTCCAGCAGACTCACCCCAGAAACACAAGGTGCTCAAGACTTGGGTTCACAGTGCACAGGGCTGCTGTACCCTGCAAGGCAGGCAACAGCTCCCAAGACAGGATTTCTTCCCTCCCCCGGCACTGCACCCAAAGACGTGTAGGCCCTGAGCATATATAACCTCCCCTGAACCCACACGAGCCCCATGGGGAGAGCCAGGCATAGCCCTGCAGCCACTTCTACCCACAGAGGTTCCCTCGTGTGTACAAGCCCACCCCTCAGGGAGACCAGGAGAAGGGGAGAGCGCACATCCGGACAGCAGCAGAAGCTGTCCAGCACCCAGCACACGAGGGCCTCCTGCAGCTCAGGAACTCTGAGCAAGTAGCCGCCTGACACCACAATACCCCGCCCACAACCCCCTGACCACTTCTTCTGTGTCTGACCCTGGTCAGAGCACGCTGTCTGGGCGGCCAAGACCACCACAGCCGCGATGGTGCCCCCCATGCCAGACAGAGACAAAGGACCAGGAAGGGAAGGTGCTAGACCAAAGTCCTGCGAGGTAGCCCTGCCCCACACTCTCCGTGCTCTTGCAAAGTTGCAGGGTGTCTCCTTGCATGCCCACCCAGTCATCTGGCGGCTCCTTGACCAGAGGCAGATTGTGCGGCACACGCAGATGTTGGCCAGGATCACAAATGATAATGAAGTCAGTCTTCCTAAGCTACTTGACGGATTTGTAGGTCAGGCTAAGGAACCTGGGTCTGCAGGAGGGATTCAGTTTCTGAGTGAGTTTGAGGTCGCTCTGGGGCCGCGGGGTGTCTCAGCGGGAGAGCTGGAAAGGGGAAACGCGTTCTTCACTCCAGCTAACTCAGTGAAACTCCATGAAACTCAGCCTAGCTACATGAAATGGTCCTTTGAGTCCGTCCTCTTTCTTCTTCTTGGCCAGGTAGGGAGAGGAACACAGCCATCCTGAGTACCAGTGGCAGGATGAAGTTTTCCTTTCATCATAACCTTTATTTCCACAATGAAGGTATCATTAAGGGATATTGTGTTGGCATCCTCTGTAAGGAGGGCCTCCCAGCATAATAGGGGAGGTGGAGTATGGGAGGGTGGGTCTGGCATGAACCTGTCTGTCTCCTCTCTCTCTAGGATACAGGGTATCTCATTCCACTGCAGTCCAGTGGTTGTGGCATCCTGAAGGTCAATGCTGCAGGCAGTTACACCTCCTACCTGAGCTTTTTCAGCTGGTTGGCTGACCATGGGTGCCCAGGTTCTGGCAGAATAGCTGAGGTAGGCACCATGGTGGGGCATCATGGAAAAGAACCTTGCTGGTCATTCCTTCACCTCTGGGTAATTGGCTTTGAGCCATGACCTGATTTGTCCTGTAGCCCCGTCTGCAGTCCCCCAGATCGTCAGCCAGGGCCTGTGCTCAATACCCTGCGTACATTCCAATGGAGGGAGGCCATTAGAGAGGGAACAGAGAGGAGGTCAGGTGAGCAGTCTAGGGCTGGGGACTGAGAGGCCTTTGATTCCTGGAGTTGTGCCCCACATGGAGAATCTGAGCCTCAGGGAGGTGACTGCAGTGAGCAATCCCAAGCCATTCAAGGGGTGGTGGAGAAATGGCCATCAGAGAACTGTAACACCCACATTTTAGGATTGGGGCACCTGAAGCCTCCTAAGGGGCATAAGTGTTTAAGGCCAGTGGGTGAGAAGCAAGGCTCAAGGGATAGCTGTCTCATCATCCCTGCCCGCTCTTTTCCCTGCCCTGAGGCCGGCTACCACTTGGTGCTCAGTTTGGGCTCTCTCACTCTCTCTCACCCTCCACACAGATGTCCCCCAGGGCCAGTCTCTGTGTCCTCCCAGAATGGCTCTCCCAGGCCCATCATTTTCAGTTACAATGATCCCAGGCTCCCCTGACATGTTTACTCCCCTCTGCCATCCTCACTCACACTGGCCCACTCCTCCAGACGAGAGGCCACTGCACAGGGAATCTGAAGGACCACACTGGGCTTACAGGGGAGGAAATGTGAAGAGACTGCAAAATAGCTGGGGACCTTCAGTGTGTGTCCAGGGAGGGAAACTGGTGGGGAATTAAGGCCCACCTGAGTACTGGTGTGGACACCCAGTGTTACTTATCATGATGAAGACCTGCTTTGTCACATCCCCTAATATTAATATGGAAGTTATTTTCTTGGAATAGTGAAACAATGAGTAAGAAGAAATACTGTTTGTTCAGATTTGTATGGAAATACTGCAGATGCATCCATTTTCCATTACAATTCTTATGTGAGACTTGAAGTGTTTATTGAATTTTAAGATACATTTTGATTGTTCTGCTCCTGGCAAATTTTATGGTCATGTTTGCAATGTACAGACATAGAATCCGAAAATTTTTGAGTGACTTTTAGCTTCTTTTAGAGTACTTACTTGTAAATTTTGAATTTTTTCTCCTGTGGTTCTCTTCAGTTTATTATTTGAACTTTATATGCAAGGTGATAAATTTGTTTTCTTATTTGCCTCTTGTGGAATTTTTAAAGGACTTTTTTTTTCTGTTAGATATGTGAGTTTGGCTGTGAGTACCTTTTCTAGTACAAAATTTTTATTTTCATTGGTTATTCTGTGTGTGTGTGTGTGTGTGTGTGTGTGTGTTTTGAGATGGAGTCTTGCTCTGTCATCCAGGCTGGAGTGAATTGGCAGGATCTCCACTCGCCTCAAACTGTGCCTCCCAGATTCAAGCAATTCCCCTGCCTCAGCCTGCTGAGGAGCTAGGATTACAGTCACATGCCCCCATGTCCAGCTAATTTTTGTATTTTTAGTCAAGACTGGGTTTCACCATATTTGCCAGGCTGCTCTCAAACTCCTGACCTCAAGTGATCCACCTGACTTGGCATACCAAAATGCTGGGCTTACAAGTGTGAGCAACCATGCCTGGCCTCATTTGTTTTTTTATGTATTTGAACGCTTGTTCTATTTTCTTCATGTACATGTATTTTAGAGTTACTGAAATAATATATTTTATTTATTTACTGAATACTGTAGTAGGATTTTAAAAGTAATATTTTTATTCACTAAATACAGTATTGTGAATAGGTTCAACCTTGTGTAGTACTGTTATTCTTTCTTTCATATATTCTTCAATAACTCTGTTACTGTTTTTCCCCCACCTGAGGAGAACATGCAGATAGTTACAAAAAATTGTGTGAGTGAGTGTGTATGAAAATGTAATTTGAAGGCTAGGAGGCATGGCTCATGCTTGTAATCTGCACACTTGGGTAGGCAAGGCAGGTAGATTACCAGATGTCAGAAGTTCAGGACCAGCCTGGTCAACATAGTGAAACCCCATCTCTACTAAATATTCAAAAATTAGCCAGGTATGGTGGCAAGTGCCTGGAATCCCAGCTACTCGGGAGGCTGAGGCAGGAGAATTAGTTGAACCCATGAGGTGGAGGTTGCAGTAAGCCAATATCAGACCACTGCAATCCAGCCTGGGCCACAAGAGCAAAACTTTTTCTCCACCCCACCCCCCCAAAAAAGGCGTCACATTTACATAAACATAATTATCTTAAAAGCCAGTATAATTTTAATTTTATTGTAGTCATCACCTTCAGACATTGTTTATTTTGGAGAAGTGATTATGGAAATCTGAAATATCAAGGCCTGATGAGAATACTTAAATTAACCACACTCCAGAAGTCCAAATCTGAAAAGCAAAGATGTTTCTGATATAATAGCCCAAATTCTGCATTTCCTCTCTATTGGGCAGTATGATATTGTACACATGAAAAACAAATGCAGTGTTAAATAAAAAGTAATGGGATTAAGAGGAGTCATTGCTTAGTGAGTTAAAATGACACACAAATAAATTGAGAAGAAAACAAAGACAACGATAGAAAATACATTGTCTATTGATTTAATTCAGAATAATTTTCATTTTTCTCTATTAGCACTAAATAGTACCATTAACATAATATAATTTTGTATATTGACTTCTAACATGTGAGTGGCTTTTATTTTGTATATTTGGAAACCTAATCAAAGATTCTTTATACATTTTTCCCCCAAATTTGCTAGCCAATAACTAGCTAAATGCTAGTTGACTGAATACCACTCACTAAGTAGTTTGACTGTTCCCATTAATTTTAATATGAACTTTGGTCTGTATTTTGTTGACATCTTTACTAAATCTGTAGGTGGTGACATTGTTCAGGTCTCAGTCATGGATCCTCTTGGGTTTTCTCAAGGCTAAAACACCCTTTTTGTGCTGACCATTAACAAATTCCCAGTTTCAGGCCAGATCTTTGTTCTGACCTTCAGACTTGGCATATCCAACTGCATGCCTTACATCTCCACTAACAAAACCAGATCTTCATTTCATCCTCCAAACATGTTTCCTCCTACAGTATTCCACTATTTCAGAAATTCACAGCACCAAATACCCTGTGTTTCAAGCTAGAAATGTAGAGGATGATTCTTCAGGCAGCCTTTTCTCAATGACTCTTCATCATTCACATCCAACTCTTCACAGGTTGTGTGTCCCCTCTGAGAATTATATAGTCTCAGTAAATAATGACTGGCCCCTAAACAACCTTCAATCATCCTTTTTTTTTTTCAATTTGTGTCAGTTTCTCTACAGAACAGCTGGAGCTCTGCAATATCAATGTTGGAGAAAGTACCATTCTCTGCAAATATTACTATTTTATTTATCACGAGATAAATGTTCCTTAAAAATGCCCACATGAAGCTATGTTAAGTAACACAATTAAATGAGGGCTTTGTTTTACAGACAAGTACAAGGCAAATAGAATCCATCATTACATGATCTTTATAACTACATATACAGGTACTAGATATTTTAGACCCCACTTCATATGTCTGAAATTTGGGTCTCAAAATACTTAACTTCTCTTAAAGTCTAATTTCAGATTACAAAAATACCTCTTTCCACAATATTGTGCTATCTCCCTTTAAGATCCAGATGGGGAATCATTAAAAACAACAACAACAACAAAAACGTCATTTTCTTCCACCTCTCCTAGCTGTGCCAAAATCTAAATTTTCTGTGGAGATGCTGTCATGTGCAATTTCACCAAAACTTTTACAACTCTAACCACAGTAGTGGCCTACCTGTTCATCCAATACCTGCACACCTGCTTTAACACAGAAAAATTTGGAAGTTAATATGATTATTAACTATTATCATTATAGACAATGGCATCTGAAGATGCTTTCCAATCTTCCTTGAATGTATGAAATTCAAAATGCCAGTACAATCTCCAAATTGTCAGTTAATCTTAGTAGCAGTGGATCATTTACAGAAGGTAATTTTGCTGCAGTGGTCAAATATTTTTGTTAAATACTGCTATTTTATAGCCATACATAGCATTAACTGACACACAGGGTATAGCTAGAAATATGATCCTAAAGAAAATGTTAAGAAATAGGTTTCTTATTTTTTGCTAAATTGCAAACTAACAGGTTAATTACTACTCTGAAGTGCTAGATAGTTGGAGTAGTATTTGCCAAGAATGAAAATGCATTTAGGGGCATACAACTTGAGAAGCCTGGAGTGAGGGAAGGATAAGGTATTTATTCCTGACTCCTGACTTGATGTTCTTGTGTGTGTGTGTGTGTGTGTGTGTGTGTGTGTGTTTTTTATTTTTTTTGTGTTTTGGGTTTTTTTTGTTTGTTTTGTTTTGTTATTTTTTTACTTTCTCTTATGTGTGAGACCAAAGTTTCACAAACAACCCCAAATAATTATGTGGGTCATAAAATATATGTCCAGATACTTCCAGCTATTTTCCTTCAAAATCCTGGTTCAATCATCTGAAATGAGACCTGGAGAACCAGTAATTCTAACAAGTATGCTAAGAGATTATTAACAAATGACAATTGTGAGATATTTAGAAAACCATGCAGGAGCTAGGTAATCAACATTTAATAATTTGTTCTTACTATAAGGGTAAATGATTTTATTGAAATGACTATTTAGATGAGTTTTATGAAAAAGACATAATTAAGCACTTCAGTGCTTTCTAATTAGTATCTTTAAAGTATGTTTTGCTAAAGTGGCAAAATTATTTTTTCATTTGAAGTTAGCATCATAGCCACAAATGACTTCTGAGTTAGCCTTTTGAAAATCTTCAGATCATAAATTCTAAAAACTATCTTGAGTGTTTATAAAACTCAAGAAAAATCACTAAGAAAAATATAAATAAAAATACCAGTATCCAAAATAATAAAAATAACTCTTACAAATATACAAGAAAAAATATATACAATCTAGCCCAGGAGAAGGAAAAAGCAGTACAGGTAAGTAGTTAGATCTTTTTCAGAAAAGAGGAAAGTCAAATGACCAACGAAAAATGACTAGATGCTTGAGCTCATTAGTAATCCAGGGATATAAATCAAAACCACATTAGGTTCTAACTTTCCTTCATTAGCTTGGCAACTATTAAAATAATAACACTGAGTGGAGTCAAGAATGTAAGAAAAGTGTAATTTTTTCCATCAATCCACAGGACTATCTAATGATATTTAGTAAAATTAGGGTGACTACAAGGGTTATTGTTCCAACGGAAATTTTTTTTAGGATAAAAGAGTCCTAACATATACAAAACCATTTATTATTTAGTATATTATTTCCTTACAGGCAAATTGTTTTTACTATATCGATGGATCTATTACATAGTTATCTTCCAACTATTTTTGAAAATGAAATTCCTTCAAAAATTTAAAACCACAATTACATATCTTCAAGCAAAACAGAAAAATAGCTTCTTTACATTTATTATTTAAACATTAGAAATAGTAGGCAGAATAATGACCCCGGAACATATTTATATGAACTGATCTGTTTCTTATCAATAATTATCCATAGTTCTTTTCTGGAAAATGCATTTCTTTCAATTTTATATTGGTTTTTAAAATAAAGTTACTTGCAAGCTTTTCCAAAGTTGCTTCTTGTTACCAATAAAAGTTATCAACAATGTTTAGTGTAACTGAACATTAAAAATCATTTGTCACATTATTCAATGTTTTATTTCTCGCACAATAAAATTTCAAGAGCTTTATTTTAATTCCAATGATTGACTAAATGTTCAAACCATTTTTAATTTAATTTTCTGTTTGAAACATCTAAATGTCATTATTGAATTCTTTTGGAATTTCTTCTGTAGCTAATGGAGCTAACATACTAACAATTACTGATGCATATTTCTTAACTGCAAAAAAATTAGAATTAAAATATATACACAATTGATTTTTTAAAAAATAGTAATTTGATGTAAATAAAAAGCCCTGCATCTCAGAATTATATGCTTAATTTTTCCGAATTCACATACTAAACCTGTGAAAATGTCATCTTCAGGCACAGTTTTCTTAATGTAACTAAGTATTACCTTCTGAAATAGCAGCTGCTTTTTCCCCTCAGCTTTCTATATGCTGGATTTCAGGATATCACTTTTAGCCTTGTGGTTCTAACATGGAATACAAGGCTTTATGATTACATCATTTGTTTATTGGCACTTTTCAACCCATAATTTGATTTAAAGGGAAATTGAGAAGTTTTTAATTAAATACCTACTTGCATTTTTCAACCATTGCTGCTGAAACAGATTTTTGTAAAATAGTCATTAGCAAGCAGCCCATAAATAGTTGTAGGTATATGAGAGATGACAAAACCACTGTGGCCAGACCAATTAACTATGCTCTGTGTGTTAAGCTTCTATTTCTAGCACATAATTTACGTATATCTAGCCTATTATTTCCTTCATTTTCCCCAAACCTACCACACGATGATCTGGGAGTGTCATATAAGTGGACCACATAGAAAGAAAACAAAACAAAACAAAAAATAAACCATGTCAAATACTTCTTCCATCACCAGGCAAGATTGGAAGAAACTACTCATCCCTAGCTACTACTGATTCAGTGCATATTGATTTACCGTCACTCAGTCTGCTACATGCAGTCCTTGAAAAGTAGCAGGATCTATGTTTTGTGTGAACTGTGTCAGGAAACTAAAGTTGATTTTCAGATTATCCCCACACTAAAGTCATCGTTCTGTTAACATTTTATTTTTCTCACATACTGATAGAGGCCTGACAAGCTGTAATTGTTAAACAAAATGAACATTTAGCACACACATGCTGGTTCTAATTAATGTAACTTATAATAATACTTCACTAAAAATGAAAAATCTAAGACATATGCTAAGCTGATTAGCATGGATCAACAATAGTAATAAAGTGGTAGTCCAGGGAGCTAATGAGAATATTTTATCTCCTCAAAATTAAAACTGTACACACACTGCAGTCCTGACATTCTTCTAGTATATTCATTAGAAACTCTCACATATGTGTAACTGGAGGGATAGGGAAGGTTTTTCATTGTAGCATTTCAATAAAGCCATCATGGAACATAAGAATTCAGTAGACTGCGAACTATGCCATCAATAATGGCAGCTGTCAACAAGAATCTTAACAGAAAAAAAATGTGAAATAATACACACATTATAATATTGACATAAACACTCAAAATTCACAAAACACCAGTATTATTCAGAAATAAATATTTTAATAAATTTTAAAAATATGAATATAATACCAGTTCCTGATAATGGTGCCTAAGAAATGGTAAAAAGGAAACTAACCTGAGGGCGAATATTCCAATTACAACCAGAGGTAATGTAAGTAGAAAAAGGAATATATTAATAGCTGCTATTTTTAAGTGGGGTTAAATTGGTATTTGTTATATTATTTTGTATTTCTATATCTTTTTAAATTTTCCTCAAAACCAAATAATTTTATAATACCATTTACATTGCAATCACCTTGTGAAGTAATTGCTTTACAATTTCCTTGTCTCAATTGTCACTTCCAAGAAATTAAAAAAATTAAAAATTAGAACAAGTGGTATTTTCAAAGAAAAACATTTTACAAGTGTGAGATAAAATATATTACCAGCACTTCACATTTTTTGACTCATTATCCATGTAAAATCACGTAGTAGAAGAGAGAAGGACACAGGCAGAATTTCATGTATAAGTAGAGGAAACATTTGTATGTTTATTTAAAATATCTTCTTTTTTATTATTATTATACTTCAAGTTTTAGGATACAAGTGCACAATGTGCAGGTTTGTTACATATGTATACATGTGCCATGTTGGTGTGCTGCACCCATTAACTCCTCATTTAGCGTTAGGTATATCTCCTAATGCTATCCCTCCCCGCTCCCCCTACCCCACAACAGTCCCCGGTGTGTGACGTTCTCCTTCCTATGTCCATGCATTCTCATTGTTCAATTCCCACCTATGAGTGAGAACATGTGGTGTTTGGTTTTTTGTCCTTGCAATAGTTTGCTGAGAATGATGGTTTCCAGCTTCATCCATGTGCCTACAAAGGACATGAACTCATCATTTTTTATGGCTGCATAGTATTCCATGGTGTATATGTGCCACATTTTCTTAATCCAGTCTATCACTGTTGGACATTTGGGTTGGTTCCAAGTCTTTGCTATTGTGAATAGTGCCGCAATAAACATACGTGTGCATGTGTCTTTATAGCAGCATGATTTATAATCCTTTGGGTATATACCCAGTAATGGGATTGGTGGGTCAAATGGTATTTCTAGATCCCTGAGGAATTGCCACACCGACTTCCACAATGGTTGAACTAGTTTACAGTCCTACCAACAGTATAAAAGTATTCCTATTTCTCCACATCCTCTCCAGCACCTGTTGTTTCCTGACATTTCAATGATCGCCATTCTAACTGGTGTGAGATGGTATCTCATTGTGGTTTTGATTTGCATTTCTCTGATGGCCAGTGATGATGAGCATTTTTTCATGTGTTTTTTGGCTGCATAAATGTCTTCTTTTGAGAAATGTCTGTTCATATCCTTTGCCCACTTTTTGATGGGGTTTTATGTTTTTTCTTGTAAATATGTTGAGTTCATTGTAGATTCTGGATATTAGCCCTTTGTCAGATGAGTAGGTTGCAAAAATTTTCTCCCAGAGGTACAAGGAGGAGCTGGTACCATTCCTTCTGAAACTATTTCAATCAATATAAAAAGAGGGAATCATCTCTAACTCATTTTATGAGGCCAGCATCATCCTGATACCAAAGCCTGGCAGAGACACAACAAAAAAAGAGAATTTTAGACCAATATCCTTGATGAGTATTGATGCAAAAATCCTCAGTAAAATACTGGCAAACCGAATCCAGCAATACATCAAAAAGCTTATCCACCATGATCAAGTGGGCTTCATCCCTGGGACGCAAGACTAGTTCAACATATGAAAATCAATAAACATAATCCAGCATATAAACAGAACCAAATACAAAAACCACATGATTATCTCAATAGATGCAGAAAAGGCCTTTGACAAAATTCAGCAACCCTTCATGCTAAAAACTCTCAATAAATTAGGTATTGATGGGATGTATCTCAAAATAATAAGAGCTATCTATGATAAACCCACAGCCAATATCATACTGAATGGACAGAAACTGGAAGCATTCCCTTGAAAACTGGCAAAAGACAGGGATGCCCTCTCTCACCACTCCTATTCAACATAGTGTTGGAAGTTCTGGCCAGGACAATCAGGCAGGAGAATGAAATAAAGGGCATTCAATTAGGAAAAAAGGAAGTCAAGTTGTCCCTTTTTGCAGATGACATGATTGTATATCTAGAAAACCCTATAATGTCAGCCCAAAATCTCCTTAAGCTGATAAGCAACTTCAGCAAAGTCTCAGGATACAAAATCAATGTGCAAAAATCACAAGCATTCTTATACACCAATAACAGACAAACAGAGAGCCAAATCATGAGTGAACTCCCATTCACAATTGCTTCAAAGAAAATAAAATACCTAGGAATCCAATTTACAAGGGACGTGAAGGACCTCTTCAAGGAGAACTACAAACCACTGCTCAATGAAATAAAACAGGATACAAACAAATGGAAGAACATTCCATGCTCATGGGTAGGAAGAATCAATATCGTGAAAATGGCCATGCTGCCCAAGGTCATTTATAGATTCAATGCCATCCCCATCAAGCTACCAATGACTTTCTTCACAGAATTGGAAAAAAGTACTTTAAAGTTCATATGGAACCAGAAAAGAGCCCGCATTGCCAAGTCAATCCTAAGCCAAAAGAACAAAGCTGGAGGCATCATGCTACCTGACTTCGAGCTATACTACAAGGCTACAGTAACCAAAACAGCATGGTACTGGTATCAAAACAGAGATATAGACCAATGGAACAGAACAGATCCCTCAGAAATAATGCCACTTATCTACAACTATCTGATCTTTGACAAACCTGACAAAAACAAGCAATGGGGAAAGGATTCCCTATTTAATAAATGGTGCTGGGAAAACTGGCTAGCCATATGTAGAAAGCTGAAACTGAATCCCTTCCTTCACCTTATACAAAAATTAATTCAAGATGGATTAAAGACTTACATGTTAGACCTAAAACCATAAAAACCCTAGAAGAAAACCTAGGCAATACCATTCAGGACATAGGCATGGGCAAGGACTTCATGTCTAAAACACCAAAAGCAATGGCAACAAAAGCCAAAATTGACAAATGGGATCTAATTAAACTAAAGAGTTTCTGCACAGCAAAAGAAACCACTATCAGAGTGAAAAGGCAACCTACATAATGAGAGAAAATTTTAAAAATATCTTCTTAAGACATACTAGTGGCCAAGAAACATAAGAAAAGTGCTCAACATCACTGATCATCAGAGAAATCCAAATCAAAATCACAACAAGATACCATCTCATACCAAGTCAGAATGACTATTATTATTAAAAAGCGAAAATAATAAGAATGATGTATGTGGGCAAGGCTGCAGGGAACAAGGAACTCTTATACACTGGTGGTAAGAATGTTCAGTCACTGTGGAAAGCAGTTTGGGGATTTCTAAAAGAACTAACAATAGAACTACCATTCCACCCAGCAATCATATTACTCAGTATATGCTCAAAGGAAAATAAATCATTAAAGCTACCAAAAAGACACAGGAAATCTCATATTCATCACCATAGCGAAGACACGAGGTTAACCTAGGAGCCCATCCATGGTGGATGGGATAAAGAAAATGTGGTACATATGAACCCTGTACTAGCACACAGCCATAAAAAGAACAAAATCATCTCCTTTACAGCAACACGGACTTAGCTGTGTTATTAACCTAAGCAAATTAATGAGGAAACAGAAAAACAAATATTGAATATTCTCAATTATGAAACAAATATTGAATATTCTCAATTATGAAAAAGAGCTTAAACTTAGGTGCACACAGAAATAAAGACAGGAACATTATACAGTGGGACTCCAAAGTGGGACAGAGGGAGAGAGGCAGGGGCTGAAAATCTTCCTATTGGGTACAAAGTTCGGTATCTGGGTGATGGGATCAACAGAAGACTAAACATCGGCATCACACAATATGCCTTTGTAACAAGCCTGCACATGTACTCTCTGAATCTATACTAAAAATGAAATACAAATAAAATAAATACACTACTAAAGGAAATAATATGTTACATTACAGAATTGACATTATTGCAGTGATACGTAATTGAAACATGCTAATAAAATCTATATAAGCTTTGTGGAAACGGTGATGTCTCCTGACTGTCTTTAAAAGTATAAAAATGGGATGGCTACCTTATGCAAATTAATTAGACTTCAGTTGCCCTAATTAAGAGAGCATCAGCTGAGTCAAACAATAATAGATAAGTTATAATTCATGTCACCATTCTACCTTATTATATTACCTCCGAAATCATATCCCAAGTTTTCTTCTATTTTGAGAAACATCACTCTACATACATATAGAACAAAGATTGGTTTTGCAGATTAGCATGATTTTAATAGAGCAAATTCCATCTTCAAATCTGATAAGCACTTTCCAATCCATAAAACACTGTTAGAAAAACCTATCAGGCTAGACACATTTCACAGAGCCTGTGAAGTTATAAATCACTTATACCTCCCTCTTGTGTTACCATGATAATGCATAGCACTTACATACTGTTTCTTAGCTTGAAAGAGCTGAGGAACTTTAATTAATCCTTAGACTACCCAGTGAGAGAGTGAGAAGAAGACTGGTGAAGAGATCATTTAACTACATAATTCACACTTGCTTATATGTAATTCAGCATATGTGTCATGTTGTATTCTCCTAGCTTTCTATTTCAATCTTCAGAGAAATAATATTTATGTGTGAATGTATGATGCATAGGCATCTATTATGAATAAAATTATGTAGACTGCACTCTGTCTGCCACTAAAAGCTAACAGATATATGTACATCCAACACACAAAAAACATCTGGTACATTCTGCTGTATTTTCTTTTCTTATTCATTTCATATATCATCTTCAGGCATTTCAGAGTGGACTTCTTATATTTGAATAGGCTAAAAATTTTAAATAAGGAATATACAAATCTCTTGTTAATTTTTATAATTACTTTATTTTTTTGGGAAATGTATTAAATATAAATGTTTATAAATGAATAAAAGAGAATATCGTATGTGAACGCTTCACTGAAATGAAAGAATATTTAACTATTCTATTTATAATTCTGTTCAGCAGGATTTCCTTCTCTGCAGGTAGCTGGTTAGAGGGGTCTACCAAAACAAATCTATTTCTGCAGTGAATACCAACACTGGGTTACTCAGGAAAGAACTCTTTCAGTCTGCAAAACACAATACATCTTTTCCCTGAGCAGTGTAAATTCTTATACAGTTTTACTGTTCAACTAAAATTTCAATTTAAACATTTTCCTTCTTATTACAAAGAAAATCTGGTTACTTCTAATTGCTTGCCCAAAATCTAATCTCTATAAGTATATAAAATTACATAGACATACACACATGCATAAAAAAAAACTGTGCAACTGGAAGACCAACTGTTGTGTACATGTGTTCTGTTTTAAAAAACTTTCTACTGTACTATTTGCATTAAGGTTATAGTTGTAATTCAATCAATGACCCATTTTAAACGAGTGGCTAGGACATCACTGGAGAAAGTGTGTACAATGCAAGAAACATTTCCCTATGCATCACTTTATTTGTAAATACATTTATACTTTATAGTTAAAATGGTTAACTTTTTTGTCAAAGACTGATACTGGCAAAAGTTTTGTTTCTTAATATATTCTTTAATTTTTTCCAAAATGTTTTTAAATATCATTCATATATTTATTCTAATTTCTTCTGGGAATAAATGGCCAAAGAAAAATGGAGAAAATAATTTTTTTCCTATAAGTTTATCATCTCCTGAGTGTCAAACTTGTCATGAAAGGAGAGATGCATCTTCTGCTCTTACTTTAGGACCAGAGTTTCCACCAACAGATTATAAATGTGAAAATAACTGCCTACTTAAAGACACTGTTCTGCAGAAAACACTATTACAGTCTGAGATTGAACCCTAAGGACTGGCCTTGGGAAACTTGAGACTTTGGTCAACTAATTTCTAAGGATGTTCTCTGTTGCAAGGGTTATTGACTCTTCAGTCAAACACTGTATCATGGAAAATCTAACCTAGTTGGCCATTTGGTTATGAGATGATAAAAAATAAGAAAAATATTCCTGGAATGCAGATAGCCAGAACTGTAGGTCTTCAAGGAAAAGTACTCTCAGTAACAATGTGAAAGTTTGTCTGAATTTCCATTTCCACATTATGATAATTATGCCACATTTTTTAGCATTTCTGTAAATTATTTCTGGTTTTGAAAATCTTTACTTTTGAATGTGGATTTATCTTTAAAAATTAATATTGTTTCATGGGACCATTTGCTTGTATAAATTATGCAACATTTTATGGGAGCTCATATACAGACATCTCATACAAAGCAAGTGATGAGACATATGTTTGAGATGCATTAGGGTGGATGAAAAGGAAGCAGTGTTTTTACTCTCTTGGTCTCTCACTTCTGATAAGATAAACTACAAAATACTTACAAACAAAAGTTTAAAAAAGAATGACTGAATCTCTTGTGTCCGACTGTTGTTTTGTATCCCATAAACCCTTTATGCTATATCTAAGACTTAAAGTGTTTTAAACAGTAGATATTGGTCTTTAGGATATCAAGTGGAGGCAGGGTGACACAAGCAGTTGCTGCCTGGGGGATATTATCTAACGAAAGAAGTCAGCAACAGGCAGCTGAAAGGGCAGTGGTCCAGTGCCAGCTGTTTAGCTGAGACTTGTATAAGTTTCTCAAAAATTGATAGATGCCGAGCTGCCCGTAAGTTACTTACACTTCCCCAAGAGCACCTCTCAACTAGAAAGGCAGAAGAAACACTGAAAAGGATACAACATTGGCCCAGAAGCCAGGGATGCTCTGGATGATGGCCCCTCTGCGGTCCAGGTGGGGCTTGCACCTCCGCTCCATCTTTTCCCGCTGCCGAGAAAAGGCCTTCCTGGCTTGGGCATTAACCAGCTCCAGCCCCACCCGAACGGCCAGCAGCTCCTCCAGTGCAGACTCTGGGGTCATGGGCCCAGGGCCAGGCTGTGCCCGCTGGTCCTTCTGCCGCTCCACGAGGGCCTCCTCCTCGGCCATCACCCCCACCTCCGCCATTATGTCATCCAACACCAGCACTGTCTCCTGCTTCAAGGTTGCCTCCTCCCTCTGCGCCTCGGGCAGAGTGAAGACGGTGCACCCTGAAGACGGTGTCCTTCTCCGGACTCCCATAGACCACCGCCTGTGCAGCCCGACCCATAGCACAGGAACCCTGCGCTGCCCTTTCTGTAGCCTGTGGGTGGGCGGGAACTCAGGGCGCATGCACCTGGCTTCCAGGCGCCACCTAACGGACTGCACTCAAAGGGCACCTGGAGCCGCGCCAAGACCGCCAGCCTCCCCCTGCGGCCAATCAGTGCGAGGCGGTGCGCATCTCCCTGGGCGGCACCAACCAAGGCTGGCCTGCAGTCCCAGCCTCCCGGGGTAAGCCTACTCTGAGAAGCCCTCAGAGCTAGTGCCAGGTAGCGCTGCATCCAGGCACACGCGGGCTGCGTGACCTTTGGAAATGCTGGCATGTGAGCCCTGTGCCCTAACTGACATCCTGAGTGTGGCAAGCCATTGACCCACAAGGAACACATGAAACGTCTCACTTCATTACGCAAGCCAGGTAGATGGTACGGAATATTGCAGATCCGGAGAATTCTCTGGCTGCTGGGGCGAGGGCAGCGGGAGTGGCCTGGGGAAAGTGGGTCCAGGCCGGCGCGTGGGAGAAAAGTCGCCTGGTTATGCTGAGGTTTTAATCATTGTTCTATTTTCTTCATGTACACATATTTTAGAGTGATTGAAATCACATATTTTATTTACTTACTCAACACTTGGTAGGATTTTAAATGTAATGTTTTCATTCACTACAGTATTGTGAATAGGTTAAACCTTGTATAGTGTCGTCATTCTGTCTTTCATAAATTATTCAAGAATTCTGATGCTGTTTTTCTCCCACCTGAGGAGAACATGCAGATAGTTATAAAAAATTGTGTGAGTGGGTAGGTATGAATACATAATTTGAAAGCATAGTAAAGTTCACAAATTCAATTTCACATTTGTATTTTGCATCATTTTGAAATTTTTATTTGCTGACACATGAAATTCTGTATTCACTTTCATGTTAAATAGACACTTCTGAATCAATCTGAAGAATGAAAACAATCCAAGGCCAAGCATTAGTTCAGGAAGTAAGTAGAAAGCAGTTGTTATGTAGAAAAAGCATATTTATTGAAGGTATATTTAGAGATATTTTAGGAGGCTTAAGTCAATATTTTGTTTTTGTTGTTCTGGTGTTTTATCATACTGTGAGCAGACTGTAGCATCACTAGTTATAGTCACTAGGCTACCAAAGTCTCAGGGCTGCAGTAATTATTATTGAAGAAAGTGGCAGTGTGGTTGGCTGTTTAAGGAGACTAGAGGACTTAGGAGTTTGCGCTCAAGGCATAAGGGCCTGGTTTAGTGGGTGGCCTTCTTTTGCTGAAGTAGATAAGATCCAGGAGAAGTGTGAACTCACTGTAGTAGCTAGGGCTTTGAGACTATTGAAGCCTATATGTCTCCAACTGCCATTGCCAGATATTGGTCTGCACATAATGGCACTTCCTGGACTCACTGACTCCTGTAAATTCAAATGCAGAATTTGGATTTAAATCCCTGTTCCAACATCTTAAACTTACATCTAATAAATGGATAATAAAATATGTATTCAGAAGAAAGTGAGACATCAGATAAGTACACAAGAAAATCATCCTGATCAAATACATTCGAAAATATTACTACAAAAAAATCAGAGGATTAAGCCTTAAAAAGTTATTTAATTGGGGAAATAGGAAAAGGTTAGACTGTTTTCAACTTTGAGGTGTGAAGATACTATTATTAGAATATGGGAATTATATATAATGTCTAATTTGTTTCAAGTGCAGCATGCTAGCTATTTAGTATGGCTAGAGATTAACAACCCATGTAAGAAAACTCAGAGATTAACAACAAATTTTTTTCAGAGATTTTTTTCTGTAATTAAAGACTTTTAAAATGGTTTCCTGTTGATCAATGATTCACTTAAATTTTTCATTTAAGCATATGCTGTATACCCTTTAACATAGGGACAAAGTTATATTTTCTATCATGTAGATAGAAAAAACATTTGACTGTGTACACATTTGCATTAGAGTCTTTGGCCTGGGTAATGAAGCAAACAATGGAACTGCCTATGTCAGGGTACAGGTGGGCACAGCTGGAAGCTTCCATCACTTGCACCTTTAACATTTCTAGAAACTCATCATTCTCTCCTAGGAAGAAAAATGGAGTATAACCATCCTAAGGAACATATGTTACATTTAAACACTAAGTATTGAGATAAAACCATGAACTGTCTTATCACTGTGTCATCATTACTTTAAACTTGTACGTATAACCTATACAAATAAATTCAGTTTATTTTGTCACCATTACCATTTTACATGATATGTTTATGTATTTCATTCGCTTTCTAGTCCTTGATTTTTTTGGGGGGTGGGGATGGTGTTTCACTCTGTCACTCATCTCGAGTGCAGTGGCCTGATCTCACTGCAACCTCTGCCTCTTGGGTTCAAGCAATTCTCCTGACTCAGCCTCCTGGGTAACTGGGATTACAGGAACACACCACCACTCCTAGCTAATTTCATATTTTTAGTAGAGATGGGTTTTCCCTATGTTGGTCAGACTGGTCTCAAACTCCTGACTTCAGGTGATTCACTGGCCTCATCCTCCCAAAATACTGGAATTACAGGCATGAACCACCACACTAGCGCCCCCTTTTTTTGAGACAAGTTCTTGCGTGGTCACCCACGTAAAGTTGGAGTGCATTGCTACCATCTTCACACACTGCAGCCTCAACCTCCCGGTCTCAAGCTATCTTCCTGTCTCAGCCTCCCATGTAGCTGGGACTACATGTGTGCAACACCACAACAGGCTATTTGTTGTTGTTGTTTAGTGATGAAGTCTTGCTACATTGCCCAGATGGGTATCACATTCCTGGGCCCAAAGGGTTCTCCTAGATCAAGCTCCCAAAGTGCTGGAATTACAGGAGTGAGACACTGTGGACAGCACTGTCACTCTTTAATCACTTTTTAAATGCCACCCTTCAAAAGTAATAAGTAAATTTTTACTTACGAAATTCCAAATTCCAAGTCAAGTTCAGCTTCTTTTTCACAAAGAGGGAAAAACAAACAAAACAAAACAAAAACTTCTTTTTCCTTTTTTTTTAGTCACCAAAGAGTTGGAAAGCAAATCATCTCTACTTTAGTTTACAAAATTGACTGTACAGAGAAAGATACTCATATAATTGTTTTCAGATCTAAAATCCTATGAAGTTATCATCAGAACCATCAACTTATAACATGAAAACAAATTTCATATTGGGTTTTTTATGTGCATTAAATATCTTATAATTAGTAATTTATACAGTTGTGATCATACTTCTTCCTTGAACCATAATATTAAAAATATGAACCTCATTTTGTAGAACTGCTACCCTAATAAGAAAACTCACTGCTGACCTGGTATAATAATCTGTGGTGCAGACAGCCAGCATTCTGAACTATTCAGGTTCTTCAGATAGCCCAAGGGTGCTGAGAGCCAAATGGGAGTCTGGACATCTTGGAGGAGTAGCAATGCCAGGTCATTCCTTGCTGCCCCATTCACCAACTGGCACCTCTCATGCAGTAGAATGGTAGACACCTTCACAACTCTCATTGGTGCCCCAGGGTGCCTCAGGCCCAGAATCACAGCAGTGTCTTCAGGATTCCTGTATGCATAGGCAAATATTTATTATAGTACATTCTTTAGAAAACCTGAAACTTCCGCAATGGTTGAACTAGTTTACTGTCCCACCAGTGTGTAAAGGTGTTCCTATTTCTCCACATCCTCTCCAGCATCTGTTGTTTCCTGACTTTTAAATGATTGCCATTCTAAGTGGTGTGAGATGGTATCTCATTGTGGTTGTGATTTGCATTTTTCTGATGGCCAGTGATGATGAACATTTTTTCTTGTGTCTGTTGGCTGCATAAATGTCTTCTTTTGAGAAGTGTCTGTTCATTCCTCCAGGATCTAGAACTAGACATACCATTTGACCCAGCCATCCCATTACTGGGATTATACATGAAAGATTATAAATCTTGCTGCTATAAAGAAATATACACACGTATGTTCATTGTGGCACTAGTCACAACAGCAAAAACTTGGAATGAACCCAAATGTCCATCAAAGATAGACTGGATTAAGACAATGTGGCATATATACACCATGGAATACTATGCAGCCATAAAAAGGATGAGTTCATGTCCTTTGTGGGGATACGGATGAAGCTGGAAACCATCATTCTCAGCAAACTATCCCAAGGAAAAAAAAACAAACACCACATGTTCTCACTCATAGGTAGGAACTGAACAATGAGAACACTTAGACACAAGAAGGGGAACATCACACACCAGGGCCTGTCATGGGGTGGGGGGAGTGGGGAGGGAGATAGTGTTAGGAGATATACCTAAAGTAAATGATGAGTTAATGGGTGCAGCACACCAACATGGCACATGTTTACATATATAACAAACCTGCATATTGTGCACATGTACCCTAGAACTTAAGGTATAATAAAAAAAGTTAAAAAAAAAAGAAAACCTCAACCTTAAGTCTACATCAGGCTTTCCAGTATATTGCTTTAGTCATGATACACAAGGTCCCTAGCTCATCTTCGGAGAAATCAGAAATCTATGAATAAAGAGTCCATAGACAATGGGATTGCAGAGGAATTAACTAACAGAGGTACTATAAGCCAAACACAGTGAGACAATTTCTTTTTAGCCTAAAAAAAGTTATCTGTACAAGTGAGATGGTCATGCATTATAGAAGTGAATTTGGACATAGACACCATCAGCAATGTAATTATGGGATAATGAGTTATACAGTTGAGAAGAGGCAGGCACAATCTTACACGTTGCTAACATAGTGGGCAGCTGTGAGAACCCAAGAGCTGCTAACTATGGCAGACATGACTGCCAAAGATGTTGATCCCAGCCTTCCAAGGCATGGCGTATTCAAGAGAAATCTGATCTGCTGAAGCTGAGGAGGAATAATAAGCTAACTGTGCTAATTTAAATAGAATTGCCATTTGTAGACCATTTTTTAAAGTTTTAAATCCCTCCTATTTCTGCTATTTGAGTCAGAATTGTTAAATATGACTAACAAAGACAAACTTCTACTTCTTCTGTGTTTATGAA
This sequence comes from Homo sapiens, assembly GCF_000001405.40. Classification (NCBI taxonomy): domain Eukaryota; kingdom Metazoa; phylum Chordata; class Mammalia; order Primates; family Hominidae; genus Homo; species Homo sapiens. Next base: position 9,645,690 of record NC_000024.10, read on the forward strand.
TTTTTCTTGAAAATAAGTATGCCTCTTATTATCTTTCCAAGATCATAGTTTCTTTAAGTCCTAGCTTAAGTTTATTTAATCAAAATACTGGGAGTCATTCCAGCTTTCTCCCCCATTGCAACATTTATATATCTATGATTTTAGCTACTTAGAAGTCACTGAAGTAGATAGGCAACAAAAAATGCAATGATTTGAAGATATTAGATAAATAATGAAAAATTTGGAGATAAAGCACCTGTCTCTAAATTGGAGAGGGCTTATCTTCATAAACTTATAATGTTAGTAAGATACCAAACCAATACTTTAAATAGAAAATCCAAGTCTGAGTTTCAGGAAAGAGCTCATATTTTTAAAATCATTTGAGAGTTCCTCAGAAAATTGAGTGGAAGATATACTCATCATTATATAAATAGGGAGAGAAAAATGGTGAAGATAATCTGTCTATAGAAGGGGTAAGCAACTAGAGATGAAATTGGAAGCATAACTAAGATCTTATATGTAATTGTCTCTGAATTAGACTTTGGAGGATGTGAGCAAATAATTATGGCCTCCTTTATGTTTTAAATGTATTATTCACCGTAGCTATGGCAATGGGTGTTAGGTATAAAATAGCTGTGGTTAAGAGCATGTTTAATTGATGAGACCGAAAGAGATGTCTCAATTTCCAAGAAAATAAGAGGATAGACAGTAATGTGAAATAGCCATTGCTAATATTCTGGTAGGTTTTCTAGCAGCCAAGGGAAGGGAGAAACTGATAATCCCAATGTAATGCAGTCTGGTACACCGTCACCTACATCTCATTACTTACCAACTATGCTGTTTCCAAATATCATATCTTTAACTTAAAATATACTTAATTTAAAATAACTCTATTACAAATGTAAGCTTCTGTGTGGTAGTAAAGAAATATCTTTGTATTAGGAGAGTGTGTCTTAATGATAACCCAGTTCATCTTTTGACATGGGAATTTGATCAGTCCATTGTATTTATGTAGTATCAGAATATACATTTAAGATAAGTATAATAATCATGTTATGTGTTCTATATCAGAGTAATCTATGGGGATACTCTGGGAATTGTATCATATATCAAGTATGAAATGCCTTTGTAAGCCAAAAAGAAAATAATTTCTATGATTTGGTAGATAAAAAACTCATGCATTTCTCAGGAAGAGCTTTAGCTCCCATTTCCTTCTCTCTATTATTTTATATTTCCATTTTCTTCTTCCTTTACTTGTCCTACCAGGTTTTTGAGCCTTACTCTGAGGCTGTGGCAGAGAGATGAAATGTGGCCACATTGAAGTGGGAGTGGGGATAAAAGCTGAAGCATTTGTAGAAGTAGACTGAAAGGGACATGGAAGCAGAAGTAGTCATGGGCCCTTGGTGTTGCCAGGGTCCATGGCTAGGTCATGTCACTCCTTGGAGCCAGAAAAGGAAAGAGTGCACTTGCCTGAAGACATAAGGCTTTGTGCAATGCTCCTCAAAATGACTCAAGATTCCCACTTGCACCCAAGTGTCCTTTTGGTGTAGATGGCACACCAAAGGTGCTGCCAGTTCACCCTGCAAGAAACAAGAGAGAAGATAGCAATCAATATTTTGAAGGAGGGCCAGAAGTAACTTTTGGTGTTCAAGATATTCCTCTTTCTCCCTGGCAGTCACACCCCGTGAATTTGTCACCTTACAGCCAGGCTCCCACATAGCTTTCTGGGCCTCCACACAAAAAGTGAATTCCTTCAGCTTTGGGCAAAATTTGGTACAAGTGCTGACTTGTAGGACGCTCAGGTGCTGTTTTTGCAGAACTACAGGACTTCCTGATAGAAAACAGAGAAGAGGTGTTTGTGTTTGCTTGTTTTCAAACCTAGCCTAGATTAGAGAGAGAAGTATGGTGAAGAGAAAGACAAGTTATTTATTATTCAAGAGAGGATAATATTATCTTTCCAAACATGCTTCTCTTCCATCCCACTGTCTTCTTCATTACTCAGCCCTCATAAGGGACCAACAGGTAGTCAACAGCCATATACTAGTATAAATTTCTCCTGTTCCAGACTCTCCTTTGGGCATATAGGAAGGACCAGGGTTTGAAAATATAGTGGCTGCTTCAGGAAGATCAATACAGGTCCCAGAAGTCCCTTGGGACCTAGGTAGGGTATGGCACAGTCAATGCTGACAGTCTGAGCAGAATCCAGAAGATGATTAAGCCCCACTTGGACCAGGACCAGGGCTGCTGAGTTTTTCAGGGGAAAAAAGTCAATAAAAAGTCATATTATTTCTACATTTCAATTTGAATAAAGCCCTGGAGGTCACATGAATCAGATGAAGTCCAGCAAAGCACTAAAATACAAATACTCCTCTAGAAACTATTTTCAAGGTTTATTTGAGAACAGGTGGGCAACATGATAAGACTTTAATTCTGCTGAAAAAAATAGCCAGATGCATTGGTGTGTGCCTGTGGTCCCAGGTACTCAGGAGGCAGAGGTAGGAGAATTCCTTAATCTTGGTAGTTTGAGGCTACTCTGAATCATGCCACAGCACTCCAGCCTGGGCAACAGAGCAAGACCCTGTCTCTATCTATCTTTCTCTCTGTCTTTCTCACACACACACACACACACACACATACACACACACAAATAAAGGGAAATATATTCATTTATAATCTCAATGTTGTTATTGTTTTATAATGATATCTTAATCTTAAGATGAATTACTTAGACTCACATAAAATTGGCACATCTAGCTGTAGTAAGGAACCACTGTTCATTTAGTATGGAGCCAGCACAGACATGAGAGAAAGTGGTACAGCAACTATCCAAGGGAATTCACCAATTTCTGACTCCCAGCAGTTGGGACAGAGGGTGACATTGCCAGGGCATAATCCACACTCTGCAGAAGGAATATACATATGGAATAGAGTGAGATTAGTGTTACTACTCTTCCATTTCTAAAATCTAATTTTAGGTTTTTAGGAATAAGCTTGGAAATTCAGTATCTTCAATCTGAGAAAATCCTTGGAAATATACATTATTCATCCTACAAGTTTAGATATACTACAGAGGTTATCTGCATGCTTTTCCTTCAAATAATAATTTAATGTATATATAAATATATATCTTATTATTTATATCCAAGATATTATACTATTATCCAATAATGTGTGTATATATTTATATACCTCAAGTGGAATAATAAATCCTTTCTAAGAAGTAAGACTATCTTTAAAATACTGTTCTCTGAATAGAATTGTGTTTATAAAACATAGCCCACAAATCCTGTCTGGCAAAAATAAGATATTCTCTCAATATTGGGATGTCTGTGCTGATTCATACAATAACATAAATTTTGGTTTTGCAAAGGTTTGAGGACATAACCTCTGATCTTACAAACTGTGGTTTTAGGGTTCAACAAGAGTCTTTGTACCAGGTATAATAACTTAAACATATGACTAGACCAAAGGTGTCTGTGGTTTCATGAGAAATAACAACTATTCTGAAGAGCCAGAAAGCCTGCAAACTTTCTTTCCAGATCACAGCTAGTTGACACTCAACCAGGGAAACATTTGAGTTCTGAATGCCTAAGAGGTTGTTGTTCAGACTTGGGTCCAGATTGTCCAGGCATCAGATGAGGTTATTTTGTTAAAAGTGTGGCTGCAGCAGCATGCAAGAATGAAAAAGAATGAGAAAGAATGGACTCTTCAGGAAATGTTGAGGAAAATATTTTCTGAAGGGCGTTAGCAGAAGAGGCTATGGAAAGGAGAATAGGAGAGGAGACAAGAGGAGAAATAACTGAACAAGATGGGAAAATGAAGAATGAAGGGAATGTACCAGAAGAAAAGACGGAACAAGAAGGGCACAGTGTACATGGAGATGGAAGAGAATAAGAAAGAGGAAGGAAAATGGAGGAAGAAAGAGAGATAAGAGAGGTACCTGGGACATCAGGGCATTGTTTTATTTGGATAATTTTTAATTTCCTGCTTTAGTGCTGGTAAACAGCTCTTCCAGGAAGCCAAATGCTTGTAAGCTGGCTTGGTTGGAGATAATTGATTTCATATTGGCTTTCTGAGGCAGTTATCTCAGTTAACAGAGAGATAAAATACTGATCTGGGAAAGAAACAGTTTTTTACAGGCAAAAAGAGTGCACGTTTAGACAAGCAGCCAAAATGACTCATTAATAGTGTCTCTCAGACTCAATTTCAGGAGGAGAAAACTATGCACTTATATCAGCCTTATAATGGGTTCTGGGTCTTAGTATTTCTGTTTCAGGCTGGATCCAGGTTCTTACTATGCCAGCTTTAAAAACACCAAAGGATTCAATAATATCAGCTTCAGACTGGATCCAGTGTCTGTCTGCTTAGGTTACAGGCAGTATCCAAGATATGAGTGTTCTTCCCATAAGCAAGGTCCATGTTTTGACTACTGGAGATGGAACCTTGGGCCAGAATCTTAGTAGGAAGGATTCAGACTGGATAAAAGATGGAATTATATCAACTACCAGCTGGATCCAGGGACTGACTCTTTGAGATTTTGAATAAGCCCGTGATCTGCCTTTATTCATGTGAATGTAAAATGAAGATCTGACTATATCAGTTTCCTGCTTGATCCAGGATCTCACTGCTTGGGTTTCAGGTGGGTCCAGGTTGGATATGTAGCAACTCTTTGCTGAGTCTAGGGCCAAAATATACCAACTTCAGTCTGGGGCCAGGGAGAGAGCAGCTAACTTTCAGGATGAATCCAGGGTCTAACTGTATCACATTGAGTCTATAAGCAAGATGTGACTGTATCAATTTCAGTCATGTTGCAGGGTTTCATTTCTTGACTTACAGTCCAAATTTGGAATACTTCAGTTTCAGGTTGGTTCCAAGATCTTATTGAATTCGAATCTGGAACCAGTATCTTATCACTGTATTGGCTTCAGAGTGGGTCCAGGGATGAATTTCAGAATAAGTCTATTGTATGATTGTAGCAGGTACATGCTGAGCCCAAGGGTAATTTATGCTAATTTGATTCTGGGTCCAGAAGTGTGTCATTTGAGATTCAAATTTGGTCCAGGTCCAAACTGCAGCGCTTTGAGCTGGGGACCAACTTGTCAACATACCTGCCTCAGGTCAGGTCCTAATTGCTTGAGATTCAGGCTCAGTCCATTGTTTTATTTTATCAGTTTCAGAATGGGCCCAGAGTCTGACTGTATTGGTTTCAGCATAGATCCAAGGTTGCAGAACATCACCTTCAGACTGGGTCCAGGGTCTGACTGCATTCTTTTCAGATTGGTTCAATGGGTGGATTATTTGCCATTCTGGCTTCATCCGGGTAGTAACTCTGTGAGAATAAAGTTGAGTACCATTTCTTCTTACACTGTTTTGGGTCTGAAACCCAGCACTCAGAGTATTAATGTCAGGCATGGTCAAGCATTTCACTGCCTGCATTTCAGCCTGATAAAGTAGTGTATCAGACAAGGATCGTATTAGTTTTACCTTGAGTCCAGGGGTGGATTGTGCCTGTTTCAGTCCAGATCCATAGTTTTACTGTAGCAGCTTCAGAAATGATCTGGGGTCTCATTGTACCTACTTCAGATTGGGTACACAGGAAGGAGGCATCAGTTTCACATTGGATCCATGTTATAAATGTTGTAGTTCTCTGTTTGGCCCAGGATTCAATTTTACCAAGTTCAAAGGGAGTAAATGTGCTTAATGTTTGAAATTCTGACTGAGCCCAAGGTTTTATTTTTTCTGTTCCAGTTTTAAACAAAGTTCTGTAACTAGAGCTTCAAGTTTGGACCATGGTTTTGCTGCCTGAGGCATAGGCACTATCCAAGATACAAGTGTTCCAAATTTAGGCAAGGTCCATTCATCGATATTTTCAATTTAATGATGTGTCCATAAAATTGATGCTTGATTTTCATCTTGGATCAAAGGTTGTATGGTATCAGGTTGAGACAGTAATGAAATTCTATAAATAATTTAGCTTCAGGCATTGCCCAGAGTTTCTTAGCTTCAGTTTTAAGCATTGTCCAAAATGAGCCCATATCACTCTGTGTATAAGAATTTGCAGCGGGAAAATCATCATAGGTCCACTTTGTGTCTGTGGAAGCTGCGGTCTCTGTCCATGTGTTTACCACTGGAGACTCAGACTGGGATCATGGCATGATTGATTCAGACACAGTTAGTGTCCAGGCTTTTTCTGCTGAAGAGATATCCTGTGTCCATGGTAACACTGAGGAAACTATGGCCCATGCCCCTGGATTTTCTGCTGAAGATTCATCATATGTCCACGATGTAAGTATATCAGATACAGTCTGTGTCCAGGTAATTCCTACTGGATACTGGGCCTGCAGCCACAGTATAATTTTGTCAGATACTGGCTGTGTGGAGGTAATGACTGCAGAAGATTCAGCCTGAGTCCACAGTGCAACTATATCAAATATGGGATGTGGCCAGGGACTTGTTGCTAGAAGTAAAGCTTTGGTCCATGGGGTGACTTGGAAACTATTGACTCTATCCACGATTGACTGCTAGAGATACAGGCTGGGTCCACAATGATAATTTATTAAATATAGGCAGTAATCAGGGATTTACTGCTGAAGATTCAAATTGGATCAATCCTATGTATGTCTCAGATACAGGCAGTATCCACATAATTAGTGCTGCAGATTCAGATTGGGACCATAATCTGGTTGTATTAGGTGAAGGTTGTGCACAGTCCTTTACTGTTGCACATACAGCCTGTGCCCAAATTGTAGCTTTATAAAAAACAGGCTGTGTCCAGGTATTTATTGCTGGAAAATCAGCCTTGGTCCAGAGTGTAACTTAGGAAGCTATAGCCTCTGTCCAGGTATTTATGGGTAGACATTCAGTTTGATGCCCTGTTTTCAGTGTAGCATGTAAACTTTGTGAAAAGAAGATTAATGATGGAGTTACAGGCTGTGTACACAGTGTGAGTGTATCAGCAACAGGATTTGTCAAGGCATTTACTGCCGAAGATTCCGTCTGGGTCCATGGTGTGACTGTATCAATAGTCTTATCCTGCAACAGAGGACCTGGGGCTGGAGATTTGGACACTGTCCAGATGTTTACAATTGGAGACTTAGACTTCATCATGGGATTTACAGCTGGAAATTCAGCCTCATTCCAAGTGATTACTTAGATGTTTTGTTTAGGTCCATAGTGTGACTGTATCAGGTACAGGTTGTAACCAGAAATTGATTGCTGAAGATTTGGTCTGTGTCCATGTTATGACTGTATCATCTAGAGCCTCTGTCCTGGGAATTATTATTAGAAATACAGCCATGTACTGCAGTGTGACTATACCAGTCACAGCCACTGTTAAGTGACTTATTGCTGGCAACATATCCTGGGTCCATGATGTGACTTTCTCAGTTTTAGACTGGCTCCATGGATTTACTGCTACATAAACATTCTTAGCCAATGGTTTCAATCTATCAGTAGAGTTTGTGTACAGAGATTATTGATTGTAGAATCAGCCTGAGTCCACAGTAAGACAATTTCTGCTTCAAGCTCTGTGGAGGGATTTACTGCTACTCTTACCTGCTTGGTTCTGTGGTATAACTAACTGTAGCAGGTATAGGCTGTGTCCAGGCATTTACTTTTGGACATTTAGTCTTGGTCCACTGTGTGAGGATATCAGTTTCATATTGTTTCCAGAGATGTATGGCAGGTGATTTGACTTGGTTCCATAGTTTGATTGTATAACCTATTGCCCTTGTCAAATGCTTTACTGCTGAAGACTCAGCCTGGGTCCATGGTATGAGTGTATCAGATACAGATTTGATCCAAGGCTTTCGTGTTAAAAATTCAAACTGAGTCCACGAAATGTATCAGCTACAGGTTCTGTCCAGTACCCTACTACTGGAGGTTCAGCCTGAGGCCATAATGTGTCTGTATCATTCACAGGCTGTGTCCAAAGATTTCCTGCTGGAAATTCAGACTGTGCCGTTAGTGTGATAGTAGCAGCCCAAGGCAGTATTCATGGAAATCCTGCTGTTAATTCAGCCCCTTTCTATAGTGTGATACTATCAGCTATGGAGGTTGTCCAGGTATTCACTGATAGATATTCAATGTGGGTCCAAGCTATGACTATCAAAGGTATAGGCTGTGTCCATGGAATTTCTGCTGGAGATACAGCCTGGGCCCATGGTATGACTGTGGAAGTAACATCCTCTATGCACAGATTTACTGTTGGAGACTTGGCTTGTATCCACAGGATAATGTTATCAAATTCAGGTAGTGTACAGAGTTTTACTGCTGAAGACTCATCTTGGTCCCATGGTTTGATTGTATAAGATAGATACTGTGTAAATGGATTCATCGCTGGAGAGGCATCCTGAATCCATGGTATGTACTATCACCTAGAAACTTTGTACAGAGATTTATGGCTGGAAATTCAGGCTTGGTCCACAGCTTGTCTGCATCAGCTATTGTCTATGTCTATGAATTTACTGCTAGAGAATCATTCAGGATCAACTCTTTGACTGTATATGTTTCAGACTGTGTCCATGCATTTCATTCTATAAATTCAGCCTGATTCCTTGGTAGGACTGTTGCGGAAGTCAGGAACCCTGAATGGAGGGACCAGCTGAAGCCATGGCAGAAGAACATAAATTGTGAAGATTTCATGGACATTTATTAGTTCCCCAAATTAATACTTTTATAATTTCTTACGCCTGTCTTTTTTTTATTTTTAAACTTTTTAGTAAAGAAATTAACAAAATTGACCAAATGTCAGGTGAAAGAAAGCATATTAATCTTAAATACATATAATTATTATTATTTTTCTTAATTAATTTTTTTTAATTTTAAGTTTTAGGGTACATGTGCACATTGTGCAGGTTAGTTACATATGTATACATGTACCATGCTGGTGCGCTGCACCCACTAACTCGTCATCTAGCATTAGGTATATCTCCTGATGCTATCCCTCCCCCCTCCCACCACCCCAAAACAGTCCCCAGAGTGTGATATTCCCCTTCCTGTGTCCATGTGATCTCATTGTTCAGTTCCCACCTATGAGTGAGAATATGCGGTGTTTGGTTTTTTGTTCTTGCGATAGTTTACTGAGAATGATGATTTACAATTTCATCCATGCCCCTACAAAGGACATGAACTCATCATTTTTTATGGCTGCATAGTGCATGGTGTATATGTGCCACATTTTCTTAATCCAGTCTATCATTGTTGGACATTTGGGTTGGTTCCAAGTCTTTGCTATTGTGAATAATGCCACAATAAACATATGGGTGCATGTGTCTTCATAGCAGCATGATTTATAGTCCTTTGGGTATATACCCAGTAATGGGATGGCTGGGTCAAATGGTATTTCCAGTTCTAGATCCCTGAGGAGTCGCCACACTGACTTCCACAATGGTTGAACTAGTTTACAGTCCCACCAACAGTGTAAAATTGTTCCTATTTCTCCACATCCTCTCCAGCACCTGCTGTTTCCTGACTTTTTAATGATTGCCATTCTAACTGGTGTGAGATGGTATCTCATTGTGGTTTTGATTTGCATTTCTCTGATGTATGCCTGTCTTTACTGCAATCTCTGAACATAAATTGTGAAGATTTCATGGACACTTATCACTTCCCCAATCAATACCCTTGTGATTTCCTATGCCTGTCTTTACTTTAATCTCTTAATCCTGTCATCTTTGTAAGCTGCGGAGTATGTATGTCACCTCAGAACCCTGTGATGTTTGTGTTAACTGCACAAATTATTTGTAGAGCATGTGTGTTTGAACAATATGAAATCTGGGTACCTTGAAAAAAGAACAGGATAACAGCAATGTTCAGGGAACAAGAGAGATAAACTCTGACTGCCGGTCAGCTGGGCAGAACAGTGCCATATTTCTCTTCTTTCAAAAGCAAATGGGAGAAATATCGCTGAATTCTTTTTCTCAGCAAGGAACATACCTGAGAAAGAGAATGTGTCCCTGAGGGTAGGCCTCTAAAATGGCCATTTCAGGGGGTGGCCGTCTTTTATGGTCAAAGCTGTAGGGATGAAATAAGCCCCAGTCTCCTGTAGTGCTCCCAGGCTTATTAGGAAGAGGAAATTCCTGCCTAATAAATTTTGGTCAGACCGGTTGTCTGCTCTCAAACCCTGTCTCCTGATAAGATGTTATCAATGACAATGTGTGCCTGAAACTTCATTAGCAATTTTAATTTTGTCCTGGTCCTCTGGTCCTGTGATCTTGCCCTGCCTCCATTTGCCTTGTGATATTCTATATACCTTGCGAAGCACAGGATCTCTGTGACCCACATGCTATTCGCACACTCCCTACCCATTTGAATATTACTAATAAAAACTTGCTGGTTTTATGGCTCTGGGGGCACCACGGAGCCTGCCAATGTGATGTCTCCCCCAGACACCCAGCTTTAAAATTTCTCTTTTGTACTCTGTCTCTTTATTTCTCAGAGTGGCCGACACTTAGGGAAAATAGAAAAGAAGGTATGTGAAATATTGGGGGTGAATTTCACCTGATATCTGGCTGAAATTCCCCTGATAGGACCATATCAGCTGTAGCCTTTCTCTAGGGATTCATTGCTGGAGTTTCAGTGATAATCCATGGTTGAGTCCAAGACATTTGTGGATGTTCAGCATGGATACATGGTAGGAATATATCAGGTAACCAGGGACTTACTTCTAGAGTTTCAACCAGAATCCATGTTGTGACTATATCAGTTTCAGACTGTGTCCAATGATTTAATAATAGTGATTCAGCCTGGATACACATGATCATATCAGATAGAGTTTATCCATGAATTCATCGCTAGTGATTCAGCATGTGTCCCTAGTGGGATTATATCCATTTCCAACTGTTTCCAGGAATGTTTTGCTGAAGACTCAACCTGGATTCATAGTGTTATTGCTTCAGTATCAAACTGTATCCAGTAATTTACTGCTGGCAAATAAGCCATGGTCCACAATGAGACTGGATTAAATTCAGATGGGAGTCAGGTATTTCCTTCTAGATATTCAGGCTGCAATTTTGTCCTTGGATTTATTGGTGACATTTCATCAAGGATCAATTGTATGACGGTTTCAGCTGTAGTTTTTCCCAGGGATTCATTGTTGGAAATCTATCCTGGATCCATGGTGTGACTGTCTTAGCCATAAGACTCTGTCAAGGGAAATAAGGCTGGAAATTCTTCTTGGTTCCAACATGTGACTTCATTCGATACAGAGTGTGTCCAGAGATTTACTGTTGGAGATTTGGCAATAGTTCACAGTATGATTCGATCAGTTTCAGACTGTCTTCAGGATGTTTACCCTTGTAATTCAGCCTTTGTCCATGTTGTGAGTGTATCTGCTAACATCTTGGTCCAAGATAAGAAATTATTGGAGTTTCATTCTGGGTCCACAGTGGGACTGTGTGAGTTTCAGATTGTGTCCAAGGATGTAATTCTTGAGACACTCCCTGCATCCATTGTGTTAATACAGTAGCTTTACCTTGTACCCAGGGGTCAATTACACCAATGTCTTTCTGATTCCAGGGTCTCAAAGTATCATCTTCAGCTTGGGTCAACAATTTGACTTTAACACTTTCAAACTTGCCCCAGAGTCTAAATGCATAAGCTTCATGTTGTATCCAGTCTTTTAACTTATCAGCCACAGGTTGGTTCCAAAACATCACTATTTCAGTTTCAGACTGTATCCAATGGTGATCTGTCAGAGTTACTGGTTCTCTCCACTGTGTGACTGTCTCGGATTGAGACTGAAATAAAAGTTTGATGATATCAGCTTCAGTGTGATTTCAGGGTCTGGATCTATCACCTCCAGTTTGGGGCCTGGGTACCACTGTTTCCATCCCAGTTTGGGACCAGTACCTAACTGGATCTGCTTCTGGTTGGGTCCAGTGTTTTTCTTTCCATTCTTGAGTCTGGGCTCTGGGCCTCAATATTTTAAATTTATGCTGAATGCCGAGTCTCATTCTTTCAGTTTCAGTTTGTAACAATGGTTTAATCATATCAGCTCTCAAGTGAATCAAGAGTCTTCCTGATTGAGATTCTGGCTAGATCCAGGTAAGGACTATGGCTGTTTTAGGCTGACTTCAGGGTCTGATCATGTCAACTTTGGAGTGAAGGAAGGGCTCAATTATATTCATAATAGGATGTATTAAGATCCATATCTGCATCAGGGGTTTGAGTATAATAGCCTCATGTTTACTAAATGGACTACATCTATTGATTTGATTTGAGGGCCTGATCATACTGGTTTTCTGTTGCACCCAAGCCTTAATATTGTCACCTTTTGACTTAGCACATGAAGAGTATGCAGTATAGAAGAAATCCAGAACTGAGTGGACTCAGGTTCAGTGAGAATCCAGTATCCATCTGAGCTTTCTATAGTTTCTTGAGGATCCAAATACATTTAAAACTAGCTGACACCATGTTTCAATGGTATGGGTTACTGTAGTATGCTGAGATCAATCTTCATCGAGGGATGAATGAGCCCATAGTTCAGTTTTATTATCTATGAAAGGTACTGGTGGAATCTAGTTGTAAGTTACCGGTTTAGCGCCAGGGTTAGCTCTATGCACTACATGATACATTTTTTTTTTCTATTGCTCTCTTCCCTGGATTGAATCTACATCACTGTTCCTGTTTTATAAGATAAAAATTGTTTCCAAGCTTCAACTTCAAGGGTAATTTCTAGCCGAGGTCTAACTACAAGTTGCCCATGAGATGGAACATTAATAGATTGAACTTGAGACAGATGAGTATCCCTCTTAACAGGAACTTGAGATCCACCTATCCCACTTGAAAAGAGAAACCACGATCTACCAGCATTAACTAACTGCAGAGTATGAAGCCTAATTATACTAGCTAATGTATTAATCTAGAATCTTGCTGAATCAGTTACAGCTTAATATTTATAATTTATTGTATTTTTCTCAGGAAAATTCCAGGGTATAGGTTTAATAGCTGTTTGGGAGTTCTGGGGTCCAGAAAAAAAGAAATATTGAGATTTGTCCATTTCTGGGGTGCCCCAGCATTCAGCTGTATCAGGATGATCCCACAGTTTGGCAACAGGAGAAATCCAGGATCATACCATTGGGAATTTGCTAGCTGAAGAGAGGTGACCACTTTGAAAGTGTAATGGTCTATTGGCATAAAATAGTCTCTATTATTTGAACCAAAAAAACATTGAATGAAGGTTCCAGTGCCTTCTGTTCACTGAGGAAGTGCTTAATCTTCTCCTACATGTTTGTTCTCAGAATCCATGAAAGAGCAAAGTGACAGAGCCTGTGTTAGAGCTAAGTGTGTTTTGTGGACTATCTTCTACTCCAGGATAAAATTGCAAGGTAGAGAAAAAAATGGGACCCAGTGGTTTCTGGGATGCCTTGATAAGCCATCTCATTCAAGATATGTATTGGGCTGTCCTGATGAAAAGTACAGGGTCATAACAGGCTTCTGAGGTAAAACTGACCAGGCCTACCAGTTCCCAGTGACTGCCAAAGAGGCAAAGAACAGGACGACTTTGCTCTACGTGAATGGTTGGAAACAAAGTTAACCATATATATTAGAAATACTTATAGACATGTAATATACATGGATTACAATGTATAATGCATAAATTACTTATGTATGCAATACATATACAAATTATAAAATACACAGATACATATCTTGTATATGTTTATGAATACTTATATCTATAAATTGGTTATATAGCTTATATGGTTTATACAAATATTAAATTAAAATATAATAAATTATAAGTTATACTTTTCTATCACATGTAAATTTTATATTACTTGATGGGCAGTAATAAATATTACATGGTACATACTTCAAGAGTTCCATATAACACTTAGGCTTAAATAATTCTAACTCTGGTTAAAACAGTAAAATCAAATACTAGAAAGAAATTAGAGGAAGGTTCCAAACAATAAAAAATCACCTACATACTCATTACATTTGTTGAAGCCATCATTTGTTTGGTCTCCCTGCTTGATTCTGATACCCACTTGCAGCTTACAGTTTGTTCTCCCAATAGCCAGAATTACACTCAGAGTAAAAGCACTTATTCTAAAATTGACTACATAATTGGAAGTAAAACACTCCTCGGCAAATGCAAAATAACAGAAATCATAACAAACAGTCTCCCAGGTCACAGTGCAATCAAACTAGAACTCAGTATTTAAAAATTCACTCAAAAGTGCACAACTATGTGGAAACTGAACAACCTGCTCCTGAATGACTACTGGGTACATAATGAAATGAAGGCAGAAATAAAGATGTTCTTTGTAACCAATGAGAACAAAGACACAGCATACCAGAATCTCTGGGAAACATTTAAAGCAGTGTTTTGAGGGAAATATGTAGCACTTAATGTCCACAAAAGAAAGTAGGAAACATCTAAAATTGGCACACTAACATCAACATTAAAAGAATGGAGAACAAGAAAAGCAAAAGCAAACAAATTCAAAAGCTAGGAGAAGACAAAAATAACTAAGATCAGAGCAGAACTGAAGGAGACAGAGACATGAAAACCCTTCAAAAAAATCAATGAAGCCAGGAGCTGCTTTTTGAAAAGATCAACAAAATAGATAGGCCACTATCCAGACTAATGAAGAAAAAAATAAGGAAGAATCAAATAGACTCAATAAAAAATGACAATGGGGATATCACCACTGATCCCACAGAAAAACAAACTACCATCAGGGAATGCTATAAACATCTCCATGCAAATAAACTAGTAAATCTGAAAAAATGGATAAATTCCTGGATGCACACACCCTCCAAAGCCTAAACCAGGAAGAAATTGAATCTCTGAATAGACCAATAACAAGTTCTGAAATTGAGGCAGTAATTAGCAGCCTATGAACAACAACAACAACAAAATCCAGGAGTAGACGGTTCACAGAAGAATTCTACCAGAGGCACAAAGAGGAGCTGGTACCATTCCTTCTGAAGCTATTCCAAACAATAGAAAAAGAGGCAATCCACCCTAAGTCACTTTATGAGGCCAGAATCATCCCGATATCAACATCTGGCAGAAACACAGCAAAATAAGAAAATTTCAGGCCAATATCTCTGATGAACATTGACGCAAAAATCCTCAATGAAACACTGGCAAACCAAATCCAGAAGCACATCAACAAGTGTATCCACCATGAAGAAGTCAGGTTCATACTTGGGATGTAAGGCAGAATCAACATACACAAATTAATAAACATAATCCATCACATAAACAGAATCAATGGCAAAAACCACATGATTATCTTAATAAATCCTGAAAAGCCCTTCGACAACATTCAACACAACTTCATGACAAAAACTCTCAATAAAATAGGTATTGATGGAACATATTTCAAAATAATCACAGGTACTTATGACAAAACCACAGCCTGGAAGCACCTGGAAACTTTCATTTTAAAAACCTGCACAAGACAAGGATACCCCCTTTCTCACCACTCCTATTCACCACAGTTTTGGAAGTTTTGACAAGGGCCATCAGGCAAGAGAAAGAATGAAGTGTATTCAAATGGAATAAGAGGAAGTCAAATTGTCTCTGTTTGCAGATCTCAAGATTGTATATTTAGAAAACCCCACTATCTCAGCTCGCAAAAATCACAAGCTTTCCTGTACACCAATATCAGACAAGTAGAGAGTCAAATCATGAGTGATCTCACATACACAGTTGCTACTAAGAGAATAAAATACCTAGGTATAAAATATACAAAGGATGTGAGGGACCTTTTCAAAAACTACAAACCACAGCTCAAGGAAATAAGAGAGGACACAAATACATGGAAAAACATTCCATGCTCATTATAGGAAGAATCAATATTTTGAAAATGGCCCTACTGTGCAAAGCAATTTATAGATTCAATGCTATCCCCATAAACCTACCATCTAACAATGGACAATCTAACCATCTGACAACAGACCAATATCCACAATCTACAAAGAACTTAAACAAATTTATGAGAAAAAAACTAAACCAACCCATCAAAAACTGAGTGAAGGATATGAACAGATGCTTCTCAAAAGAAGACAGGTATGCAGCCAACAAATATATGAAAAAAACTCATCATCACTGGTCACTAGAGAAATGCAAATCAAAACCACAATGAGATACCATCTCATGCCAATTAGAAAGGTGATCATTAAAAAGTCAGGAAACAACAGATGCTGGAGAGGATGTGGATAAATAGGAATGCTTTTACACTGTTGGTGGGAGTGTAAATTACTTCAACCATTGTGGAATACAGTCTGATGATTCCTTAAGGATCTAAAACCAGAAATAGCATTTGACCAAGCAATGTCATTTTGGGTTATATACCCAAAGGATTATAAATAATTCTACTATAAAGACACATGCACCCTTCTGTTTATTGAGGCATTGTTCACAATAGCAAAGACTTGGAACCAACCCAGATGTCCATCAATGATAGACTGGATAAAGAAAATGTGGCACATATACACCATGGAATACTAAGCAGCCATAAAATAGGATGAGTTTATGTTCTCACTCATAATTTGTAGTTGAACAATGAGAACATATGGACATAGGGAGGGGACATCACACACCAGTGCCTGTTGGGGGTGGGGGGCTAGTGGAGGGATAGCTTTAGGAGAAATATATAATGTATATGATGATTTGATGGGCTCAGCAAACCACCATGGTGGATGAATACCCATGTAACAAAACTGCACTTTCTGTACATGTACCCCAGAACTTAAAGTATATAAAAAATACATATAGACATATACTATACATGAATTAAAATATATATAATGTATAAATTTAATCTATATGCAATACATATATATTATAAAATATACAGATACATATATTGAACATGTTTAGGAACACATATTTATAAATTAGTTATATAACTTATAGGTTTTATACATACATTAAATTATAAGATATTGACTTAAAAGTATAAACTATACTTTTCTATCATATGTAAATTTTATATTACTTGATGGACAGTAAGAAATTTTACATGGTACATACCTAATGATTACCATATAATACTTAGGCATAAATAATTTTAACTCTGGTTAAAAGAGTGAAGTCAAATACTAGAGGGAATTCAGAGGAAAGATGTAACAATAAAAAATCACCTACATACTCAGCATCGCTATCTGAATATTATTTACACCATCAGCCAAGTAACTTTCGGCAAAGCACAACTTATACAGTCACATAAAATGACTGCTTGTATCACCTCCTCTGCCATTACGTTTGTTGAAGCATCATCATTCGTTTGGTCTCTCTGCTTGATTCTGATACTCACTTGTAGCTTAGTTTGTTCTCCTGGTAGCCAGAATTATACTCGGAATAAAACCAAAAGGATTTGTCTTTGATCTCACTTAAGCGTTTTCCTTTGTTCATCTTGCTACATGATGACAGTATGACTATTTGCTTAATTCTAGTGTCGGAATTATTTCAATGATTATGTTCTCTGCCTGGAATTCTATTCCTCCAAATATGTTCCTAGATTACTTCCCCAAAGGTTTAGTCTTTGCTCAGTTAAAGCATTTTTAGAGACACTTGACTTCTGGCTTAGGATTGACTTGGCAATGCAGGCTTTTTTGGTTTCATATGAACTTTAAAGTAGTTTTTTCCAGTTCTGTGAAGAAAGTCATTGGTAGCTTGATGGGGATGCCATTGAATCTATAAATTACCTTGGGCAGTATGGCCATTTTCATGATATTGATTATTCCTACCCATGAGCATGGAATGTCCTTCCATTTGTTTGTATCCTCTTTAATTTCATTGAGCAGTGGTTTGTAGTTCTCCTTGAGGAGGTCCTTCAAGTCCCTTGTAAGTTGGATTCCTAGGTATTTTATTCTCTTTGAAGCAATTGTGAATGGGAGTTCACTCATGATTTGGCTCTCTGTCTGTTATTGTTGTATAAGAATGCTTTGATTTTTGCACATTGATTTTGTATGCTAAGCCAAAAGAACAAAGCAGGAGGCATCATACTACCTGACTTCAAACTATACTACAAGGCTACAGTAACCAAAATTGCATGTTACTGGTACCAAAAAAGAGATATAGACCAATGGAACAGAACAGAGCCATCAGAAACAATGCTGCATATCTACAACTATCTGATCTTTGAAAAACCTGACAACAACAAGCAATGGGGAAAGGATTCCCTATTTAATAAATGGTGCTGGGAAAGCTGGCTAGCCATATGTAGAAAGCTGAAACTAGATCCCTTCTTTACACCTTCTACAAAAATTAATTCAAGATGGATTAAAGACTTAAATATTAGACCTAAAACCATAAAAACTGTAGAAGAAAACCTAGGCAATACCATTCAGGACATAGGCGTGGGCAAGGACTTCATGTCAAAAACACCAAAAGCAATGGCAACAAAAGCCAAAATTGACAAATGGGATCTAATTAAATTAAAGAGCTTCTGCACAGCAAAATAAACTACCATTAGAGTGAACAGGCAACCTACAGAATGGGAGAAAATTTTTGCAATCTACTCATCTGACAAAGACTAATATCGATAATCTACAATGAACTCAAACGAATTTACAAGAAAAAAACAAACAAAACCATCAAAAAGTGGGTGAAGGATATGAACAGATACTTCTCAAAAGAAGACATTTATTCAGCCAACAGACACAAGAAAAAATGTTCATCATCACTGGCCATCAGAGAAATGCGAATCAAAACCACAATGAGATACCATCTCACACCAGTTAGAATGGTGATTATTAAAAAGTCAGGAAACAACAGGTGCTGGAGAGGATGTGGAGAAATAGGAGCACTTTTACACTGTTGGTGGGACTGTAAACTAGTTTAACCATTGTGGAAGACAGTGTGGCGATTCCTCAGGGATCTAGAACTAGAAATACCATTTGACCCAGCCATCCCATTACTGTGTATATACCCAAAGGATTGTAAATCATGCTGCTATAAAGACACATGCACACATTTGTTTACTGCGGCACTATTCACAATACCAAAGACTTGGAACCAAACCAAATATCCAACAATGATAGACTGGATTAAGAAAATGTGGCACATTTACACCACGGAATACTATGCAGCCATAAAAAATGATGAGTTCATGTCCTTTGTAGGGACATGGATGAAGCTGGAAACCATCATTCTCAACAACTATCACAAGGACAAAAAACCAAACGCCACATTTTCTCACTCATAGGTGGGAATTGAACAATGAGAACACGTGGACAGAGGGTGGGGAACATCACACACCGGGGCTTGTTGTGGAGTGGGGGGAGGGGGGAGGGGGGGAGGGGGGAGGGATGGCATTAGGAGATATACCTAATGCTAAATGAAGAGTTAATGGGTGCAGCACACCAATATGGCACATGTATACATATGTAACAAAGTTTCACGCTGTGTACTTGTACCCTAAAACTTAAAGTATAAGTAAAAAAAATAAAGACATGTGACTTCAAAAATACTTCTTCCAATATCTCCCTATCACCTAATTAACTATGAACTCTAGTTGATGTAAAAATGTTTGTAAAATGTGCTTAGGTTAAATGTGCCAGTGTTATTGATAGTACCCTTAGTACTTTTAATGTTTGGATGGAAAAGCAATAAAAGTAGAATAAGCCAAGAAACCATTTTCAAAGTGGTGGTTAGCAGATACCACCACCTTCTTCAAGAAACAGAAGCCCTTCAGGAAGTCTGAGATCTGCAAGAGGAAGTAGTGGAGGAACAGGAGGGTGTCTGCCCTCACATGAAGGGCACTTGGGTAATGTTTTAAAATATAAAGGTGGAACCATAGGACTGAAAGAAAATAAGTTTGAAGATATCAAAATTTCTCAATTTTATTTATTATCTTTATGAACAGAACATTTATTATTCATTTATTTCTAACTAGCAAAGATTTATTATAAGAATGATTGAATTAATATCTAAAATTCATTTTAAAATTGTAATAACTTTGCATTGAAATAAGGCAAATTTCAAACAGAATTGATTTTATGAATGCTGATTGCCTGTAAACCGGTTTTCTGAAGAACTCATTTATATTCATTATACTTTAGCGTTTTCTACTCTGGGGCCCAGAACTTCATATCGGTTTTATCATCAAAATACGATGGAATATTTAAAACTTTCAAATAGGAAAAAGTAACTCAGTACTTAAGATTGATTTTGCAATATTTGTTTTTTTGTGTATTCGTGTGCAAACATCTGTGCAAGTCAATTGCTTAGTAATTTTGATATAGAGAGTTTGTACATCACACTGCCATAAAGCATTTTCAGTTTAAGAAATGTAGAACTTTAATTTCTGAAAAGAGTTTGTGACCCTGGAAGTGTCTAAGAACCACTGCTTCACAGGTAGGTAAGTATCTTTCTTTGCTGGAGGATGAGTCACTGAAAATGATATTTATGAGTGATTTATGCTATAGAAATAAGGGGTCAATTTTTACATAAAAAAGAAAATCAAATCATGTATTTTACATATATATAAAATATATATAGATACATAGATATATCTATATATCTCTATATCTATCTATCTATCTATCTATCTATCTATCTATCTATCTATCTATCTATATCATGGGCTGGGTGAGGTGGCTCATGCCTGTCATCTCAGCACTTGGGAAATATGGGACAGATGGACCAAGAGGTCAAGAGTTCCACACAAGCCTGGCCAACATGATGAAAACCTGTCTCTCCTAAAGATACAAAAAATTAGCCTGGCATGGTGCCTTGCAGCTCTACTCCCAGGTACTCAGGAGGCTGAGGCAGGAGAACCACTGGAAATACAGAGTTGGAAGCTGCAGTGAGCCAAGATAATGCCATTGCACTCTAGCCTGGGGGATAGGGCAATAGTCCATCTCAATAAATAAACAAATAAATAAACCCATTGGTTAACTTGTATTATCTATTAACCAACCTTCAAAAATATACTATTTAATTTTGAGTTTTAATAACCAGATTTTTTATTAATTGGAGATGTTTTTTAAAGTTGAAATTACAGTGTTTCCTCCATTTTAAGATACACAGCTTCATGATTATTTTGTCTCCATTGATCTGGAGGGTGGGGTTCAATTACACTCTGCCTTGTATAAGAATGTGCATCTTCTAACTTGTAACAGCGCCTGGCAATTGGCATATATCTACATTTTTATAGATATATAAAAATATTTTTATATTATTTAATATGCAATTCTTAAAGATTATTAATATTTAGCATAGTCTAATCTGAAAATTAGCATTTCATAAGGGAATTGTAAGAATTCAATGTTATGTTAACAAATTTTAGGGATGATGTATTTTCCTGATGTGTCACCTTTTGATTTTGTAAATATCTTAGTTTCTTTGCATGGAATTTAGTTTATCTTTATGATTTGCTTTGGAAATTTTTCCTCATAACAGAATGATAAAAACAGTCATTTATCATTTTTCTTTTAATATTTTATGTATATTATACTTAGATATTTTACTGATAGATTTCTGCTCCCAGTTCACTCTCCATTCTTCCCACATCTCTATCTCTCACCAACATATTATGACTCTTGAGTTTCTTACTAGATTTTCTAAACATACTTTTATTGCTTGAATTGTACTTCTTTCATATAGAAATGTTAATTTTATTACTTTAGACAAATGTGAATTTGCAAGATTATAATATGTAGAAAATCTTTATAAACAATTAAAACTTAGTCCGTTAGGATGGAGGCTTACTCTTCCCAGGTCAGAGTGCATAGGTGAGATGATGGCTTACCACAGCCTCAAATTCCTGTGCTCAAGCAATTGTCCTGTTTCAGCTTCCTCAGTTGCTGCAACTACAGGCATGCACCACCACGTCTAGCTAAATTTTTTCCCTATATTTTTGTAGAGAGAGGATCTCACCACATTATCAAAACTGACATTAAAGTCTTAGGCTCAAGCAATCCAGGTGCCTCAGAGTTCTACAATGGCCCACAGTGTGGGCCAGTGAGCCTGGCCATCTCGGTTCCGAGACCTCAATATTTCTTATGCACAAGGCATTTTTAATGCTTATATAAAGGTTCAAAAGAACTACAAGAGCATTTGGCAGAAAAAGAGGCACTGGGCTTAAATATTATTTAAAAATAAATTTAAGGCTTCAAAGGTAAACATGAAGGAGTCTAATATTCTTAAATTAAGTGGATATCACAGAAATGCAGAGTTGTGAAATACAATGGAATGTAAATCAATAATTAAGATTGTACCTGGATGTTTAAACATTAACACAAGACCTTAGTGTAAGATTTAAAATTATTTGAGGAGAGAATTTAGAACTAAGCAACATGAGTTGAGCAGTAGGATTGAATAGAAATAATATTTTTGAGAAGGAGAATTGTAAGATTGCAGACTGAACAGAAGAAAGCAAGACAATAAATCAAAGTTCTTAGCGATGACTTTTAGCAGAACAAAATAAAATTGTTACTTATTCCTCCATCCTAATATGGAGGAAATTGAAAACTGCCATTTTAAATTTTACATTTCATGTGTAGAGTATCAGTGAAGTTAGGTATTTATTGAATTCAGGATACACAAGCCAACACATTTCCATAGGAAAATTAGCTGGTGAACATATCATAAGTGAAAGGTGGACCTCTAAGTAATAGCACGTGAAGAGTATATTAAAGGAGAGTCTTTTCTATTTTGAAATAACAACAATGTTGTCATGATCCCTTTAACAGTATTGCTTATTGCAGTATAAGTAAATCTTGGTCATCGTTAGAAAATATTCACTAGTATACTTTAATTTGTCAACATTTATGATAAAGCCAACCACTTAGAGATAAAGGAGAAATTTTATGTAAAAGTTTAGCATGCAGTCATTCAAAGGTAGCAGTATTTGTGTGTGTGAGATGGACTGAACAGCATGGGAAAATTTACCTTCTTCAGCTGAGAAAGGACAATGTATGTAAATTTGAAAATCAGTGAAGAGTTTGATGGTTTTACATTTTTCCATGTGTCATTAGTAGTCATCAGTAATTCATATAAAAAGGAAAATCATAACTAAGTTGTAATTAACTATTACAAATGAACCTTTACCAAAGAATTTATGTCTGCCATCAGCTTTGTTAGAACTAGCCTTGCAGGAGCCATGGGATTATCCAAAGCCATAAGAAACATTCACAGTGTCATGATTTTCTAGTAATTTAGGGAAAAAAGAGTGGAGACATAGAAGAAATAATTTTAAAAAGTTGTTTGAGAGAAGAGAAAATAATGTTTCAGATTTGGTGTTCTTACATTATGTTCCTTCATTTTAGCATTAAATTTAATGGAAGAGAGAATTATGGAGGTCCTCCACTCGAGAAGCCAATCACTTCATGGAGAAATGACCATATGTTGTCAAGAGATGGTGGTTATGGAATTAAGGATAGGTAAAAGAAAAATCCCACTTAGCTGGAATTACAGACACACACCACCATGCTCAGCTCTTGTGTTTGTGTGTGTGTGTGGTAGGGACAATGCTTCCATATATTGTTCAGACTGGTCTTCCAGGCTTAAGTGATCCTCCTTCCTTGGCCTCCCAATGTGTTGTGATTATAGCTGTGAGCCACTGAGTCTGGCATATCACTTATTAGTATGAGTGACATTCCACCTTCGCTGTTTTAATTCTTCTCAGATATACAATAAATCATTATTAAGTGTAATCATCCTGGGCTACTGAACACTAGATTGTATTCCTTCTAAGCAACCACAATTTAACCCACCCCCTTCCCCTCTTTGATCTCAAGGTGTTGGCCAGGCTGGTCTTGAACTACTGACCTCTGGTGATCCACCCACCTCATCCTCCCAAAGTGCCGGGAGTACAGGAGTGAGCCACTGTGCTCAGCCTTTTCTTCAGCCTTTGATATCATCTATCTTTGAAAACATAAGCAATTAAAATATTATTTTCTTTTCCTTTTTTTTTTTGAGATGGAGTCTCACTCTTGTTTCTCAGGCTGGAGTGCAATGGCACCTTCTCAGCTCATCGCAACCTCCACCTCCTGGGTTCAAGCAATTCTCCTGCCTCAGCCTCCCAAGTAGCTGGGATTACAGGCATGCACCACTATGCCTGGCTAATTTTTTATTTTTAGTAGAGACCGGGTTTCTCTGCTTTCCTGATTATACACCCTAAAGAAATGAAATACATGAAGTTCCAGAAGTTTTACAGTCCATAATTCTTACAATTAACATACTAATCTGCAAGGAGGAAGCACTTTCTTGGTAAAATTTTGACAAGATCATCAATTTTTAGAGGGTAAGTGTGGAAATAATTTTAAAGACAGAAGTTACCAACTTTGAATTTCAAGTGAGTTCTTCATGTTATGAAGTTGTGTTTTCATTCACCTATAATGTAGCATTGTGAGGACGAAGTGAAAAGATAAAACTCCCTAGTCTTGTGTATGTTACTGTCCAGGTGTGATGGCTCAGTCTTTTAATTCCAGCACTTTGGGAGGCTGAGACTTGCAGATCACTTTAGGTCAGGGGTTTGAGACAAACCTGGCCAACACTATGAAACCCTATTTCTACCTGAAATAAAAAAAATTATCTGGGCTTGACGGCCCATGCTTGTAGTATGTTATAGTTAATTGGGAGGCTCAGGCAGGACAATTTTTTGACCCTGTGGGCCTAAGGCTGAAGTGAGCTGATATTGCACCTTGCACTGTAGCCTGAGTGACAGAGCAAGACTCCAAATCAAAATCAACAAATATATAAATAATACATAGCTTATCCTTCATTTCAAGCACTTTTTTTTTTTTTTTTTTTTTTTTTTTTTTTTTTAGACACAGGGTCTCACTCTGTTGTCCAGCCTGGACTGCACTGGCACCATCGTACCTCACTGCAGCCTTGAACTCCTGGGTTCAAATAAGTGAGACTTCCATTTCAGCCTCCCAAGTAGATAGAATTATAGACACACACCACTGTGCCCCACTTTTGTGTTTGTGTGTGTGTGGTAAGGACAATGCTTTGGATATATTGTTCAGGTTGGTCTCAGACTCTGAGGTTTAAGTGTCCTCCTTCCTTGGCCTCTGAACGTGTTGTGATTATAGCCTTGAAACACTGAGTTGGGCATATTGTTTCCAGAGTTGCTTCCTTCTGGTGCATTCTTGGTCTTTCTGACTTCAAGAGTGAAACCTTGGACCTTCAAGTTGAGTGTTACAACTCTTAAAGATGGTGTGTCTGGGGTTTATTCCTTCAGATGTTCAGATGCATCCAGGGTTTCTTCCTTCTGGTGAGTTCCTGGTCTTGCTGACTTCAAGAATGAAGCCATAGACATTCTTGGCCAGTATTGCAGCTTTTTTTTTTTTTTTTTTTTTTTTTGAGACGGAGTCTCGCTCTGTCGCCCAGGCTGGAGTGCAGTGGCGCGATCTCGGCTCACTGCAAGCTCCGCCTCCCGGGTTCACGCCATTCTCCTGCCTCAGCCTCCCGAGTAGCTGGGACTACAGGCGCCCGCTACCACGCCCGGCTAATTTTTTGTATTTTTAGTAGAGACGGGGTTTCACCGTGTTAGCCAGGATGGTCTCGATCTCCTGACCTCGTGATCCACCCGCCTCGGCCTCCCAAAGTGCTGGGATTACAGGCGTGAGCCACCGCGCCCGGCCTATTGCAGCTTTTAAAGTTGGTGTGGACCCAAAGAGTGAGCAGCAGCAAGACTTATTGTGAAGAGTGAAAGAACAAAGCTTCCACAGCATGGAAGGGGACCTGCGTGGGTTGCCACTCTGGGGTGGGGTGGCCGGCTTTTATTTCTTTATTTGGCCCCACCCACATCCTGCTGATTGGTCCATTTTGCAGAGTGCTGATTGGTCCGTTTTACATCCTGCTGATTGGTCCATTTTTCAGAGTGCTGATTGGTCCGTTTTACAGAGTGCTGATTGGTGCATTTACAATCATTTAGTTAGACACAGAGCACTTATTTGTGAGATTTTACAGAGTGGTGATTGGTGTATTTACAATCCTTTAGCTAAACAGAAAAGTTCTCCAAGTCCCCACTCGACCCATGAAGTCCAGCTGTCTTCACCTCTCAATGCCACAACTGCTGTTGGGAATTGGGCAATGACCACTCTAGCTACTTCCTGCTGGTTAGAGGTGAAGAAGGGGCCCTCCAGTGTTAGTGTCCTCTACAGGGGAACTCTCTAGGCCAGCCAAAGGGCCAGAGGGATGATCCAAGGTCTTTGGTAGAAGTTGTTAGTTGAGCTCATTTGGGGTTCCATTTGTAAGACCACCTGTAACCTCGATCCTATAGGAAATAAATATGACAAGGTGGTTAAAAATACAGGGCCTGAAGGCGAGTAATAGCAAGATGGCTGTCCTGGGACCTGGAAAGGGAAGAAGCCATATTGCCCAACACCAGAATTTGGTATAAGAGTTTGAAAGGAATTGTCTGATTTCAGAAGCCTTTTCCTTTAAATGCCGGGCGGCATCTTATACTATCCCTGACTGGTTGTAGAGCTTTCCTTTCTCAGCAGTGAGGAAGTCTAGGCCTCGGCAGTTTTGGAGAGTCACTGCTGCCAAAGAGTCTATTTTGGATTGCAGAGAAAGGATAGATTTTGTTATTTTTCACAAACTGTCTGAGAAATCCTTTGAGAGTGTGAGGTAGTAGGATAAAACATATTACACTGCTAACTTTTAGCAAATTTTACCTTCATTGAAAACCTTCTAATTTTGAGATTTCAATTATTCTTTGCTATTAATAAGACCTCATTCAGTCCCTATTAACTTAGAAATTGTATAGATGGCTCCTTCCTGATTCTGTAAGTACATTAAGGTTTGACTGAGTGAAAACAGCTCTCATGTTTGAGCAGACAAATTATTAGGTAATTTTCCTAATTGCTTCTACAAGTGTTCCCTTATCACTTACTGAATACCCATTCTGTCTTTTCCCCTTAATTGCCTGGAAAGAACCATCTATCATCCTGTCCTGAAGGGAGATCCTCATAGGTCTGGTTGGACTTTTGTATGGTAATTAGTTAAGACTTAGATCCCCTGTTAGGAAACCTGCCGTGTTTAACATTTTTAATAGGAGGGCTAGGGGTTGTCAGTAGCCTTAGTGATTTCAGGCTATGCCCTTGTTTACACTGACAACAAGGTGGTATTGGTGTGTTACAGGGTCATTGAGAAGACCTTCAATTATCAATTATAGGTTTTAAATTTACCCTGGCTTTTAAAGGAATAGGGTACACTGTTTTTTCTTTACCACTTCTATCTCTTTCTCTCTCTTTGGCTCCTTCTTTGTTTGTCTCTTCCTCTCTCTCTTCCCTTATGTATTTGACTTTGTCTCTCTCTTCCCTTCTGTATTTGACTTTGTCTGTCTCTTTTTCTTTCTCTCTGACTCCCTCTTTGCCTATCTCTTCCTCTCTTTGTCTCTTTCTAACTGTGTGTCTCTTTCTCTCTCTTTGACTCTTTCTTTGTCTGTCTCTTCCTCTCTTTCCTTCTGTCTTTGACTTTGTCTCTCTCTTTCTCTTTCTTTCTCTCTGAATCCCTCTTGGTGTGTCCCTTCCTCTCTCTCTCTCTCTCTCTCTCTCTCTCCTGACTTTCTGTCTCTTCCTCTGTCTCTCTGTTTCTTTCCTGTCTGTTGGTCGTTCTCTGATGCTGCCAGCCACTTGTGCTGCTGTTCTCCCCTCTCCTTCCACTTATGTTGGCTTTGGCAGTGTAAGACTGCCACCTCCTTGGACTTTTGCACAGCATTCAATAACTTCATGGTTTCCTCATGATATTTAATGGAGGTTTCTCCAGAGGTTAGGAATTCATTTTCTTTCCATATTGCAGGATGGGCATGTAGGATTAGATAAGCATATTTACTATCCATATACACATTTATTCTTCCCTTTCCCGGTTCAAATGCTTGGGTAAGTGCCACTAGTTCTGTTAACTGGGGGCTGGTCTTTGGTGAAGAGGCTTGCTTTCAAGTACTGTTACACCCCTAATTATGGCATAACCTGCCCTTCGTATCCCATTCTCCACAAATGAACTTTCATTGGTATATAGGTTAAGGTCAGGATTAACTAAGGGGACTTCTAAGAGATCTTCTTGGGAGGCATAATTTTGGACTATAATTTGTTGGCAGTCATGCTCGATTAGTGTTTCCCATCCTCTAGGAGAAAAATGGCATGGTTGAGGCCTGCACATATGCATATTTGAAGCATATGTCCCTCAAGGAGTAGTACCTGCTATCTAAGCAAGCTGTCGTCTGATAGCCATAAACTTCCTTTGTCACCTAGTGTGCCATTTACATCATCAGTAGTCCAGGCAGTGAGATCCTTTCCTTGAATTATTTTGATAGCCTCTGACACTAAGATGGCCACCACCACTACTACCAGTAAACAGTGAGGATGGCCTTTTGCTACTACATCAATTTCCTTACTTATGTATGCCACTGGTTGTGTGGTTGTCCCAAGAGTTTGAGTAAGGACTCTAAGAGCTATTCTTACTCTTTCTGTGACATATAAAGAGAAGTTTTGTCCTGTGGGAAGGCTTAAGGCTGGAGCTTGAGTTTGTTTCTTCTAATCCCCAGACTTCAGGGTTGACTACCTCCTCAAGCAGGGGACAAGAAATGGGTAACTTTTTCCCCATATTCATGTAGACAATAGTGCCAGCTTTGGCCAGTATGTCCCTCCCTAATAAAGTATGGGTCGTTCAGGCATAACAAGAAAAGCATGTGAAAAGAGAAAAGTCTCCCAATTACAACTGAATAAGTGGGAGAAACACCTGGTTACAGGCCATCCCAGGATTCGTTGGATGGTAACGGACCTTGAGGAAAGCTGTCCAGGACAGGAGATTAACACTGAGAAGGCTGCACCAGTGTCCAGGAGGAAGTCAATTTCCTGGTCCTCCACAGTTAAATGTACCTGGGGCTCAGTGAGGCTGATGACATGAGCTGGTGCTTGTCCCAGGCACCCTCCCGCCTGTTGTTGGAGCATCTGGTTGGGGGCCTCTGGCCTAGAGAACCTTTGTCCTCTGGGGCAGTGAGCCTTCCAGTGATTGTTTTGGCATAGTGGACATGTGCAAGAAGGCAGCTTGTTTCTTGTGGGACAATCTGTTTTAAGGTGCCCTTGCAAACCACACTGGTAAGAAACCCTACCATGCAATTGGCCTGCTCCATTTTCTGTCCTCTCTGAACCACCAAGGTTTGTTTATCTGAGGGCCATGACTAAGGCTGCAGCCTTTCTCTGATCTCACTTTTCCTTTTTGGCCAGTTCCTCTTGGTCCCTATAATAGAACACCAAGGTTGCCAGGTTTATTAAAGCCTCCAGATTTTGTTCAGGGCCCAGCTCTGATTTTTGGAGCATTCTCCTGATATCTGCAGCTGATTGGGTAATAAACTTATCTTTCAGGATCAATTGACTCTTGAGGGAGTCAGGTGACAGGTAAGAATATTTCCTTAAGGAAATACAGCTATTTCCTTCCTGTAGCTGCTCGAGGAAGGCAGAATGATTTTTTTCCTATGCCGGAGTCATGATGGACATCATTGCATCATTCATGAGCTTTTTCCTAATTCTCCTTTGTCCTTCTAGAACACAGGTCAACAGATGTTTGTGAAATCAGTCCCAATAATCTGAGTTGAGACCCCAGTGGGGTTCCATACTGGGGATGACTTGCTTATGGGTAGGGAATTTGTCCCTTTCTTCAGCTGTCATTCTGTCATTTACTTGACTAAGATACCAGGTATCTCCAAACTCCTGGGCAGCAGCTAAAGCCACATTCTTTTCATTAAAGGCCAGGATTTGATCTAACAATAGCATGGCATCTGTCCAAGTGAGGTCAAAGTTTTGCCCTGGACCCTGCAGGACATCTATGTACCTATCAGGATCATCTGAAAACTTCCCCAGCTCTGCCTTGATTGGCTTTAAATCAGGGAGGGAGAAGGGGACTTGTACCCAGGTTGGGCCAAATTCTCCTCCCCCTACAGCCTGAAGGGGACAGAATCGATAGCCCAGGGTTTTTTGTGGTCCTTTGCAGATTTCTTTGCTTGTTTCCTTCTGGGAGGAGGAGATTAGAGGAGGCTTACTAATAGGAAGGGGAGCTATATGGAGGCTAGGATATGGGGGTAAGCTGAAAGGTCCTCCTGTGGGATGTAAATGTCAAGCTTTCCATAGTTGTGGATTCTCCTTCAATGAAAACAAAGCTTGGACATAAGGTAGTTCACTCCACTTGCCTTGTCTCTTACAGAAAAGGTCAAGCTGCAGGATAGTATTGTAATTTATGCTGCCCTCAGGTGGCCATTTTTCCCCACCAGAGAGAGAATATTGGGGCCAGGCCATAGTGCAGAAAAAAATGAGCCACCTCTTTTTCAGGGTTTGTGGATCAAATTGGTCCCAATGGCTTAGGATGCATTTCAATGGTGAGCCTGTTGACGCCTGAATGTTTCCCATCTGAAAGACAAAACTGCCCACAGTTTTGGTTTGTTTGTTTCTCTCCCTGCCCAAGAAACTGCAATGGTCCCTGGACCCTGCTGATCAGAATAGTTGTGCTCACTGATGCAGCAGCAGAAACACCTCTTGCCCAAGAACCTGCAATGGTCCCTGGACCCTGCTGATTGGAATAGTTGCACTCACAGACGCAGCAGCAGAAACACTAGTTTCCTTCCTAGACCACAAGGAGGACCGAGGAAGGTTGGATTTATTGTCCCTTACTGACACACTCTCAAAAACCTGCACTATTTCCTGTCCTCCTAGACCACAAAGAGGAATGAGAAAAATCAGATTTAGTGGCCCTTACTGATGCATTCTTGAAAAACTGTTAGAGTCCTAAGCATTCTCTCATTAGTATTGGGACTTCACTCCTGTCCTATAAAGATGCTATGCCTCAAAAATGCAGTGGAGGGCCATACCCTGAGGGAGGGAAGGGATCTCCAGGGTTGGAAGAGTGATGACTTTTGTCCTCACTTGAATAGGAAGGATACGATTTCTGAAGCTCCCCATATCCTAGCTTCAGGGGTAGCTTTGTTAGGCCTGCTATTCTGAGGAGTGATCCGAAAATTCTAGATAAGATAGTCCCCCAAGACCACTGACAGGGCTTTGGGCAAAAATTATGTCTTTCTGATTGGTGAGCCTGGGTGCCTAAAGAAGGGAATAGAGTCCTGGAGTTTATAGTAGAAATCATTCTTATAGGTTCTAGATAAGCACCAGAGAGAGGGAGTGGTTTTTCTGTCTGGTGCTAGAAAACCACGAGAGACAGGGAGTGGTTTTTAGAATCAGGAATAGCCTTGGAGAAGAGGCAAGAGGAAGTTTGTCTGACAGGCATTAGGATCCAGAGTGCAAAGGTCAGAGGTCAGGATAGATAGGATAGATGGGTGAGTCTCGCTTGTGCAACGTGACTTTGAGAGTTCTGCTCATGGCCACAGGGTCAACCAATTTGCTCTTGGGACCCTGGAGCAGAATGGTTTTCCTCTCTGTTGACCCTCACCTCAGCCCAGAAGTACAGGGAATCAGAAGCTCTTTCCAGGCAAACCAATTCTCTCAACTGTGAAGAGTTGGGGGTTGTTACAGAGCACTTTCCCAGAAAGTCTGTCACCCATGTCTTTAGTCCAGCAGCCACACTAGTCACTTCTAACTGGCTGACAGGTGCCTGGTATGTAACACTCAAATTCTAAGGAAAAATAGGACAGAATAACAAGTGAAAGGGGTCCGATGGTACTCACTGCTTTGTGATAGGCGATAGTCCCTTTGTGGTCACCATAACCTGTCTGGAATTTATTCCTTCTTATGGGTTCTTGGTCTCGCTGACTTCAAGAATGAAGCCGCAGACCTTCGTGGTGAGTGTTACAGCTTGTAAAGATGGTGTGGACCCAAAGAGTGAGCAGCAGCAACATTTATTGTGAAGAGTGAAAGAAAAATCTTCCACAGTATGGAAGGTGACCCAAGCAGGTTGCCGCTGCTGGGTGAGGTGGCCAGCTTTTATTCTCTTATTTGGATCCACCCACGTCCTGCTGATTGGTGCATTTACAATCCTTTAGCTAGATACAGAGTGCTGATTGGTGCATTTTTATAGAGTGCTGATTGGTGCATTTACAATCCCTTAGCAGACAGAAAATTTTTCCAAGTCCCCACTTGATCCAGGAAGTCCAGGTGGCTTCACCTCTCCCTAGGACCTCCAAGAAAAAAATAGGGATTTAAATAGACATTCAAGCACTTCTGAAACTGTTTTTCCCTGGCTTACTGGATCTCAAGCAGTCAAGAAAGCTCAGCTCCCACTTTGTACCTTGAAGAACTTAGATTGTACATCTAACACCTTGACTTTTTTTTTTCTTATTTTTCTTGTGATGGAGTCTTGCTCTGTCACCTGGGCTGGAGTGCAATGGCATGATCTTGGCTCACTGCAACCCCCGCCTCCTGGGCTCAAGTGATTCCCCTGCCTCAGCCTACTGTGTAGCTGGGAATACAGGTGACCACAACCATGCTAGGATAATTTTTGTATTTCTTAGTAGAGACAAGGTTTCACCATGTTTGTCAGGCTGGTCTCAAATTCCTGACCTCAGGTAATCCCCAACCTCAGCCTCCCAAAGTGCTGGGATTACAGGCTTGAGCCACCACACCTGGCCATGTCTTGACTTTTATAACTTCTGCCCAGGTATCTTGCTCCTAATCCTCCTGACTTTTGGATCTGTCAAGGTCCTCTGAGAGCAGGCACATAGGCATTTCTCATCGGCCTTCATCATCACTCACTCTAGCAATATACTGAGCTTCCAAATTTTCCTTCCAAGAAGTCAAACTACCCAACTATGGCCCTGACATCTAGGTTGCTGCCTAAGAGTTTCAATACTAACTTTCTAATCTCTGGAAACTAATGAATTCCAGCTTTTTTGTAGTCCCAGGATACTAAAGAGAAAAAATTATCGTTTTACCATAACTCTGCATGATTTTTAAACTTGCCTATTGTTATAGTTTTGACATTTGTCCCTCCAAGCCTCAGGCTGAAATGTGGTCCTCCACACTGTAAATGGCATGAAGGTGAGGTGTTGGTTTGTGTCATGGTGCTGGATCCCTCATAAATGGCGTGGCACCCTGGCCATTGTTAATAAGTGAGTTTTCTACTGTATTAATTCCCACAATGAAGCTTATATAGAAATAGGTTGTTGAAAAGAGCCTGATACCATCTCCCCTTCTCTCTCTTGCTCTTTCCACATATGACATGCCTGTTTTCATTTTATCTTCTGTGCTGAGTGGAAGCCTCGTGAAGCTCTCACCAGATGCAGATGCTGACACCACACACATCTTTTACAGTCTGCAGAACTAGGAATCATTGAAAGCTATTTTCTTTATAAACTTTCCAGTCTCATCCTTTCATAGGAACACAAGAGACTTAAGCATGTATCTCTGGCTGATAATGTGCCTTTATCGGTAAACAGTGTACCTCAGCATTCACTATTTCTTGCGTTCCATAGGGGACAAAGAAGTGGTTTTTGATGGTCCAATGAGATATTCCTTAAATCCAAACCTTGGCTTTCTCTAACTTTCAAGTTCTCCATGAAGCACCCCAAAGTTTTACACTCCTCCCTTTGGATGAGTTTTTTTTTTTTCTTTTTTTTTTTTTTGAGATCCAGTCTCACTCTGTCACCCAGGTTGGAGTGCAGTGCCATGATCTCAGCTCACTTTGACCTCCTTCTGCTGGGTTCAAGAGATATTCCTTCCTCAACCTTCCAAGTAGCTAGGACTACAGGTAAATGCCAACAGGCTCAGCTAATTTTTTTTTTGTATGTCTAGCAGAGAGGAGATTTCACCGTGTTATCCAGGATGGTCTTGACCTCCTGACCTCATGATATGCCTTCCTCATCCTACCAAAGTTCTGGGGTTACAGACATGAGCCACTGTGCTCAGCATGGACCAGTGTTTTAACTTGGCTGTTTCTAGGGTCTGGTGTGACAGAACAGGCATTCTATGATTCTGCTAATTCCTACCGCTCCAGAAAAAAACTCAGCTCACAACTATCCTTAGATAAGGACACCTTAGTGAATGATTCTATAACTTGAGGTTGAATATATGACACCTTTTTTGACTAGAACTGAGAATAGCCACACACATAGGATAAAAGAATAATTTTAATTTGATGTTTTAAATTTTTTCCTCCCCAAGCCAGCATGGTGTTGCACACAAAATTTTTCCCAGACTCACAGTTTCTTCAGAATGGAGAGAGTTGAAAATGTACACTCAGGCTTTTCTTTTCCATTTTGCAATTCTTCACATGATGTTCTCTCTAGTCTTACCCAGTGGGAAATATTGAGGGTATCAGACAACCGGGGTCAGTTAGAAACAAACTACATGGATGGGGCTCACATTGACCATAAAAGTAATCTTACACTTGCATTCCAGCCAGCAGAGGTGCACCATCAGGGAAACTAGGCAACAGCATCACTCTGCAGCAACCAACCATGGTTGATGCATCTGCCATGCTCAAATCATTAGCCAACTGCCATATCCCAACCTGGCTTTCTCTGCAAAACTTCCCAAGCTGTGACAAAGAGGCAACTAGGTGATTATCCACAGAAGGGGCATGTGACCCCACCCAATCCCAGCTGCCATATACTTTTGACCATCCTAGCCCTGTGTGTTCCATCAATCCCCAGGCTGAAAATCAGAGACAACTTAGTGGTTAAAGATAAAGTTTCTGGCTCTACCTGGACCCAGTGGCCAAGTAGCTTATATAATAAGCCTTGGTACCCCTGGAAGGAAGCTCACTTCTGATATATCTAATGGAAATCACTGGGGCATTAGAATCTGTAGAAGACATGACTTTATTGAGAAAAAGAATCCCAGTCTCAGCTTCAGCCCCTCCCTCTGCTGCTGGGAAGCAGCTACCCTGCTGGGGAACTTGCCTGTCTGAGCCAATGAATGTAGCCTATGCAGGCTCTATCCAGCAGGAAATGGATCTAGACTCTCCAGTTTTTTTCCCCTATGGGGAGGACCCACTTTCAGCTTTGGGCCTTCCCTAAGTCAGAGAACTATATAATCTTTGGGAAACTTTCTGGGCAATATGCGACTTTCTTAGCTGAGAGCAGGCCCTAAGTGGTCTGTTCAACAGCAGATTTGGTCAAGGGAGCTGATTTTCAGCCCCAGGGCCTCCTGCTGCAGGCAGAAAACTAGCCCATCTGTACAGAAACATTCCAGTAATAATCACAGCCAAAATTACAGCCATGCAATTTTCTGTTCCACAACAGAATCAAAGTGGACCCAGTCTTAGCTCCAGCCTGTCCAATCTCAATTTCCAAAATTGGATCATTACTAATAAATAACCTACCAGCCAAAAAAAAAAAAAGCTGAGAAACTGATAGATTCAGGATGCATTCTACCATATCTACAAACAGTTGTATCATATTCCATTATGTGGGCGATCCTATTTTGTTCAACTGGTTTTGTATGTATGCTTACACACACACACACACACACACACACACAAAATGCACACCACTGTTTCATATTTTCTCTAAAAGCAGCAATGGAAATGCCATGCTGGCCTCTGGTATTATCTGAGGGCTTAGTGGGGAAAGACCCATTCCTCTGCTTGCATGACATTGTTGTCAGCAGCCTTGTCCACAATGGCAGTTTTTCAGTGGTTTCTTACAGCTCTCCAGATAACCTGCAATTAGGTTTATTTATATGGTTTACAATATCTTTGTTAGCCTTTATCTCTAAACTTGAGGCTGGATACAATTGCTAAAGTATGTAATTTCAGAACTTTGGAAGGCCGATGTTGGAGAATCCTCTGAGCCCAAAAGTCTGAGACCAGAGTGATGTATAATTCAGCCTGTTGACAGAGCAAGACCCCGCCTCTAAGTAAATAAATAATAAAAATACAACTGATCATAGTATTTTTGTTTCACTGTTCGGAAACACAAATCTCCTTGATCAAATATATGAATATTTGATAGTCACTAACATAGCACATTGGCTTGTGCATGGGAACCAGTGCAGGAAAGCAGTAAGATGGGATGCTCTTTCTTCTTAATGCCTGAACATGTATATACTGTGATGATAGGACGTGAGTTTGGACCAGGAAGGTTTCTGCCAGAGCCATCAAAACTGTGGAAATAAAACCCTCCACAAGTCAGGAAACAAAACAGCCTTTACTAGTAATAGTAAATGGAAAATCTTTTGCAGATTTGATTTCATTTTTAATTTAGCATAGATTAGGCAGCATAATATAGACTACCTTGCCCCAATAGTATGCAATTGGATGACATACGTCAATTAAATTTGTTGAAAACTAGGTTTCAGCTCCTCCAAGAAGCTTAGTTACTTGAGTAATTTTGACAATACTCATAGTTAAATGAGTAATTTTGAAAATATATAGGTGCTTATTTTAAAATTTCTGTTAGTCCACCAGAGACCTAAATATTACTAATATTATTGTAAACATAAAATATTACTTTAAACATAGTTTGAAATTCATGTGGATAATGAGCAAAATCATAAGTTTTTATTTTTATTCATTTCCTTTTGGTTTTATGCCTTTCATTCTCTTTCTCCTTCCTTCCCTTCTTCCCTCCCTCCCTTCTTCCTTCTCTCCCTCCCTTCTCCCTGTCTTTCTTTCTTCCCTCCTTCCCTTCTCCCTGTCTGTCTTTCTTTCGTTCTCTTTCTTTTTCTTTTTCTTTCTTTCTTTCTTTCTTTCTTTCTTTCTTTCTTTCTTTCTTTCTTTCTTTCTTTCTTTCTTTCTTTTTCTTTCTTTCTTTCCTCTAACTCTGTATCTCTGTTTAATATTTTTAGA
Source organism: Homo sapiens (assembly GCF_000001405.40). Lineage (NCBI taxonomy): Eukaryota > Metazoa > Chordata > Mammalia > Primates > Hominidae > Homo > Homo sapiens. Next base: position 9,682,324 of record NC_000024.10, read on the forward strand.
TGGAATCCTGCTCTGTTACCTAGGCTGGAGTGCAGTGGCATGATCTCAGCTCACTGCAACCTTCCCATCCTGGGTTCCATCAGTTCTCCAGTCACACCCTCCTGAGTAGCTATGACTGCAGGCAAGTGACAACAATCTTAGCTTTTTTTTTTCTGTACTTTTAGTAAAGACCAGGTTTCACAATATTTGCTCAGGCTGGTCTCAAGCTCCTTTCCTCAAGTCATCCACCCACCTTAGCCTCTCAAAATGCTGGGATTTCAGTCATAAGCCACAATGTCCACCCAGTGTTATGCATTTCTCTTCTCAGTGATCTCTCCTGTCTATTTTATTATTTTATTTTGTTTTTATTTCTGAGACAGTGTCTTGGCTCTGGTGTCCAGGATAGAGTGCAGTGGTGTCATCTTACTTCACTGCAAACTCTGTCTCAGGGTTTCAGTGGATTCTCCTGCATCAGTCTCCCACATAGCTGAGATTATATCCATGGGACACCAAGCCCGGCTAGCTTTGCTATGATATTAGACATGGGATCTTGCCATGTTGGCCAGGCTTATCACAAACTCCTGACATCAAGAGATCCACCCACCTTGGCTTGCCAAATTGCTGGGAGTGCAGGTGTGAGCCACCATGTCCTGCCTCATATCTGTTTTAAAGCTCAGTTGATAAGCAATATTGTGTTCCTGGAATGCTTTATGTATATGAAACCACTATAGCACCATTATTTAGCCCCTTCAGATAAAATATGATAACACACAAAACATACAGACACAGACACAGACACAGTCAGTGATTAAAGATCAGTGTAGGCCAGGACCTAAAATGATATATGAGTTGCTGCAGTTGACTAAAATTAAAGCAGACCAGAGTTGGCAGATACCCAGAAAAGAGATGTGAACAGTCTTTCAAAGTACTCCATCAGATACATGTTAGATTATTCTCCAGCCATAGCAAAGGGAAATTAAATATCTGTTTTGTTTAGAATAGTCTTGATTGTTTGACTTTTCCAAGGTATTAGCATTCATGAAGTTGGCCTTTAAAGCTCTCCAAAATTACTCAAATCAGTAGACAACTCAGTTTTTCCAGGAGTCTAAAGTGCTTTTCAAAATTATCAAAAAGTTAGTGGCTTCAAACAATAATTATAATTTACTAACTGTCAGTCTCTAAAATCTTCCACAGTCTCTTAGCCCAGTGATTGTGGTTCAGGGGCACTCAGGAGGATACAATCTAGTGATGGCTCAGGATGGGGACATTGTCAGGTGTCTTCTTATTTCCCTGGTGCCATGGCTAGCATAACTCAAATAGTGGAGGTTGGGCTGCTGAGATCCTCAGGCATCTCCTTTTATTTCTATGAGTCTCTCCATGGGATGTCCATTCTGCATAGTGTTATCAGGGTGTTAGACTTCATGATGTACTGGTCTGAGGCTTCTGAGGGGTTTGTCCCCATGACAGCAGGAGACTTAGGCAGAGCTGTGTCACCTTTTCTAGCCTAGGCCAGAGGTGGCCCAATATCCAGAAAATGCTTTCACTGTTTTCTATTAATTAGAAGCAATTACTGTGTTCTGTCACAGTAGGAATATTTTCAAATTGGTTTGCAAAGAATTTCAAAGTGTGTTTTAGACCATTACGGTGGCCATGCCTAATAATTACTTATTTTTATAAGTGCTGGATGGGTTTTACCCAACGTAATATCAGATACAGACTTTTAAGCTTGAAACCTGTGTCATAGCTCTGAACATTTGGTTGTATGTTGAAATAACTCTCAAGCAAAAATTGATTTTGAAATTAGCACTATAAATAAATTAAATAAATGAGGTAAAGTCATAAATATCTGCATGAAATGCTTATAAAGAGGTCAGCCTTAAAAATGTCATGAAGTCTAATATGCCACCCTTTTATTATTTCTACGGATATTACTTGGACTGGAAGACAAGGACTCAGGAATTTGCTGGTCAATCTCTGCACCTGGAAATAGTGGCTGGGGCACCAGGAGTAATACTTCGGGCCATGGCCATGTAGTGAGGACAAGGAGTCCATCTGGGTTAAGGAGAGTGTCACTATATCTATCTATCTATCTATCTATCTATCTATCTATCTATCTATCTATCTACCTATCTATCTATCTAAAACACTATATATATATAACACTATATATATAATACTATATATATATTAAAAAACACTATAACAGAAACTCAGTAGTCATAGTGAAATCAAAAAATAATCACAGTCAATTTGATCTCATACCTAGACTGAAATATGAAACTTCAAAAGAAAAGAATGTTAAGAACTTTGGGCTTGTCAAAATTTTCCTACATAGATAAAATTATTGGTGACTTTAACTCACTAGAAAACATAAACAAAAATCGATGTTTTGTATATGTGTAAATGAAAATATTTTTATTTCTATTAGTTATGACATGCAAACAAGTAATAAAGTGAAAGTACAATAATAAATAATAAAATTATATAAGGAAATTTATGTGTCAAAAAATTCCATTGAGACTATCAATTTTATAAAACTGTAGAGAATGCTTCATGAAACTACATTATACATTACTTTTTAGTATTTCACTTACATTTTAAATAATCAACAAATTAAAGGAAATTCTGAATCATTATTTCTTACCAATATCATTATTCTACTCAAGACATTCTTCTGATATTAAATATTTTAAATAAAACATTAAAAACAAATTGTATTCACTGATATCAGCTTTTGATGAAATAATACTTCTGTATTTGTAATCATGTTAAATATATCTTTCTCCTCACAATGGATCTTTTGTAGCACCAGTGTTGTTATTTTCTCTGATACAAACCCTGTGACATCTCAGGGCGTTACTGTCTCCACACATTACATACCTCCAGAGAGTAGGCTCCAAACAGATGGAAAAATTATATCTGTGACAAAATTCTAGGAAAGGGAATGATAAAACAGGAGAATAATTTCTAAATTTCTAACTGTTCATCAATGGATTTGGATATATTTATATATAGACAAATATTTGCACACTGCAAGTTTGCACATGTGCACATAAATTTATAAGAGACACCCATAATGTGTGGGTTGTGTAATCTTTCAATTAATTCTCAATTTTACATGTGGGAAACTTGATAAGACTTTACCTTCATCAAATACTCAGTTTGAAGTACTATACTCAATTTGATGTAAAGCCAACAAAATCTCTGTCAACATTTATTTCAGTTAATCCAATAATATTAACTGCTGATAACTTTATTCTCCTTGTCCCCTGTTAACAGCTGAAAGTTGATTCTCACCCTAATTCAGCACTCAGGGTGTCATCCTCAAGAGACTATCACCTTGGTTTGGACTGTGACCTCTGACTCCACCACTTTCATCCTATAGCAGTCCTACCTTTGTGTAATTAATGAACTTTGTACATGGTTAAAAAAATAAAAATGCAGTGAAATGTCAGGCCATGCTGTGAAATGTTCCAGCGTTTCTATATCTCAAATTGACCTTTCATGTTATAGAAGATAAGAAAAACAATTCATTTCTTAGTATTCAGTCCAATGCACCCTTTCTTATTAATATGCCAAACCTGTCCCTTCAAAGCACTGACATTCAAGCACAGATAGATGTATCAAAATTTATTCTCAACAATAACCATTATGTTAATAACTGTTGCCCAGATCTGGACCCTGCCTGTGAAATCTTTGGTTGGAAATTGCTACAATCGCTCAAACTAGGGGAATTACTATTTTTTTGGCATAATTACTGCTATCATCTTACTGAAAAATATCATATTAGATGGCAGCTTTTAGTTAGATAAATCCTGTTGATTAATTTTTAATATCTATCATTTATGATATTGTACAAGTAAAGATCTTTGATAAGTTAAGTGGTTAGCTGAGAAACGAGTAAAATAACTCACAGCAATTCAAACATTCATTTACTTACTTGAAGTGACATACATCATTAACTTCTGCTGAAAGCAAAGTTGGGAAATTGCAAGTGCTAAATTGCTTACTAAAGCATGTATTTCAGGGTATTTTATAAAACTATCCATGCCATGTATGATGCTTCACCAGCCAGGATAAAGCTTTAGCATATATATATGTATGTGTGTATATATATATATATATATATATATATATATATATATATATATGCTATACACACATTTAGCATATATATATATGTGTACACACACACATATATGTACACACACACATGTATATGTACACACATATATATGCTAAAGACTGTATATCTATAAAGTCTTTATGTATGTATAAAGACTGCATATACACATAAAGACTTTATATATATATAAAGACTATATATATATAAAGCATAAAGACTTTATATATATATAAAAACTATATATATAAAGACTATATATATATATATAAAGTCTTTGGTTTTTAATGCATCTCTACATTTGTTTTCACAGCCTCAGCAAAAAAAAAAAAACACCCATGTACTTGACTTTCAGCTCAGTTGACTACAAGTTATTAGGGTTTAAGTAAACAGAATAAAGATTTCAAAATTTGGTGACCAAATATAAGAAATCACATTCTCACCATAAGTAATAATTATTATGAAGTGCCACTGCAAATGTAAAGTTGAAAGAAGAAATTAAGTCTAATATATTGCAATATTCTAAACTCTAAAATTTCCTCTTTGAAGTCTGGTGGTTCACACCTGGAATCACAACTCTCTGGAAGGCGGAGAAGGGAGGATTGCTTCAAACCCAGAGTTTGACATCAGCACAGGCTACACAGCAAAAACTATATCTAAAGTGTAACTACTTATTTAATTGGTTAAATTGGGCATGATGGCCTAATCTATTTACTCAGGAGTTCACAGTTGTAGTTAGCAGTGATCACACACTGCACTTCAGCCTGGGCCTTGAGGCAAGACTTTGTCTCTACAAAATAATTCAATATAAAAAGCAAAATAAATTAAAATAGAAACACTTTCAGGTGTTTTTTGAAAGTTTGTATAATTGCTCTAAAATCCTAGACATTGTTTAAAGTTGAGCAGTTCATGGGGGATTGGGTAGTGAACATTGTTTATTTTGTTTTCCAAAAATTAAGATAAATATTTATATAAATATCTAATAACCTTTTATACAATAAATATTGAGAAATGTCAAGCCATTGTGTTCATAGATTTTCCTTCAAAATATTAATTTAAGAATGAAGAGAAGAGCAATAATTGGAATGTACTCTGACCAGTGTTACAATATATGCAATATAGTAACTTAGTTGGAGAGGAAGAAAGTTCTTAACTGGGTTTACAGGGGTGTGGGGAACCTTCTTAGAACAGGAACAACTGACAGCATCTGTAAGGACACAAATTTTCAAGAAGAATGTTTGGGAGAAAAGCATTGTAGAAAAAAAGAAACATTCTTTCTATCAATGATAGAAGTACAACAGTGTATATGATGCCATCTGCCGAATGCTTAGACCATTCTAGCTCAATAAATATTTCCTGAAAGAATCCATGAATGGAAGATATTGGGAAAAGGATTCCAGAAGGGATTTTCAAAATCCTATAAAGGAAAGGTAAATAGCCTGGACTTTACCATTTTTGCCTGCTTTTCTTTATGTTCTTTTTATGTTTACTACCTCATAAGCTGTTTTACTTTTTGGTCTTTTCACAAATATCAAGCATGAATCATTCCTGAGAGTAATTCTCTCTTCATCCCTTGATACTGTATTTGTCTTTGATACTCCTTTGTGTGAGGCCCTGGGTTTGCATGCCCACAGCTACATCACTCACGTCTCCCTGGCACTGTTCTGTAATAGAGAGGCCTGGCCTCTGGGAGGTAGGGATCCTAGGCTCCCATAAAAATTACTTCCTCTTTCAGTTCAGTCAAGGGGTGACACTGCAGAGATAAGAGAACAAGAAGATGAGAGAAGCCAGTTTGTTTCCTTTTCCTTCTCAGTAAGAGATATGTTTCTGCAGTGATTCCATGCCTGCCGGACATGCTATCTGTGTTTCCATTTTGCATTCAGCGAGCCTAATCCTAGACTGGCTCTTCTAATGCCATTTTCTCCAATTGTCTTCTCTAAAGGTGCTATTTTGGAGTTTTAAATTTTAAAATATAATGATATGGAAGGAGGGCAGGGAAGTGCCTGGTAGAGGAGGGTGTGGTTCTTGGCTAGGGATCCACCATCACGCCTGTGCTCACTGACCTAGGTGAGGACACACACTTCTATTTTCTTGCCCCAGTTGGTGAGGACATGTGTTTCTGTTTTTTTGCCCAAGTGCTGCATTTTCCAAGACCACCCTGGCCTGCCATACCCCCATCCTGTGCTATAAGAAACCCTGAGACACTAGCAGGCAGATACACAGCAGCTGGACATCGAGAGGAACCATTAGCACAAGAAGACACAGCAACTGGACCTCGAGAGGACACCAGAGCAAGGAGAACACAACGACTGAGGCAGCAGGCCACTCACCACAGAACACAAGGTTTCATGGGGATGTGGGAGGACAGCTCTGAGCTGTCCCATTCCAAGGGAAAACCACGTTCCCACTCCATCTCCATTCTGGCTCCCCATCCATATGCTGAGCACTTCCAATCAATGAAACCTTGCACTTATTCTCCAAGCCCATGTGTGAGCCAATTTTTCAGGTACAGCAAAGCAGATAAGCTCAGGATGTGGAAAGCCCTCTGTCCTTGCAGTAAGGCAGGGTGTCTAATTGAATTAACACTAGTAGCCTACAGATGGATAAACTAAATTAGCACCGTGTAACACATGCCCGCTAGGGATTCAAGAAGTGTAAGCATTCACCCATAGATGGTACCTGGGGTCAGAACCCCAGATCCCATCCTTATTGATCTCCCAGCTGCAGGTAATAAGGGATGTTTTCCCATTCCAATATGAATCTGTTTCCAATGCAGTGTATTCTGCAATACTGCGGTGTTACCTTATTGCATATGTTTGACAAAATAATTTACAAACTATAACTAATCTGAGAAGAAAACAAATGGTGGAGAATAAGGAAGAAAAATGAAACATTATGTTTCACAATGAATGTTAACAATTATAGGTATGATTAATCAATACATGAGACCAGCCAAGCAGGTGCTTTATGTCATGAGGGAGCACTACTCCATCATCTTGGGCTTTCATTCTGGGACAGAGAGTGTGAGCAGCTATAAGGTCAGATAGAGAAGAGGACACAATCTGGTGAGGTGTGGATTGTGTCCCGCAAGTGCACCTGCAAAAAAGGTGAAGACAGATGACACAGAAGTTCCTTGCAACTGCATTACCACATCCTCTTAATTGCACAAGCCATGCACACCAGGGCCCGGTGTTCAAGTGGGAGTTCTCCAACATGCCATGAACATGTAGAGTACAAACTGGGGCTGTGCACTTAGAGGGCTTTCAAACACCGGGCCAAATGGGAGTGGGATGGATTGATGCTGGGTGGGATGTGGCCTCCACAGTTGCTCTTTTTTTTTCTGACTTCGATCTTCCTCATTGAATTAGGGTTTCCTTGGTCTGGCTCATTGTCTTCCATACTAAACATCTCCCAGTTCACAAAGGATGACCCTCATAGGAATCCATTGTGTGATTGTTTTCTTCTAAACACTGTCACATTTTAATGACTTGGCAGCTTTAATATTTTTAAAACTGTAAATTCCTTTAGAGCTGCCAACAGGGAAACTCTTGTTTTCCCACTTCTATCGGAGGGTGGCTTGATTCATATGGAATGAGAAGCAGGCAACTGTGTCTAATATTTGCCTGGTAATCTTGGCTCTGTTTCGTTTCATCTGCACGTCTTTTCATATTGTCACGGGTCTCTTTCAATGGGCTGTTGCTGGATGGGACTCCCTCTCACTGCAGGTCTTTTGACTGCAAGGAATTTCAGACAGCAAAGAAGACTTCAGAGAGACTGGCTGAGCTCCAGGTTGTGGGTCATGGTTGCATTGTTGGGGGTGAAGATTTTTGCAGTTTGCAGGAGGATTTTGAGTCCTCTGACAAGAATCATTGAACATTGCTTTGACTCCAGCATTTTGCAGCTTGTTCTCTCAGGTAAGCATTGATTTTTCTTGGCTTTCCTAGGGATTCCACATTGCCCATCAACTGAACTACTGGACACCATTTTCAGGTTTGCAATTGCCACAGATGGCCTCTGAGACACTGTCACAACTTCATCTGCCTATAGGCAAGGCCAGTTCGAGGTGAGAGAACACTGCTCCACCTTGAAATTGCCTTTGTAGTGGTTCTTGCCTTTCCCAGAGAGCCCCTGCAAGGCCCAGGATGAAGGGAGGCAGTGAGGTCAAGAGCCCAGCCATCTTTTGCAGACACCTGCCTCTGGGGTCTCAGGTGTGATTCCATCACATAAAGAACCCTCAACAACTCACTGGCCCCTGTCCCAATCCCCATGGGACCTGGTTCTTGCACATGGTCTCTTTCAGGAATGGAGTCAGAACAACAGTTTCCAGTGACCACCTCATAGCTTCTAAATACCTCCTCTTCCACCAGAACTCCACCACCAAGACGACACGATGGGGCAATAAGTTTGAGACTTTTAGGGTCATGCAGGCAACCTTTTTCTCAATACCAGGACGGCTCTGCCTGTACCATTTTCCTCTGCTTAGGCAGCTGATGGCTCTGACAGGCAGGCACCTGATCCTGTCTCATGAATGTGCATGAGCTAGTCTTAAAGCACCAGGTCTGAGCAGTGAGCTCTGGCTAGTGTCACAATAAATGGAACCATTGCCTAGCGACAAGTCCCTGCACCTTTGTGGAGAATGAGACCTCTGTGGAGGTGTGTCAGTGGTGGACTCTTGCCTGTCTTTTCTGTGGGATACACAGGACAGTGCCATGATTCTAGTAGATGGTAGATGTGAGCCAGCCCGAAGGAACATCAAGGAGAGTTCCAGGAATGAACCGTGAAATCCCTAAGGATCCAAAAGGATATGCAGGTTGCCTCCAGCCTGGTTACATGTTTCAGGGGTTACTCTTTTTAAAACTTGTCTCAAAATGATTACTACATATAGCCCACCTGTGTTCCCTAGGGTAGCTGTTTCCCAGATGTGTCTGCCTGCAGAACCATGCAGCCTCAGAAGCTGGCTTGCTGTTTCTGTGGGAGTGCTGCTAGTAGTGGATGTCTGCTTGTGTGTGTGGCTTTGTGTATTTGTGGGTGTGTGTGTGGGAGTGTGTGCCTGTTAGTGGAGTCTGCTTAAAATAATGTGGGCAATGCATTGCAGCACTTCTTCTTCCTTTTTTTTTTTTTTTGAGTAACCTAACATTTGTTTGCCTGTGTGTGTGGTTCTGCTTGGGATGCAAGGCTCCGTGTTCTTTATTTTTCTGTGGATCATGAATCTGTAGTGAATTAGGAGTCTGACCAAGATGAGCCAGAGTCCAAATCACCTCCCCCTGAAAAAAATTTACTTTTCCAGAAAGAAGAGCAGCACGTCATACCCAAGACCAACATCTCTCAGTGTTTCACGCTAACCCAAGGAGAGACACTAGCAGTCTTCTCTGCAGGACCCCTTGAATTTACATTGAATTCCATCCCCAGCCGAGCAGGTGCTTAAAGTCAACAGGGGACACTCCATTTTCTTGGAATTTCATTCTGGCAAAGAGGGTGTGAGCAGCAATAAGGTAAGAGAGGGGTTAGGACACTGTCTGGTGAGGGGTGTATGGGGTCCAGCACCTTCAACTGCAAAAAAGGTGAAGACAGATGAAACAGAAGTTGCTTCAAACTCCATCGCTGCATTCCCTTAATTGCATCAGCAGCGCACACCATGGCCCCATGTTCATCTGGGAGTACTCCAACATGAAAGGAACATTTGGAGTGCAAACTGGGGCCATCTGGGCAAACCCCAGATTCATTATGATAGCCGAATGGGAGTGGGATGGATTGATGCTGGGTGGGATGTGGCCTCCACACTTGCCTCTTCTTTTCCTGACTTCCATGTTCCCCATCTGCCTAGGGTTTCCTGGGTCTGGCTAAATGTCTTGCACACTAAATGTTTCCTAGTTCACAGAGGATGACACTCATGGGAATCCGTTGCACGAATGTTTCCTTACAAACACTGTCACATTTTAATGACTGGGCTGCTTTGATATATGTAAAACCATAAATTCCCATTACAGTTGTGGGAAAAGAAACTGTTGCTCTCCAACTTTTATCAGAGGACAGTGTATTCCTGGAGCATGAGAAGGAGGCCGGTGTGTCTGGCTTTTGCTTGGTAATCTAGGATGTGTTTCATTGTATCTGCATATCCTTTCTCATTGTGGAGAGACAATTTCATTGGGCTATTGCCAGATGTGACTACCTCTCTCCACAAATTATTTAGCTGTCAGGGATTTCAAAGTGCAAAAGGGACTTTGGGTAGGCTGGTTGCACTCCAGGTTGTGGGTGATTGCATCATTGTGCGGGCTGAGGTTGTTTGCACTTTGCAAGATTTGAGTCCTCTGACAAGAATCATTGAACATTGCTTATACTCCAGCAAAAGGCACTCATTTTCTCAGGTGAGCCTTGATTGTTCTTTGCTTTCTTGGGGAATCCACAGTGCCCCTCATCAGCACTACTGGACACCCTTTTCAGGCTTGCCATCACCACAGAGGGCCTCTAAGACACTGTCTCAACCTTATCTGCACCCGTGAGAGGCCAGTCTGAGGTGTGGGAATACTGTAATACCTTAGTCTTAACTTTGTCTTGGATTCTGCCTTTCCCAGAAAGCCCCAGTGAGGTCAAGATAAAGGGAAGCAGTGAGGTCAAGAGCTTGGCTATCTTTCACTGACACCTGGCTCTGTGGTCTCAGGTTTCAGGTATAAATCTATCACCCAAAAATTCTAAACAACCTACCAGGCTATATTCCAATCCCCATGGGATCTGACTCTTGCACACAGTTTCTTTCTGGAATGGAGCCAGAAGAGCAGTTTCCAATGATCACCTCGCAGTCTCAAAATGCCTCTTCCTCCAGCGAGACCCAACCACGGAGACAGCCCAAAGGGGGCCTGAGGTGAAGACTTTTATGGTCTGATAGTGAGTTTTCTGAGGCAGCATTTTCCCCAGTACTAGGCTGGCTCTGCTCCAGGAATAAACCGTGAAATCCTTAATGATCAAAAAGATCTGCAAGTCTCCTCAGGTCTGCCTAGATGTTGTGGGGGTGAGTAGTTTTGAAACTTGCCCCACTGTGATTTCTAGGTACACCCTGACTGTATTCTCTGGTGTTGCTCTCTCCTAGGTGGGTCTTCCTGAAGAACCAACCAAACTCAGGAGCTACCAGGCTGCTTGTTTCTGTGAAAATGTTGTGAGTGTTGGATGTCTGCATGTGTGTGTGCCATTGTGTGCTTAGGGGTGTGTGTGTGTGTGTGTGTGAGTGTGTGTGTGTTTGCCTTTAACTGGAGTCTGCTTAAAGGACTGTGGATAATGCACTTCAGTGCTTCTTTTTTTGAGTCTTCCAAACTTCTGGTTGCCCCTTGAATTTACCTCAAATTCATTTCATTGCTGAGCAGGTGCTTCACATCATGAAGGGATATTTTTCCATCATCTTGGGATTTCATTCTGGGACATAGAGTATGAGCCACAATAAGGTCAGAGAGGAGTGAGGATACAATCTTGTGAGGGGTGAACTGGGTCCAGCAACTTTGCCTGCAAAAATAAATAAATTAATTAATTAATTAGTAAATGAAGACAGATGACATAGCAGGTGCTTCCAACTCCATCCCAGCATTCCCTTAATTGCACAAGCAGTCCACACCATGGCCCAGTGTTCAGGTGGGAGTACTTCATTATGTAAGCAACATTTGGAATGAAAATTGGGGCCCTCCTGGCAAACTCTTGATTTGAGGTTTTTCATACCCAGAGGCAAATCGGAGTGGAATTGATTGATGCTGGGTGGCATGTGGCATCTACACTTGCCTCTTCTTTTTCTGACTTCCATATTCCACATTGGCCTAGGGCTTCCTTGGTCTGGCTCAACAACTTCCACACTAAATGTTTCTCAGTTCCCAAAGTGTGACCCTCATGGGAATGCATTGCCTGAGTGTTTTCTTCTAAAAACTGTCACATTTTAATGACTAGGCAAGTTTGATACTTTTAAAATTGTAAATTCCCATTACAGCTGCCAACAAGAAACCTCTTGATCTTTCACTTCTATTGGAGGGCTGCATGATTCCCATAGGATGAGAAGCTGACACCCAAGTCTGGCTTTTGCCTGGGAATCTAGCCTCAGTTTCATTTCAACTGCATGACCTTCTCATTGTGGAGGAGCTCTATCACTGGGCTGTTGCTGGAAGGGATGGCCTCTCACAACAGATTATTTTGCTGCCAGAAATTTCAGAAAGCAAAAGGGACTTTGGGTAGGCTGGATGTGCTCCAGGTTGTGGGTCATTGTCTTGTTATGGGGACTGAGGTTTTTTTGCACTTTGCAGGAGGCTTCTGGGTCCTCTAACAGGAATCATTGAACATTGCTTGGACTCCAGCTCAAAGCAGCTATTTTTCTGAGTCAAGCCTTAGTTTTTCTGTTTTCATGGGGAATCCACAGTGCCCCTCAAAAGCACTACTGGACACATTCTTCAGTCTTGCCATCACCACAGATGGCCTCTGAGACACTGTCTCAACCTCATCTGCACACGTGAGAGGCCAGTCCCAGGTGTGAGAATGCTGCTTCCCCTTGGACTTACCTTTGCCGTGGTTTCTGTCTGTCTCAGAGAGCCCCTGTGAGGCACAGGATGAAGGGACTCAGTGAGGTCTAGAGTCTGCTCCCCAGGTTGTGGGTAATTGTCTCATTGCGGGAGCTGAGGTTGTATGCACTTCAGAAGGGGCTTTTGGGTCCTCTGAAAAGGATCATTGAACAATGCTTCAACTCCAGCACAATGTACTGGACACCTTTTTCAGGCTTGCTATCACCACAGTTGGCCTCTGAGACACTATCTCAACCTCATCTGCAACCATGTGAGGCCAGTCAGAGGTGTGAGGACACTGCATCACCTTGGACTTGCCTTTGTAACTCCTGCCTTTCCCCGAGAGCCCCTGCAAGGCCCAGGATGAAGGGAGAGGGGGAGGTCAAGAGCCTGGCCATCTTTCACTGACACCAATGTCTGGGGTCTCAGGCATGATTCTGTCACCCAACAAACCCTCAACAACACACCAGACAATATTCCAGACCCGTGGGACCCAATTCTTGCACACAGCCTCTTTCTGAAATGGAGGCAGAAGATAAGTTTCTGGCGATGACCTCACAGTCTTGAAACACCTCTTCCTCCAGTGGGACCTGACCACGGAGATGCCCCAAAGAGGCCTTGAGGTTGAGACTTTTATGATCCCAAAGTGGGTTTTCATAGGCAGCCTTTTTCTCAATACCAGGCTGGCTCTGCCTGTACCATTTTCCTCTGCTTAAGCCCATTGACAGCTCTGAAAGCCGGGCATCTGGGCCTGCCTGACAATGTGCATACCCTAGTCTAAAAGCACCAGGCCTGATTGTGAGCTCTGGCTAGCCTCACAGTGAATGCCACCGTTGCCTAGCAACAAGTCCCTGTGGCTTGGCAGATAAAGGGACCTCCGTGGATGTGTGTCTTCGGTGGACTGTCCCATGTCTTCCCTGTGGAATCGACAGGATAGTCCCATGATCCAAGGAGAGGGCAGATATGAGCCAGCCTGAAATAATATCAAGCAGAGCCCCAGAAATAAACTGCAAATCCCTGAGGATCCAAAATAATCTGCAGGATTCCTTAGGCCTGCCTAGATGTTGTAGGGGGTGAGTCTTTTTCAAACTGGCCCCACTGTGATTTCTAGGTATAGCCTGCCTTTGTTCCCTGGGGTTGCTCTCTCCCAGGTGGGGCTTCCCGCAAAACCACACAACCGCAGGAGCTGCTGGGCTGTGTGTTTCTGAGGGAATGTTGTGAGTGCTTGATTTCTGCATGTGTGTGTGTGTGTGCCTGTAAGTGGAGTGGAGCCTGCTTAAAGGAATGTGGCTAATGCACTTCAGTGATTTTTTTTTTTTTTGAGCCTCACCACTTTTGATGGCCTGTCTGGATGTCTCTTCTTTGGCTGTGGGGCTCTGTGTTCTTTATTCTTCCATATATCATGAATCCTCAGTGAATTGGGAGGTGGGCTGGGATGCGGTGGTGTCCGAATCACCCCCACCCATGCAAAAAAAGCCACTCTTCTTGATAGAAGAGGGGCACATGAAATCAAAAAAGCAGGCATCTCCTAGAGTTTGATTGTACTGTGGCCAAACTAGGGAGAGACACTAGCAATCTTGTCCAAAGGGCCCCTTGAATTTACCTCAAATTGGTTCTCTGCTGAGCAGATGCTTCACATCGTGAGAGGGCAGTTCTCCATCATCTTGTGATTTCATCTTGGGACACAGAGTGTGAGTAGAAATAGGGTCAGATGGGAAAGGATATAATCTGCTGAGGGGTGGATGGTGTCCTTCAACTTCACCTGCAAAAATACAAAATGAAGACAGATGACAGAGAAGGTGCTTCCAAATATATTCCAGCATTCCCTTAATTGCACAAGCAGTCCACACCATTGCCTGGTGCTCTGGTAAGAGTATTTTCAATGGGCAAGAAATATTTGGAGTGCCAACTGGGGTCACACTGGCAAACTCCTGTTTTGAGGGTTTTCATACCCGGAGCTAAATGGGAGTGGAAAGGATTGATAATGGGTAAGATGTGGCCTCCACACTTGCCTCTCCTTTTTTGATTTTATGTTCCTTATCAGCCTAGGGGTTCCTGGGTATGGCTCAATGACTTCCATACTAAATGTTTCTCTGTTCATGGAAAATGATCCTCATGGGAATCCATTGCATGAGTGTTTCCTTCTAAACACTCTCAGGTTTGAATAACTGTGCAGCTTTAATACTTTTAGAACCATAAATTCCCATTACAGCCACCAAGAAGGAAAGTCTTGTCCCACTTCTATCAGAAAGCCACATGATTTCTGTAGGATGAGAAGCAGGCAGCCATGTCTGGATTTGCCTGGTAATAGAGCCTCAGTTTCATTTCTTTTGCATGGCATTCTCATTGTAGAGGTACTCTTTGTTGGGATGATGCTGGATGGGACTGCCTTACACAGATTATTTAGCTGCCAAGGATTTCACACAGCAAAAGGGACTTTAGGAAAAATCGCTGTGCTCCAGGTTGTGCATAATTGTCTCTTCATGGGGGCTGAGGTTGCTTGCACTTTGCAGGAGGCTTTTGGGTCCTCTGGCAGGAATTATTGAACATTGCTTAAATTTCAGCATGAGGCAGCACATTCTCTCATGTGAGCCAATTTTTTTTTTTTTTTTTGGTTTATTGGGTGAATCCACAGTGCCCTTCAACAGTGCTACTGGACACCCTTTTCAGGCTTGCCATCACCACACATCGTTTCTGAGATACTGACTCAACCTCATCTGCACCCAATAGTGGAAAGTCTGAGGTGCAAGAACACTCCTCAATCATACACTTGACTTTGTTGTGGTTCCGGTCTGTCCCAGAGAGCCCTTGCGAGGCCCAAAATAAAGGTAGGCAGTGAGATCTAGAGTCCAGCCATCTTCAACTGGAACCCATCTCTGGGGTCTCAGGTGTGATTCTGTCACCCAAAGAACACTAATCAACACACCAGACTACATTCCAATACCCAGGAAATCAGATTCTTTCACCAAAAAGCAGATATCTCCCGGTGTTTCATTTTCCTGTGGCCAAATCAGGGAGACACACTAGCAGTCTTGTCCTCAGGTCTCCATGAATTTACCTCAAATTCAATTCCCAGCTGAGCAGGTGCTTCACATCATGAGGGGTTACTCCTCTATTTTCTTGGGATTTCATCCTGGGACATAGAGTGTGAGCCGCAATGAGGTCAGATAGGTGTGAGGATACAATCTGGTGAGCGGTGGATAGGGTCCCACAACCTCACCTGCAGAAAAATGAAGACAAATGAAACAGAAGGTGCTTCAAACTCCATCACTGTATGTTCAGATGGGAGTACTTCACAGTGCAAGGAACATTTGGGGTGCAAATTGGGGCAACCCTGGCAAACTCCAGATTTGAAAGCTTTCATACCCGGAGCCAAATGGGAGTGGACTGGATTGATGCTGGGTATGATATGGCCTCCAGACTTCCCTCTTAGTTTCCTGATTTTCATGTTCCTCATCAGGCTAGGGTTTCCTGGGTATGGCTCAATGACTTCCACACTAAACGTTACCCAGTTCATGGAGAACGACCATCATGGGAATCCACTGTGTGATTGTTTCCTTCTAAACATTGTCATATTTTAATGACTGGGAAGCTTTAATACTTTTAAGACAGTAAATTCTTGTTACAGCCACCAATAAGAAAACACTTGTTCTCCCACTTCTATTGGAGGGCTGCATGATTATTGTAGGATGAGAAGCAGGCAGCCATGTATGGGTTTTTGCCTGGCAATCTAGCCTCTGTTTCATTTCATCTGCATAGCCTTCTCACTGCGGAGGGGTTCTTTCATTGAGCTCTTGCTGGATGGGACTGCCTCTTGCCACAGATTATTTTGCTAACAGGGATTTCAGAGAGCAAAAGTGACTTTGCAGAGACTGGTTGCACTCAAGTTTGTGGTTCATGGTCTTATTTTGGGGGCTAAGTTTGCTTGCAGTTTGCAGGAGGTTTTTGGGTCCTCTGACAGGAATCACTGAACATTGCTTGGACTCCAGCGCAAGGCAGCTCATTCTCTCAGGTGAGCCTTAATTTTTCTTTGCTTTCATGGGGAATCCACAGTGCCCCTTAGCAGCACTACTGGACACCCTTTTTAGGCATGCCATCATCACAGATGGCCTCTGAGACACTGGTCTCAACCTTGTCTTCACCTGTGAGTGGCCAGTCCAAGGCCTGAGAGTAGGGCTCCACCTTGGACTTTCCTTTGCTGTGGCTCCTGCTTTCCCACAGAGGCTCTGCAAGGCTCAGGATGAAGGGAGGCAGTGAGGTCAAGGTCCTGGCCATCTTTCACTGACACCAGGCCCTGGGGTTTCAGGTATGATTCTATCATCCAAAGAACCATCAAAAACATACTAGACTTTATTCCAATGTCCACGGGACATAATTCTTTCACACAGCCTCTTTCAAAAAGGGAGACAGAAAAGTAGTTTCCACAGACCACCTCACAGTATTGATATTCTTCCTCCTTTGGTGGGACCTGACCACAGAGATGGCCTGAAGGGGAGCTGAGGTCAAGACTTTTAGGTTCTCATAGTGGGTTTTGCAGGCCTCCCTTTTCATGATACCAGGACAACTCTGCCTGTAGTATTTTACTTGGCTTAGGAAGGCTGACAGCTCTGACAGCTGGGTGCCCGAGCCTGATTCATGAATGCATATAAGCTGGTTTCAGGGCACCATTCCTGATTGTGAGCTCTGGCTAGCGTCACAATTAATGTCACCATTGTCTAGCAAAAAGTTCCTGCATCTTGGCAATGCAGGAGGCCTCTGTGGAAGTGCATCCACAGGGGACTCTTGCCTGTCTTTTCTGTGGATCCATGGGATAGTTCCATAATCCTGGGAGAGGGCAAGTGGGAGCCAGCCTGAAGAAATGTCAAGCACAGCCCCAGGAATAAACCACAAAATCCCTGAGCGTCCAAAAATATCAGAAGGATTATTCAGGCCTGCCTACACATTGTAGGGGTGAGTGTTTTTGAAACTTTCCCCGCTGTGATTTCTAGGTGCAGCCCACCTGTGTTCCCTGGGGTTGCTCTCTCTTAGGTGGGGCTTCCTACAGAATGACACAGCCTCTAGAGCTGCCTCACTGTGTGTTTCTGTGGGAGTGTTGCAAATGTTGGATGTCTGCGTGTGTGTGTGGCACAGCGTGTTTGTGTTGTCTGTGTGTGTGTGTGTGTTTGTGCCTGTAAGTGGAGTCTGCTTAAAGAAATGTGGCTAATCCACTTCAGCGCTACTTTTCTTGAGTCTCAACACCTTTTGGTGGACTGTTTGTTGGGTCTGCTTGGGCTGTGTTTTCTTTATTGATCTGCGGATCATGAATCCGCAGTGAATTAGAAGCTTGCCAAATCCCACCGCCATCCAAATCACCTCCCCCTGCAAAAAAAAAAAGCCACTCTTCTAGAAAGAAGAGGAGCACACTACACTGAAAAACAAACATCTTCCAGTGTTTCATTGTCCTGTAGCCAACCCAGGTAGAGACACTAGCAGTCCTGTCCGCAGAGCCCCTTGTATTTACCTTGAATTCGGTTGACAGCCTAGGAGGTGCTTCATGCTGTGAGGGGGCACTCCTCCATCGTCTTGGGACTTCATCCTGGAACATAGAGTGTGAGCAGCAATAAGGTCAGGTAGGGTGGAGGATCCAATCTGGTGAGAAGTGAATGGGTCCTGCAACTTCACCTGCAATAAAAATGAAGACAGATGACACAGAAGGTGTTTCAAACTTCATCCCCTCATTCCCTTAATTGCACAAGCAGTCCCCACCAAGGTGCAGTGTTGAAGTGGGAGGACTCCAATGTGCACAAAACATCTGGACTGCAAATTCGGGATATCCTGACAAACTGCTGATTTGAGGGCTTTCATATTCAGAGCCAAATGTGAGTGGAATGGATTGATGCTGGATAGAATGTGGGCCTCCACCTCATCGGCCTAGTGTTTCCTGTGTCTGGCTCAAGGACTTCCACATTAAACATTTCCCAGTTCATGGAGAGAGGCGCTTATGGAATCCATTGCATTAGCATTTCCTTCTAAACACTGTCACATTTTAATGACTTGGCAGCTTTGACATATTTAAAACCATGAATTCCCGTTACAGCCACTAACAAGGAAACTCTTGTTCTCCCACTTCTGTTAGGGGGCTGCTTGATTCCTGCAGGATGAGAAGCAGGCAGCCATGTCTAGCTTTTGCCTGGCAGCCTTGCCTCTGTTTTATTTTATCTGCATGGCCTCCTCAGTGTGGATGGTCTCTTTCACTGGGCTTTTGTTGGATGGGACTGCCTCTCACCACAGATTATTTAGTTGCCAGCTATTTAAGAGAGCAAAAGGGACTTCATGTAGGCTGGCTGTGCTTTAGGTTGTGGGTTGTTTTCTGGTTGTGTGGGATGAGGTGGTTTGCACTTTGCCTGAGGGTGTTGGGTCCTCTGACAGGAAGAATTGAACATTGCTTGGACTCCAGCACAAGGCAGCCAGTTCTCTCAGGTGAGCCTTGATTTTTTGTTTGTTTGTTTTCATAGGGAATCCACAATGTGCCTCAACAGCACCGCTGGACACCTTTTTTCGGCTTGCCATCACCACAGACTGCCACTGAGACCCTGTCTCAACCTCATCTGCACCCTTGAGTGGCCTGTCTGAGGTGTGAGAACACTGCTCCACCTTGGACTTGCCTCTTTTCTGGTTCCTGCCTTTCCCAAAGAGCCCTTGTAAGGCATAGAATAAAGGGAGGAAGTGAGGTCAAGATCCTGGACATCTTTTGCTGACACCCACCTCGGGGGTCTCAGATATGATTCCGTCACACAAGGTATCCTCAAAAACAAACTAGACAATATTCCAATCCCAGTGGGACCCAATTCTTGCACACTGTCTCTTTCAAGAATAGAATCAGAAGAGCAGTTTCCAGTGACCACCTCACAGTCTGGAAACATCTCCTTCTCCAGCAGAACTTGACAGTGGAGATGCACTGAAAGGGCCCTAAAGTTGAGCCTTTTATGATCCTGCGGTGGATTTTCACAGGCTACCTTTTTCCTGATACCAGGCTAGCTCTGGCTGTACCATTTTCCTCTGCTTAGGCAGGCTGACAGCTATGACTCACAGATGCCCAAGCCTGCCTCACAAAAGCGCATGTGCTAGTCTCAGGGCACCAGGCCTAATTGTGAGCTATGGCTAGTGTCACAGTGAACTTCACCATTGCCTAGCATCAAGTCCCTGCAGCTTGGCAGAGAAGGAAACCTCCATGGGGGAGCGTCGGCCGTGGACTCTCACCTGTCTTCTCTGTGGGATCCCTGAGATAGTCCCATGATCCTAGGAGGGTGTAGACATGAGCCAGCCTGAAGAAACATCAAGCACCGGCCCAGGAATAAACTGTGAAATCTGTAATGATCCAAAGGGATCTGCAGGTTTCCTCAGGCCTGCCTAGATGTTGTAGGGGTGACTCTTTTTGAAACTTGGCCCTCTCTGACTTCTTGGTGCATCCCACCTGTGTTCCCCAGGGTTGCTCTCTCCAAGGTGGGGCTTCCTGCAGAACCATGCAGCCTCAGGAACTGCCGGGATATGTGTTTCTGTGACAAAGTTGCGAGTGTTGGATGTTTGCGTGTGTGTGTGTGTGTGTGTGTGTGTGTTATTGTGGGTTTGTGTGAGTATGTGTATGTCTGTGTGTGCCTGTAAGTGGAGTGTGCTTAAAGGAATGTGGCTAATGAACTTCAGTCCTTCCTTTTTTTTTTTTTTTTTTGAGTCTCCTAACCTTTTGTTGGCCTGTCTGTGTGGTTCTGCTTGGGCTGCAGGGCTCAGTGTTCTTTATTTTTCTGTGGTTCATTAATTGAAAATGAATTGAGAGACAGGCTGGCCTCCAAATCACCTCCCCATGCAAAAAAAGGCACCCTTCTAGAAGTAAGAGGAGCACACCACACCAAAAAGACAAACCTCTCCCAGAGATTCATTGTCCTGCAGGAAACCCAGGGAGCACACTAGCAGTCTTGTCCACAGGCCTTTTGAATTTACCTCATATTCGGTTCCCAGCCAGCTAGGTGCTTCACGTCGTGAGAAGGCACCCTCCATCATCTTGGGATTTCATTGTAGGACATAGAGTGTGACAATCAATAAAGTCAGATAGGAGTGAGGATACAATCTGGTGAGGGGCAGATGCGGTCCAGCAAAAAAAAATGAAAGATGATACAGAAGGTGCTTCTAACTCCATCCCCACATTCCCTTAATTGCACAACCAGTTCACACCAATGCCCCACTGTTCAAGGGGGAGTACTCCAATGTGCAAGGAAGATTTGGAGTGCAAATTGAGGCCATCCTGGAAAACTCCTGATTTAAGGACTTTCATTGCTATAGCCAAATGAAAGTGGAATAGATTGATGCCGGCTGCAAACCAGCCTGAAGAAACATCAAGCAAAGCCCCAGGAATAAACTGTGAAATCCCTAAGGATCCAAAAAGATCTGCAAAAGACCTCAAGCCTTCTTAGACATTGTATTGGTTAGTCTTTTTTTTTCTCAGTTTTTATATTATATATTTAATTAATATTTGATATTATAAAGCACATTTATCAGTTAATTTTATTATATTCTCATGAGTCCATTACATAACTATTATTATATGAACTTTTTTTTATACTTTAAGTTTTAGGGTACATGTGCACATTATGCAGGTTAGTTACATATGTATACATGTGCCATGCTGGTGTGCTGCACCCACTAACTCGTCATCTAGCATTAGGTATATCTCCCGATGCTATCCCTCACCCCTCCCCCCACCCCACAACAGTCCCCAGAGTGTGATATTCCCCTTCCTGTGTCCATGTGATCTCATTGTTCAATTCCCACCTATGAGTGAGAATATGCGGTGTTTGGTTTTTTGTTCTTGCGATAGTTTACTGAGAATGATGATTTCCAATTTCATCCATGTCCCTACAAAGGACATGAACTCATCATTTTTTATGGCTGCATAGTATTCCATGGTGTATATGTGCCACATTTTCTTAATCCAGTCTATCATTGTTGGACATTTAGGTTGGTTCCAAGTCTTTGCTATTCTGAATAATGCCGCAATAAACATACAGGTGCATGTGTCTTGATAGCAGCATGATTTATAATCCTCTGGGTATATACCCAGTAATGGGATGGCTGGGTCAAATGGTATTTCTAGTTCTAGATCCCTGAGGAATCGCCACACTGACTTCCACAATGGTTGACCTAGTTTACAGTCCCACCAACAGTGTAAAAGTGTTCCTATTTCTCCACATCCTCTCCAGCAACTGTTGTTTCCTGACTTTTTAATGATTGCCATTCTAACGGGTGTGAGATGGTATCTCATTGTGGTTTTGATTTGCATTTCTCTGTATTGGTTAGTCTTTTTGAAACTTGTCCCACTGTGATTTCTAGATTCAGCCCACCTGTGTTCCCTAGGGATGGTCTCTTTCAGGTGGAGCTTCCTGCAGAACCATGCAGCCTCAGAAGCTGCTTGGCTGTGTGTTTCTGTGGGAGTGTTGCGAATGTTGGTGTGGCTGTGTTTGTGTGTGTGGGTGTGTGTGTGTGTGCCTGTAAGTGGAATCTGCTTAAATGAATGTGGCTATTACACTTCAGCACTACTTATTTTTGAGTCTGTCAAACTTTTGGTGGCCTGTTTGTGTGGCCCTTCTTGGTCTGTGGCATTACATGTCCTTTCTTTCTTTCTTTCTTTTTTTGTGGATCATGAATCCACAGTGAATTGGGAGATTGGCTAGACATGCCAAAATTAAATTATGTACCACTGCAAAAAACAAAGCAAAACAAAACAAAAAACTCTTCTAGAAAGAGGAATAGCAAACCACACCCTAGAACAGACATCTCCCAGTGTTTCATGTTCTGCAGCAAACCCAGGGACAGGCACTTTCAGTCCTGTCCGCAGGGCCCCTTGAATCTACCAGGAATTTGATTCCCAGCTGAACAGGTGCTTTTTGTCACAATCCTCCATTATCTTGGGATTTTGTTCTTGGACAGAGAGTACAAGCAGCAATAAGGTCAGACAGGTGTGAAGATACGATCTTGTGAGGGGTAGATAGGTTCCTGCACATTCACCTGTAAAAATGGTGAAGACAGATTACACTGTCAGAATTCAATGACTGGACATCTGTAATGTATTTAAAACCATAAATTCCCAGTACTGACACCAACAAGGAAATTCTTGTTCTCCCTCTTCTATCAGATGGCTGCATGATTCCTGTAGGATGAGAAGCATGCAGCCATGTCTGACTTTTGCCTGGTGATCTATAGTCTGTTTCATTTCGACTGCAGATCCTTTCTCATTGTGGAGAGGGTCTTTCAGCTGTTGCTGGTTGTAACTGCCACTCACCACAGATCTTTTGGCTGCCAGCGATTTTAGGGAGCAAAAGGGCCTTCAGGTAGGCTGGCTGCATTTCAAGTTGTGGATCATGGTCTCGTTGTGGAGGCTGACATTGTTTGCACTTCTCAGGAGGCTTTTGGGTATGCCGACAGGAGTCTTTGAATGTTGCTAGGACTCCAACAAAAGTCAGCTCTTTCTCTCAGGCAAGCCGTGAGTTTTTTGTGCTTTCATGGGGTGTCCCCATTGCCACCCAACAGTACTATAGGACACAATTTTCAGGCTTGCAATAGCCACAGATGACCTCTGAGACAATGTCTCAACGTCATCTGCCTCCGTGAGAGGGCATTTTGAGGTTTGAGAACTCTGATCCAACTTGGACTTGCATTTGTTGTGGTTCATGCCTTTCCCAGATAGCCCCTGGGGGGCCCAGAATGAAGAGAGGCAATGGGGACAAGGGCTTGGCCATATTTCACTGACAAACACCTATGGAGTCTCACGTATGATTCCATGATAAAAGGACCCCTCAACAACTCACCAGACTCTATTCCCATCCCTATGGGACCTGATTCTTACAAATAGCCTCTTTCGGGAATGAAGTCAGAAGAGCAGTTTTCCATGACAACCTAACAGTCTGAAAACACCTCTTCCTCCAGTGGGACCCGACCAAGGAGATGGATGGAAGGGGTGCTAAGGTTGACATATTTAGGTTCCCACAGTTGGTTATCGCAGGCAGCCTTTCTCCCGATATGAGGCTGGATCTGCCTGTACCATTTTCCTTTGCTTAGCTCTGACAGCCTAGCACCTAAGCCTGCCTCGTGAATGTGCATGTGCTAGTCTCAGGGCACCACCCCTGAGCTGTGAGCTCCAGTTAGCCTCACAATGAATAACACTTTTCCTAGTGAAAAGTCCCTGTGTCTTGGCAGAGAAGGAGACCTCCATGAAGATGCTTCACGGTAGACTCTCGCCTCTCTTCTTTGTTGAATCCTTGGGATAGTCCCATGATCCTAGGAGAGGGCAGATGTGAGCCAGCATGAAGAAGCATCAAGCAGGGCCCCAGGAATAATCTGTGAATTCCTTAACTATGCTAAAGGGTCTGCAGATGCCTCAGGCCTGCCTAGACGTTGCAGGGGGTCTTTTGAAACTTGTCCCACTGTGGTTTCTACATACAGCATGCCTGTGTTCCCCAGGATTGCTCTCTCCCAAGTGGGACTTCCTGCAGAACCACACAGCTTCAGAAGCTGCTGGGAGTGTGTTTCTGTGGGAGTGTTGCCAGTGTTGGTTGTCTGTGTTTGTGTGTGTGTGTGTGTCTGTAAGTGGAATCTGCTTTAAAAAATGTGGTTAACACACTGTAGCTCTTCTTTGTTTTTGAGTCTCCCAAACTTTTTGTGGCCTATCTGTGTGGCTCTGCTTGGGCTGCTGGGTTCTGTGTTCTTTATTTTTCTGCAGATCATGAATCTGCCATAAATTGAGAGATGGCATGAGACCCGCCATGGTCCAAATAACCTCCCCCCACAAAAACAAAACAAACAAACAAACAAAGCCACACTTCTAGAAAGAAGAGGAGCACAGGAAATTCAGGAACAGAAATCTTTCAGTGTTTTATTGTCCAGTGTACACCCCATTTAGAAACACTAGCAGTCCGGTCCACAGGGTCCCTTGAATTTACTTCATATTCAGTTGCTAGCCAAGCAGGACCTCCACACCGTGAGGGGGCACTCTTCCATCATCTTTGGATTTCATTATGGGAAAGATACTTTTAACTTCAGATAAAGCTGAGGATACAAGCTGGTGAGGGATGGATGGGGTCCCGCACATTCGCCTGCAAAAAAATGTGATGACAGATGTTACAGAAGGTGCTTCCAACTGCATCCCCACATTTCCTTAAATATACAAGCCATCCACACCATGGCCTGGTGTACATTTGGGAGCACCCCAATATGCAGGGAATGTTTGGAGTGCAAACTGGAGCCATCCTGGCAAACTCCCTATTTGAGGGCCTTTATACCAGGAGCCAAATGGGAGTGAGGCCATTTGATGTAAGGTTTGATGTGGACACCATACTTACCTCTTATTTTCCTGACATCCATGTACCTCATCAGCCTAAGGTTTCTTGGGTCTGGCTGTACATATTCCACATTAAATGTTTACCACTTAATGGAAGACGACCCTCAAGGGAATCCATTTCATGAGTGTTTTCTTCTAAATACTATTGGGTTTTAATGACTGGGCAACTTTGATTGTTTTAAAACCATAAATTTCTGTAACAGTAGCCAAGAAGGAAACTCTTC
This sequence comes from Homo sapiens, assembly GCF_000001405.40. NCBI lineage: Eukaryota > Metazoa > Chordata > Mammalia > Primates > Hominidae > Homo > Homo sapiens. The sequence continues at coordinate 9,707,539 of NC_000024.10, forward strand.
TTATCCAGCTTTTATCAGACAGCTGCTTGATACCTGTAGGAGGAGAAGCAGGCAGCTGTACCTGGCTTTTGCCTGGGAAGCTAGGCTCTGTTTCATTTCATCTGCTGGTCTTTTTTCATTGTGGAGGGCTCTTTCATTGGGCTGTTACTGGATGGTGCTACCTCTTGCCACAGACTTATTGGCTGCCAGGGATTTCAGAGAGCAAAAGGGACTTTGGGTAGACTGGCTGTGCTTTAGGTTTGGGGTCATGGTTTCCTTGTGGGGGCTGAGATTATTTGCAATTTGCAAGAGGCTTTTGGGTCTTCTGACAGAAATCTCTAAATGTTGCTTTGACTACAGCACACGACAGCTCGTTCTCTCCTGTGAGCCTTGATTTTCCTTTGCTTATATGGGGGGTCCACAGTGCCCTTTAACAGCACTACCTGACAAACTTTTCAGGATTGCAATCATCACAGATGTCCTCTGAGACACTGTCTCAACCTCATCTGCAACCGTGAGAGGCCACTTAGAGCTGTGAGAATACTGTTCCACCTTGGACTTGCCTTTGTCATGGTTCCTGCCTTTCAACAAGAGCCCCTGCGAGGCTCAGGATGGGTGGGGGCAGTGAGGTTAAGAACCTGGTCATATTTCACTGGCACCCACCTGTAGGGTCACACGTATGATGCTATCACTGAAAGAACCTTCCACAACTCACCAGACAACCTTCCAATCCCCATGAGACCTGATCTTGCACACAGCCTCTTTCAGGAAGTTCTCAACAACCCCCTCAGTCTAAACACCTCCTCCTCTAGTGGAACCGGATCACAGGTACGGCGGAAAGGGGCCCTAAGTTTGAGACTTTTAGGGTTCCACAGTGGGTTATCACATGGAGCAGCTTTTTCCCCAGTACCAGGCCGGCCCTGCCTGTACCATTTTCCTCTGACACACAGGTGCTGAGCCACCCACAAATGCACATGCGTTAGTCTCAGGGCACCGGGCCTAAGCTGTGAGCTCTGGCTAGCCTCACCATGAATGTCACAATTCCGTGAGGTTTGGCGGAGAAGGAGACCTCTGTGGAGGTGCATCAGTGGTGGACTGTCCTCTCTCTTCTCTGTGGGATCCACAGGATAGTCCCACGATCCTAGGGGAGAGCAGACAAGAGCCAGCTGGAAGATACGTCAAGCAAACCCCAGGAATAAACCGCGAAATCCGTAAGGTTCCAAAAGGATCTGAAGGGTGCCTCAGGCCTGCCTAGGTGTGCAGAGGTGAGTCTTTATGAAACTTTACCCACTGTGATTTTTAGGTGCAACCCGCCTGTGTTGCCCAGAGTTGTTATCTCCCAGGTAAGGCTTTCTGCAGAACCATGCAGCCTCAGAATCTGCCGAGCTGTGTGTTTCTGTGAAAGTATTGAGTCTTTGATGTCTGCCTATGGGTGTGGCTTTTTTGGCACTGTGTCTGCTTAAAGGAATGTGGCTAACGCACTGCAGCAACTTTTTTTTTTTTGTCTCCCAACCTTTAGTTCACCTGTCTGTGTGGCTCTGCTTGGGCTGCAGGGCTCCACGTTTTTTATTTTGCTCTGGATCATGAATCCAAAGTGTAGTGGGAGGCTGGCTGTGACACACCGAAGTCCACATCACCTCTGCCTGCAAATAAAGCTACTCTTCTAGAAAGAAGAGGAGCACACCACATCCAAGAAAGGACATCCCTCTGTATTACCTTGTTCTATGGCCATCCCCGGAGGAAACACTAGCATTCCTGTCCTCACAGCCCCTTGAATTTACCTTGAATTTGCTTCCTAGCTGAGCAGATGCTCCACGTCCTGAGAAGGAACTCCTAGATCATCTTGGGATTTCATTTAGGGAAAGAGAACATGAATAGCAATAAGGTCAGAAGGGGTAAGGATGCAATCTGGTGAGAAGTGGATGGGGTCCCACACTTCCAATTGCAAAAAATGTGAAGACAGATGACACAGAAAGTGATTCCAACTGCATCCTCACATTTCTTTAATTACACAAGTAGTTCACACTATGGCCTGGTGTTCAGGTGGGAGTACTCCAACATGCAGAGAACATTTGAAGTGCAAACTGGGGCCATCCTGGCAAACTGCAAATTTGAGGGCTTTCATACTCGGCTCCCATTGAAAGTGAGAATGATAGACACAAGGTGGGATGTGGCCTCCACACTTGCCTCTTCTTTTCCTGTCTTCCGTATTTCTTGTCAGCCTAGGGTTTCCTGGATCTGGTTCATGTATTCCACGATAAAGTTTTCCCAGTGTTTCCTTCTAAACACTGTCACGTTTTAGTGACTTGGCCCCTGTGATAATTTTGAAACCATAAATTCCTGTTACAGCCAACAACAAGGAAACTCTTGCTCTTCAACTTTTATCGGAGTGCTGCATGAGTCCTGTAGGATGAGAAGCAGGCAGCTGTGTTTGGCTTTTGCCTGGTAATCTATGCTCTGTTTCATTGCATCTGCACATCCTTTCTCATTGTGGAGGTGGTCTTTCATTGGGCTGTTGCTGGATGGGGCTGCCTCTTACAATAGATCTATGGGCTGCCAAGGATTTCAGGGAGCAAAACAGACTCTGGGTAGGTTTGGTGGCACTCCAGGTTGTGGATCAGTGTCTTGTTATGTGTTGCTTGCACTTTGCAGGAGTTTTTTGAGTTCTCTGACAGGAATTTTTGAATGTTGCTTAGACTCTAGCACAAGCCATCTTTTTCTCACACACGAGCCTTGATTTTTCTTTGCTTTCCTGGGAAGTCCACAGTGCCCCTCAACAGCACTACTGGACATCCTTTTCTGTCTTGCCATGGCCACAGATGGCCTCAGAGACACTATCTCAACCTCATCTGCACTGGTGAGAGGCCAGTTCGAGGTTTGAGAACACTGCTCCCTATTGGACCTGCCTTTGTTGTGGTTCCTGTGCTTCATAGAGAGACCCTGCGAGGTCCAGAATGATGGGAGACAGTGAGGTTAAGGGCCCAACCATCATTCATAGGCACCCAATTCTAGTTTCTCAGGTATAATTCCATCACCCAAAGACCCCTCCTCAACTCACCAGACTACATTCCAATCCCCATGGGACTGGATTCTTGCACACAGCCTCTTTCCAAAAGGGAATCAGAAGAACAGATTTCAGCGACCACCTCAGTCTCTGAATGCCTCCTACTCCTGCAGGAGCTGACCAGGGAGACGGCTTGAAGTCGCCCTAACTTCGAGCATTGTAGGGTCCCGCAGTGCATTATTGCAGGCAGCCTATTTCTGGATACCGAGCCAGCTCTATGTGTACCATTTTCTTCTGCTTCCACAGGCTAACATCTGTGAAAGCCAGGCCAGCAAGCATGCCCTCAAATGCACATGCACGCCTCAGGGCACCAGGCCTGACTATGAGCTCTGGCTAGCATCACAATGAATGTCACCATTACATAGAGATCAGTCCTGGCTGCGTGGCCAAGAAGGAGACCTCCATAGAGGTGCCTTGGTGGTGGACTCTTGCCTGTCTTCTCTGAGGGATCCACAGGATACATCCATATTCCTAGGAGAGGGCAGACATGAGCCAGCATGCAGAAATGTCAAGCAGAGCCCAAGGAATAAACTGCAAAGTCCCTAAGGCTACAAAAGTATCTGCAGGATGTCTCAGGCCTGCCTGGGAGTTGTAGGGTTGAGTCTTTCTGAAACTTTCCCAACTGTGATTTCTAGGTAGAGCGCTCTGTGTTTGCCGGGGTTGCTCTCTCCCAGGTGGGGCCTTCTGCACAAACACACAGCCTCAGATGCTGCCAGGCTCTGTTTCTGAGGGCATGTTGCAAGTGTTGGATGTCTAGGTGTGGTGTGGCTTTTTGGCTTTGTGTGTTTTAGTGTGTGTGTGTGTGCACGCGGGCCAGTAAGCGGAGTTTGTTTAAAGGGAGGTGGGTCACACACTGCAGAGCTTCTTTTATTTGAGACTTCCAACATTTTCATGCCCTGTCTGTATGGCTCTTCTGGGGCTGTAGACCTCCCTGTTCTTTATTTTTCTGAATCCACAGTGAATTGCGAGGCTGGCTGTGACACGCTGAGGTCCACATAACAAATGACTTCCAAACAAACAAACAAAAAAAGCCACTCTCTAGAAAGAAGAGCTGCAGCACACCATACCCAAGAACAGAAATCCTTCAGTGTGTCAGTGTCCTGTGGCTATCCCAGGGAGAAACACTAGCAGTCCTGTCCACAGGGCCCCATGAATTTACCTCAAATTTTGTTCATAGGTGAGCAGGTACTTCCTGTCGTCAGGGTTCACTCCTCCATCATCTTGGGATTTCATCCTGGGTCATAGAGTGTGAATGGCAATAAGGTCAGATAGGGGTGAGGATACAACCTGATGAGGGGTGGATGGGGACCTGCACCTTCACCTGCAAAAATGTAAAGACAGGTGACACAAAAGGTGCTTCAAACAGCATTCCCACATTTCCTTAATTGCAGAAGCAGTCCACAACTTGGCCTGGTGTTTAGTTGGGAGTACTCCAACGTGCAGGGAATATTTGAAGTGCAAACTGGGGCCACCCTGGCCAACTCCTATCCTGACTTACATGTGCCTCATAATCCTAAGGATGATTGGGTATGGCTCAATGTCTTCTACACTAAATGTTTCCCAGTTCATGGAAGGTGACCCTTGGGGGGAATCCATTGAGTAAGTGTTTCCTTCTAAACACTTACTGCCCTGTCATGTTTCAATGACAGGGCAGCTGCGATGCGGTAATTCTAAAACAGTAACTTCCTGTTACTGCTGCCAACAAGGAAACTCCTGTTCTCCAAGTTTTATTGAAGGGCTGCATGATTCCTGTAGGATGAGAAGCAGGCAGCTGTGTCTGGATTCCACCTGGTAATATGGTCTGTGTTTCATTTTATGTGCACATCCTTTCTCATTGTGTAGGGGGTCTTTAATGTGCTGTTGGTGGATAGGGCTGCCTCTCATCACAAATTTATTGGCTGACAGGGATATCATGGAGCACAAGGGACTTCAGGTAGGCTAGCCACATCCCAGGTTCTGGGTCTTGTTCTCATTATGTGGGATGAGGATGTTTGCACTTTGCAGGAGGCTTTAGGGTTCTCTGACAGGAATCTTTGAACTTTGCTTGAACTCCAGCAAAAGGCAGCTGGTTCTCTCATGTGATCTTTGATTTTCCTTGCTTTCATGGGGGGTCAACAGTGACACTCACTACCGGACACCCTTTTCAGGTTTGCAATCGCCACAGACAGCCTCTGAGACACTGTCTCAACCTCATCTGTACCTGTGAGAGGCCAGTTCTAGGTGTGGTTCCTGCTTACCCGAGAGAGATCCTGTGAGGTCCAGGATGAAGTGAGGCACTGCGGTTAAGGGCCTGGTCGTCTTTCATTGACACTCATCTCTGGGGTCTCAGGTATGATTCTATCATTCAAAGACCCCTAAACAACCCACCAGACTACATTCCAATCCCCATGGGACCCAATTCTTGCACACAGCCCATTTTGGGAATGGAGTCAGAAGAGCAGTTTTTCATGACCAACTCAGTCCAGAAATGCATCCTCCTCCTGTGGGACCATTAAAGATGGCCCTAGGTGCCCTAAGGATGAGACTTTTAGGGTCCCAGAGTGGGTTATCACAGGCAGCATTTTCCTGGATACCTTTCGGCTCTGCATGTATCATTTTCCTCTGCTTAGGCAGGCTGACAGCTCTAACAGCAGGGCTTGCTGTTAGAGCTGTCATGCTGTAGAGCACATGCTGTAGAGCATGCACTACTCTTGGGACACCAAGCCTGATTGTGAGCTCTAACTAGCACCACAATGAATTTCACCATTGCCTAGTGAAAATTCCTGCATCTTGGCAAAGAAGGAGACTTCTGTGGAGGTGCATCAGTCATGAACTCTCACCTGTCTTCTCTGTGTTATCCACAGGATTGTCCCATGAGAGTAGGAGAGGGCATACATAAGCCAGCCTGTAGTAACGTCAAGAAGGGTCCCAGGACTAAACCACAATATCTCTAATGATCCAAAAACATCTGCAACATTTCTCAGATATGCCTAGATATTGTAGAGGTGAGTCTTTTTGAGACTTGCCCCATTGTGATTTCTAGGTACAGCCTGCCTGTGTTCCTCAAGGTTGCTCTGGCCCAGGTGGAGATACCTGCAGAACCACGCAGCCTCAGGAGCTGCTGGCCTGTGTGTTTCTGTGGCAGTGTTGCAAATGTTGGATGTCTCTGTGTGTGTGTGGCATTGTGTATTTCTGTGTGTGTTTGTAAGTGTGTGTGTGAGAGCCTGTAAATGTAGTCTGCTTAAAGCAATGTGGCTAAAAAACTTCAGTGTTTTTTTTTTTGAGCCTCCCATCATTTTGGTGGCCTGTCTGTGTCTCTGCTTAGCCTGCAAAGCTTTGTGTGCTTTGTTTTTCTGTGAATTATGAATCTCACATGAATTGGGAGGTGGGCCAAATCCCGCTGGCATCCAAATCACCTCCCCCTGCAGAAAAATCTACATTTCTAGAAAGAAGATGAGCACACCACAACAAAAAAACCAGACATTTTTCACTGTTTTATTTTCCTGCAGCAAATACAGGGGGAGACACTAGCAGTCCTCTCCACAGGGCCACTTGAACTTACACTGAATTTGGTTCCAAGCCCAGCAGGTGCTTCACATAATGAGGGGGCACTCCTCCATCATGTTGGGATTTTATCCTGGGACCTAGAGTGTGAGTAGCAATAAGGTCAGATACAGGTGAGTATACAATCTGGTGAAAGGTGGTTGGGGCCCTGTAACTACACCTGCAATAAAAATAAAGACAGTGTTTAAAGCACGTGTTTCCAACTTCATCCCCTCATTCCCTTAATTGCACAAGCAGTATACACAATGGCATGGTGTTCAGGTGGGAATACTACAACGGGCAACGGACATTTGGGGTGCAAATTGGGGCCATCCTGGCAAACTCCCGATTTGAGGGCTTTCATATTCGGAGACCAATGCAATGGAATGAATTGATTCTGGGTGGGATGTGGCCTCCACAGTTTCTTCTTTTTCTGACTTCTATGTTCCTCATCCACCTAGAGTTTCCTGTGACTGGTTCAACAACTTCCACACTTAAGCTTTCCCAGTTCACAGAGAATGATCTTCATGGGACTCCATTGCCTGAGTGTTTCCTTCTAAACAGTGTCATGTTTTAATAACTGGGAAGCTTGATATTTTAAAACTGAAAATTCCCATTACCACTGCCAACAAAGAAACTCTTTTTCTCCCACTTCTATCGAATGGCTGCATAATACCTATAGGATGAGAATCCATGTCTGGCCTTTGCCTGGTAATCTAGCTTCTGTTTCATTTCATCTGCACAGCCTTTTCATTGTGGAGGAGCTCATTCACTGGGCTGTTTCTCGATGTGACTTCCTCTTGCCACAGATTATTTAGCTGCCACGGATTTCAGAGGGCAAAAGGGACTTTGGGCAGGCTCCTGCCATCCAGGTTGTGGGTGGTTGCCTTATTGAGGGGCTAAGATTGCACTTTGCAGGAGAGTTTTCAGTTATCTGACAGGAATCACTGAACATTGCCTGGACTCCAGCACAAGGCAGCTCATTCTGTTAAGAAATGTCTTGATTTTTCTTTGCTTTCATGGGTATTTCACAGTGAATATTGACAGCACTAATATTCACCTTTTTCAGGCTTGCCATAACCACAGATGGCCTCGGAGACATTGTCTTAGCCTCATCTGCACCCATTGGAGGCCAGTCCAATGCGTGAGGACACTGCTCCTCCTTGTACTTGCCTTGTCATGGTAACTGCCTTTCCCAGAGATCCCCTGTTAGTCCCAAGATGAAGGGAGGCAGTGAGGTCAAGAACTCGGCCATCTTTTGCTGATACACACCTCTGGGGTTGGTCTCAGGTAAGATTCTATCACTCAAATAATCCTCAACCACACACCAGACTATATTGCAATCCCCATGTGACCTGATTCTTGTACACATATTCTCTTTTGGGAATGCAGTCAGAAAAGCTGTTTCCAGTGACCACTTCACAGTCTCAAAATGCCTTCTTCTCTAACAAAAACTGACCATGGAGACATCCCGAAGGGGCCCTGATATCAAGACTTTTAGGGTCCTGCAGTGGGTTTTTGCAGTCACGACTTTTTCTGATACCAAGCTCGCTCTGCCTGTACTATTTTTCTCTGCTTAGGCAGACTGATAGCTCTGACAAATGGGCACCGGAGCCTGTTTCACAAATGTGCATGCGCTAGACTCAGGGCACCAGGACTGATTGTGAGACCTTGCTAGCATCACAATGACTGTGACTGTTGCATACTGAGAAGTCCCTGAGGCTTGGCAGAGACGGAGACTTTCGTGGAGGTGCGTTAGCATTGAACTCTTGCCTGTGTTCTGGGTCTGGCTCAACAACTTCCACAACAAATATTTTCCTGTTCATGGAGAACGACCCTCACGAGAATCCATTGCTTGAGTGTTTTCTTCTAACCACTGTCACGTTTTAATGACTATGAAGCTCTGAGATTGTTAAAACTGTAAATTCCCATTACAGCCACCAATAAGAAAACTCTTGTTCTCCCATTTCTATCGAGGTGCTGCATAATTCCTGCAGGATGAAAAGCAGGCAGCCGTGTTTGTCTTTTTCCTTGTAATCTAGCCTCTGTTTCATTTCATCTGCATGGCATTCTTCTTGTGGAGGGTCTCTTTCATTGGGTTGTTGCTAGATGAGACTGCTTCTGGCTAGGGATTATTTAGCTGCCAGGGATTTCAGAGAGCAAAAGGGACATTGGGTACTCTGACTACACTCCCTATCATTGTCTTGTTGTGGGGGCTGAGAATATTTGCACGTGGCAAGAGGCTTTTGTGTTCTCTGACAGGAATCACTGAACACTACTTGGACTCCAGCACAAGGCAGCTCGTTCTCTTAGGTGAGACTTGATTTTTCTTTGTTTTCATGAGGAATCTACATTATCCCTTAACAGCACTACTGGACACCCATTTCAGGCTTGCTATCCCAACAAATGGCCTCTGAGACACTGTTTTAACCTCGTCTTCACCCAAGAGAGGGCAGTATGAGGTGTGAGAACAGTGATCCAACTTTGACTTGCCTTTGTTGTAGTTTCTGTCTTTCCTTGAGAGCCCCTGCAAGGTCATAGATGAAGGGAGGCAGTGAGGTTAAGAGTCCGACCATCTTTTCATGACACCCACTTCTGGGGTCTCAGGTATGATCCTATCACACAAAACACCCTCAAGAACACATCAGACTATATTTTAATCCCCATGGTACCCAATACTTGCACACAGCCTTTTTTGGGAATGGAATCTGAAGAGTAGTTTCTAGCGACCACCTCACAGTCACAAAATGCCTCCTCCTCCAGCAGAACCTAACCACCACGATGGCCTGAAGGGTCCCTGAGGTCGGGAGTTTTAGTGTGCTTCAGTGGGTTTTTGCAGACAGCCTTTTTCCTGATACCAGGACAACTCTGTCTGTACCATTATTGTCTACTTAGGCAGGCTGATAGCTCTGACAGCCATGCTCCCCAGCTTGCCTCACGAATGTGCATGCACTATCCTCAGGGCACCAGGCCTCATTGTGAACTCTGGCTTGCATCAGCATAAATGTCACCATTACCTAGCAACAAGTCTCTTCAGCTTGGTGAATGAGACTTCTGTAGAGGTGCGTCAGCAGTGAACTATCGCCTGTCTTCTCTGTGAGATCCACAGGATAGTCCCATGATCCTAGGAGAGGGCAGACATGAGGCAGCCTGAAGAAACCTGAAGCACAGCTCCAGGAATAAACCATGAAATCCCTAAGGATCCAAAAAGATCAGCAGGATTCCTCTGGCCTGCCTAGACATTGTAGGGATGAGTCTTCTTGAAACTTGCACCACTGTGATTTCTAACTACAGACTGCCTGCGTTTGCTTGTAGAACCACAGAGCCTCAGGGGATCCTGGATTGTGTGTTTCTGTGGGAGTGTTGTGAGTGTTGGATATCTGTGTGTTTGATGTCTGTGTGTCTGTGTGGCATTGGGTTTGTGTGTGTTTGTGCATGTGTTACTGTAAGTGGAGTCTGCTTATAAGAATGTGGCTAAGGCACTACAGCATTTCTTTCTTTCATTTTTTTGTATCCCAACCTTTTGGTGGCCTGTCTGTGTGGCTTGGCTTGGGCTGTATTGCTCAGTGTTCTTTATTTTTCTGTGAATCATTCATGAGTCTGCAGTGGATTGGGAAGCATGCCAAAATGTTTCAGCATCCAAATAACCTCCACCTGCAAAAACAAAACAAAAAAACAAACAAACAAAAAAACCACTCTAACCCCCTCTTCTAGACAGAAAGGGAGCACACATACAGAAAGTTTCCCAGTTCATAGAGAATTATCCTCATGGAAATCCATTTGTGAGTGTTTTATTCTAAACATTGTCATGTTTTAATGAGTGGGACGCTTTGATAGTTTTAAAACCATAAATTCCCATTAAAGCCATCCAGAAGAAAACTCTTATTCTTCCACTTCTATCAGAGGCCTGCGTGATTCCTGCAGGATGAGAAACAGGCAGCAGTGTCTTCATTTTCCTGGTAATCTAGCCTCTGTTTCATGTCATCTGCATGGCCTTCTTATTGTGGAGGGGCTCTTTCACTGGGATGTTGCCAGATTGGACTGCTTTTCACCATAGATTATTAAGTGGCCAGGGATTTGAGAGACCATAAAAAAGATTGGCTATTCTGGCTGCACTCCAGGTTTTGGGTTGTTGTCTCTTTTTGGGGGTTGAGGATGTTTGCACTTTGGAGGATGGTTTTGGGTCCTCTGACAGGAATCATTGAACATTACTTGGGCTCCAGCACAAGACCGCTTGATCTCTGGTGAGCCTTGATTTTCTGTTGCTTTCACAGGGAATCCACAGTGCCCATCAACAGCACTACTGGACACCATTTAAAGGCTTGTCATCACCACAGACAGCCTCTGAGACACTGTCTATACTCATATGCACTAGTGAGAGGCCAATCCGAGGTACAAGAACACCACTCCAACTTGGAATTGCCTTTGTCTTGGTTCCTGCTTTTCCCAGAGAGCCCTGTGAGGCTCAGAATAAAGGGAGGAAGTGAGGTCAAGAACCTGGACATCTTTCACTAACACCAAACTCTGGGATCTGAGGTATTATTTTATCACCAAAAGAACCCTCAACAACACACCAGATTATATGCCAATCCCCGCTGGACCCGATTCTTGCACATAGGTCTTTCCTGAATGGAGTCACAAGAGCAGTTTCCTGTGACCACCTCACAGTAACATAAAGCTTCTGCCTCTGGCATGACCCGATCACCAAGATGGACTGGAGAGTCCATCAGTTTGACAGTTTTAGGGTCCTGAAGTGGAGGTTTGCAGGCAGCCTTTTTTTTTGATACCAGGCTTGCTCTGCCTGTACCATTTTTCTGTGCTTAGATAGGGTGACAGCTCTGACAGCACAGTACCTAAGCCTCCCTCACAAATGTGCATGTGCTAGTCTCAGGGCACAAGGCCTGATTCTGAGCTCTGGCTAGCATCACAATACATGTCACCATTGCCTAGCAACAAGTCCCTGTGTCTTGTTGGAGAAGAAGATTTCCATGGAAGTGTGTTGGCTTTGGACTGTTGCCTGTCTTCTCTGTGGGATCCATGAGATAATCCCATGTTCCCAGGAGGGTACAGATGTGAGCCAGCCTGAAGTAACGTCAAGCAGAGCCGCAGGAATAAACCACAAAATCCCCAAGGATGCAAAAGATCTGCAGGATTCCTCAGGACTGCCTAGACATTGTAGGGGTAAGTCTTCTTGAAACTTGCCCCACAGTGATTTCTAAGTATATCCCGATTGTTTTTGGGTTGCTCTCTCCAAGGTGGGGATTCCTGCAGAACCATGCAGCCTCAGTAGCTGCCAGTGTGTGTTTATCTGTGGGAGTGTTGTGAGTGTTGTTTGTGTGTGTGTGTGGCATTGTGTGTGTGTGTGTATGTGCCTGTAAGTGGAGTATGCTTAAAATAATGTGGCTAATGCACTTCAGCACTTCTTTTTCGAATCTCCCAACATTCTGTTGTGTGGTCATTGTGGCTTTGCTTGGGCTGCAGGGCTTCATGGTCTTTATTTTTCTGTGGATCATGAATCTGCAGTGAATTGGGAGGCAAGTCGAAATATGCTGGCATCTAAGTCACCTCCCCCTGCAAAAAAAGCCACTCTCCTAGAAAGAAGAGGAGCACACCACACCAAAAATAAGGCATCTCCCAGTGTTTCATTGTCCTGTGGTGAACCCGGGGAGAAACACTAGCAGTCCTGTCTTCAGAGCTGCTTGAATTTACCTCATATTTGGTTCACAGCCAAGCATGTGCTTCATGTTGTGAGTGGCCACTCCAGCATTGCCTTGAAATTTCATCCTCGAACATAATGAGAAGCAATAAGTTCAGGTAGTGTTGAGGATATAATCTGGTGAGCAGTGCATGGGGTCTCACAACATCTCCTGCAAAAAAAAAAAGAAGACAGATGACCCAGAAGGTGCTTCCAACTCCATAGCCAGGTGTTCAGCTGGAAGTACTCCAACATGCAGGGAACATTTCAAGTATAAACTGGGGCCATCCTTTTAAACTCCTGATGTGCAGGCTTTCATACCCAGAGCCAAAGGAGAGTGTAATGGATTGATGCTGGGTGGTATGTGGCCTATACACTTGCTCTTCTTTTTCTGCCTTCCATATTCCTCTTCAGCCTAAGGTTTTCTGGGTCTGGATCCACATCTTCCATACCAAAAGTTTCTCAGTTCACAGAGGAAGACCCTCATGGAAATCCATTGCATGAGTGTTTCTTTCTAAACTCTGTCATGTTTTAATGAGTTGTCAGCTGTGATATTTTAAAAGCTTAAATTTCCATTACAGCTGCCAACATGGAAATTCTTGTTCTCCCACTTTTAACATAGGGTTGCATGATTCCTGTAGGAGGAGAAGCAGGCAGCCATTCTGCATTTGCCTGGTAAACTTGGCTTTGTTTCACTTCATCTGCATGTCCTTCTTCACTGTGGAGTGGATCTTTCATTGGCTCTTGCTGGATCGGACTGCCACTCGCTATAGATCTTTTGGCTGCCAGAAATTTCAGGAAGCAAAAAGAACTTTGTGTAGACTGGCTATGCTCCACGTTGTGTGTTGTGGTCTCCTTGTTGGGGAGCCGATGTTGTTTATGCTTTGCAGGAGGCTCTTGGGTACTCTGACAAAAATCTTTGAATATCGCTTGAACTCCCACACAAGTCTACTTGTTCTCTCAGGCAAACCTTCATTTTTCTTTGCTTTCATGGGGGGTCCACTTTGCACCTCATCAGCACTACTGGACACCATTTTCTGGCTTGCAATTGCCACAGACGACCTCTGATACAATGTCTCAATCTCATCTACACCCGTGAGAGGCCAGTTTGAAGTGTGAGAACAATGCTTTATTTTTGACTTGCCTTTGTCATGGTTCCTGCCTTTCCCTGAGGGCCCCTGAGATAAGCAGAATGCAGGGAGGCAGTGAGGTCAAGGGCCTGTCCATCTCTTGCTGACACCCACCTCTTAGGTCTCAGTGATGATTTCATTACCCAAAGACACCTCAAAGACTCACCAGATGGTATTCCAATCCCCAAGAGAGCAGACTCTTACACACAGTCTCTTTTTGGAATGGAGACAGAGGAGCAGATTGCAGCGACCACCTCACAGTCTCAAAATGACTCCTCTTTCAGTTGGACCTGACCATGGAGACTGCCCAAAAGGGCTCTAGAGTCTAGACCTTTTGGGTAAGGCAGTGGGTTATCTCAGGCAGCCTTTTATCCCACCCTAGTTCAGTTCTGCCTGTACCATTTTCCTCTGCTTAGTCAGGATGACAGCCCTGAGAGTTGGTTACCTGAGCCTGCCTTAAAATGTGCATGGGCTACTCTCAGGATACCAGGCCTGATTGTGAGCTCTAGCTAGCATCACAATAAATGTCACCATTGCCTAGTTACAATGCCCGTGGCTTGCCAGAGAAGAAGACCTCTATGTAGTTGTGTGGGCAGTGGACTGTCACCTGTCTTCTCTGTGAGATTTACTGGATAGTCTCATTACCCTAGGATAGGGTAGATGTGAACCAGCATGAAGAAAGGTAAAGCTGATCCCAGGAATAAACATTGAAAACCCTAAGAATCCAAAAATGTCTGCAAGATTTCATGGGCCTGCCAAGAAGTTTTAGGGGTGAGTCTTTTTGAAACTTGTCCCACAATGATTTCTAGGTACAGTTGCCCTGTGTTCGTTGGGGTTGCTCTCTCCTAGGTCGGGATTCCTGCAGAACCACACAGTCTCAGGTGCTGCCAGGCTGTATTTTTCTGTGGGAGTGTTGTGAGTGTTGGATGTCTGTGTGTGTTTTTGGCATCGTGTTTGTGTGTGTGTGTGTGTGTGTGTGTGTGTGTGTGCCTGTAAGTGGCTCTGCTTAAAATAATGTGGCTGACACACTTCTGAGCTTCTTCTTTTTTTTTTTCTTCCAACACTTTGTTGGCTTGGCTGTGTGGCTCTGCTTGGGTTATGGGTCCCTGTGTTCTTTATTTTTTGGAAGATCATAAATCCGCAGTCAATTGGGAGGCAGGTCGAGAGATGTCTGTGTCCAAGTCATCTCTCCGTACCAAAAAAAGCCAATCTTCTAAAAAGAAGAGGAGCACGTCACACCAAAAATGAGATATTGCCCAGTGTTTCATTGTCTGTCCTTTGGCCAAACGAGGGAGAGACATTAAGTGTCCTGTCTGCAGGGCCACTTGAATTTACCTCAAATTTGTTTCCCACCTGAGGAGGTGCTTTATGTCATGAGGGGGCACTCCACCACAGTCTTGGGATTTTATACTGGGACATAGAGAGTGAGCAGCAATAAGGTCAAATAGGGATGAGGATACAATCTGGTCAGGGTGGATGGGGTCCCACAACTACACCTGTAAAAATAGTGAAGACAGGTGACACAGAATGTGTTTCCAACTCCATCCCCGCATTCCCTTAATTGCACAAGCAGACAACAACATGGCTCGGTGTTCAAGTGAGAGTACTCCAATGTGCAAAAAATATTTGGACTGCAAATTGGGGCCAACCTGGCAAACTCCCGATTTGAGGGCTTTCATACTCAAAGCCAAATGGGAGTGGAATTGATGGATGCTGGGTGGGATGTGGCCTCCAGACTTGCCTCTTCTTTCACTGACTTCCATGTTTCTTGTTGGCCTAGGGTTTCCTGGGTATGGCTCAACCACTTCTACACTAAACGTTTCTCAGTTCATGGAGAATGATTATCATGGGAATCCATTGCATAAGTGTTTCCTTCTAAACACTGTCAAGTTTTAATGACTGGGCAGCTTTGATACTTTTAAAATCATAAATTCCCATTACCACCACCACCACCAAGGAAACTCCCACTTCTATTGGAGGGCTGCATAATTCCTGTAGGATGAGCACTTAGCCATGTCTTGCTTTTGCCTGGTAATCTATCCTCTGTTTCATTTCATCTGGACGGGCTTCTCATCATGGAAGGGCTCTTTCATTAGGCTATTGCTAGATGAGACTGCCTCTGGCCACAGATTAGCTGCCAGTGATTTCAAACAGCAAATGGGACTTCAAGTAGTCTGCCTATGCTCAAGGAGGTGGGTCCTTGTCTCATTGTTGAAACTGATGTGGTTTCCAAATTGCAAGAGGATTTTGGGTCCTCTGACAGGAATCATGAACATCATCTGGACCGCGGAACAAGGCAGCTCATTCTCCCAGGTATGCCTTGATTTGTCTTTGCTTTCCAGGGGAGTTCACAGTGCCCCTCAACAGCACAACAGGACACCACTTTCAGGCTTACCATCCCCACAGATGGCCGCTGAGACCCTGTCTCAACTTCACCTTCATGGGTGAAAGCCCAGTCCAAGATATGAGAACACTGCTCCACCTTGCCCTTGTTGTTGCTCCTGTCTTTCACAATGAGCCCCTGTGAGGCCCAGGATCAAGGAAGGCAGTGAGGTCAAGAGCACTGCTGTCTTTTGTTAACACCTGCCTCTAGATACTCAGGTATGATTCTATCGCCCAAGGAACCCTCAACAATACACCCAAGCACATTCCTATCCCCAGGGGACCAGATTCTTGCACATACCCTCTTTCTGGAATGGACAGTGACCAGCTCACTGCCTCAAAATGCCTCTTCCTCCACCGGGATCCAACCACAGAGATGACCCGAAGGGGCCCTGAGGTTGAGACATTTAGCATCCTGCAGTGGGTTTTCAGAGACAGCCTTTTTCTTGATACCAGGCTGGCTCTACCTGTTCCATTTACCTCTGCTTAGGCAAGCTGACAGTTCTGACAGCTGGCTGCTTGACCTGCCTCATGAATGCATGTGTGCTAGTCTCACAGAATCAGGCCTGATTGTGAGCTCTGGCTAGAATCACAATGAATGTCACAATTGCCTAGCAAAAAGTCCCTGTGGCTTGGCGGAGAAGGAGACCTCCTTGGAGGTGTGTCATCGGTGGACTCATGCCTGTCTTCTCTGTGGTATCCACGTGATTGTCTCATGATGCTAGGAGAGGGCAGATGTGAGCCAGCCTGTAGAAAGGTCAAGCACAGCCCCAGAAATAATCTGCAAAATCCCTAAGGATGCAAAAGGATCTGCAGGATTTCTCAGGCCTACCTAGATGTTGTAGAAGGGAATCTTTTTGAAACATGCCCCACTGTGAAGTACAGCCTGCCTGTATTTCTTGGGGTTACTCTCCCCAAGGTGGGAATCCCTGCAGAACCACACAGCCTAAGTTGGTGCTGGAATTTGTTTTTCTGTGGAAGTGTTGTGATGTTGCTTGTCTGCCTTTGTGTGTGGTATTGTGTATTTCTGTATGTGTGTTCCTGTAAGTGGAGTGTACTTAAAATAATGAGGCTAAAACACTTCAGCACTTCTTCATCTTTTTTTCTTTTTTTAGTCTCCAAACCTTTCTGGTGGATAACTATGTGTGTACGATTGTGTGTTTGTGTGTGTGTGACTGTAAGTGGAGTCTACTTAAAGGAATGTTGCTAATGCACTTTAGCACTTCCTTTTTTTTATTTTTTTGAGTCTCCCAACCCTTGGTGGCATGTCCGTTTGGCTCTGCTTGGGCTATAGGGCTCTCTTCCAGGTGGTGCTGCCTGCACAACAACACAACTTCAGTGGCTGCTGGGCTGTGTGTTTCTGTGGGAGTGTTGTAGTCTAGGATATCTGAGTGTGTGTGTGTGTGTGTGCGCGGCACTGTGTGTGCCAAAAAAGCCACTCTTCTAGAAAGAAGAGGAGCTTTTCTAGAAAAGAGACATCTCCAAATGTTTCATTGTCCTGTGGCCAACCCAGGGAGAAACACAAGCAGTCCTGTCCAAAGGGCCACTTGAATTTACCTTGAGTTTTGTTCCTAGCCGATCAGGTGATTCACATCTTTGGGGGGCAATTCGCCATCATTTTGGGATCTCAACCTGGGACATAAATTGTGAGCAGCAATAAGGTCATTTAGGCGTGAGGATACATTCTGGTGAGGGGTACATGGGGTTCTGCAACATCACCTGCAAATAAAATGAAGAAAAATGGCATGGAACGTGCCTTCAACTCCTTAGCCCAGAGTTCAGGTGAAAGTACTCCAATGTTCAGGGAACATTACAAACTGGGCCCATTCTGGCAAACCCTCAATGTGAGGGCTTTCATACCTGGAGCCAAATGAGAGTGTGATTGATTGATGCTGGGTGGTCTGTGGCCTCCACACTTGCCTCTTCTTTTCCTGACTTCCATGTTCCTTTTCAGCCAATGGTTTCCTGGGTCTTCCTCCATGTCTTCCACACTAAAATTTCCCAGTTCATGGAGGACAACCCTCATGGGAATCCATTGCTTGAGTGTTTCTTTCTAAACTCTGTTACGTTTTAATGACCGGGCAGCTGTGATATTTTTAAAGCGTAAATTCCCGATACAGCCGCCAACATGAAAAACCTTGTTCTCCCACTTTTATCAAAGGGCTACATGATTCCTGTAGGATAAGAAGCAGGCAGCCATGTATGTATTTGCCTGGTAATCTTGGCTCTGTTTTACTTCATCTGCAAGTCCTTCCACGATGTGGAGTGGATCTTTCATTGGCTCTTGCTGAATGGGACTGCTTCTTGCTACAAATCATTTGGCTGCCAAAAACTTCAGGAACCAAAAAGGATTTTTTCTATGCTGACTATGCTGTAGGTTGTGGGCCATGGTCTCCTTGTGGGGGCTGATGTTTTTTGGCATTTGCAGGAGGCTTTTAAATCCTCTGGCAAAAATCTTTCAACATTGCTTAGACTCCCGCACAAGTCAGCTTGTTCTCTCAGGTGAGCCTTCATTTATGTTTGCTTTCATGGGAGGCCCACATTGCTCTGCATCAGCCCTACTGGACACAATTTTTCTGGCTTGCAGTTGCCACAGACGGCCTCTGATATGGTGTCTCAACCTCATTTGCACCTGTGAGAGGCCAGTTTGAGGTGTGCAAACACTTTATCTTGGACTTGATTTTGTTGTGGTTCCTATCTCTCCCCAAGAGTCTCTGTGAGGTCCAGGATGAAGGGAGGCAGTGAAATCAAGGGGCTGGCCATCTTTTGCTGACATCTGCCTCTTGGGTCTCAGTTATGGTTCCATCACCAAAGGACCCATCAAAAACTAACCAGACATATTCCAATCCCCATGGGAATGGAATCTTGCACACAGCCTCTCTGGGGAATGAAGGCAGAGGTGCAGGTTGCAAAGACAGTTCACAGTCTCAAAACAACTCCTTCAGCAGAACTTGACCCCGGAGACTGCCCAAAACAGTCCTATGGTCTAGACTTTTTGGGTCTGGCCGTGGGTTATCACAGGCAGTTTTTCTGGCCATGCCAGGCCAGCTCTGCCTGTACCATTTTCCTCTGCTTAAGCAGGCTGACAGCTCTGAGAGACAGGTGCCTGATCCTTCCTCATGAATGCACAGGCACTAGTCTCCGTGGTATCCATGGGATTGTCCCATGATCCTAGCCTGGAGAAACATCAACCACAGCTCCAGGAATATACTGTGAAATCCCAAAGGATCCAAAAGTATACACAGGAATCCTCAGGTCTGGCATTGTAGGCGTGAGTCTTTTTGAAACTTGTCCCACTGTAATTTCTAGGTACAGTTCCCCTGTGTTTCTTGGTGTTGGTCTCTTGCAGATTAGGATTCCTGCAGAACCACACAGCGACAGGAGCTGCCCAACATTTATTTATTTATTTACTTATTTTGCAGGAGTGTTGCAAGTCTTGGATGTCTGCATGTGTCTGTGGCATTGTGTGTGTTTGTGTGCCTGTAAGTGGAGTGTGCTTAAAATAATGTGACTAATGTACTCAGTGCTTCTTCTTTTTTTTTTTTTTGCCTCCAAACATTTCTGGTGGAGTGTTGTGGGTGTTGGATGTCTGTGTGTGTGTGTGTGTGACATTTTGTGTTTGCATGTATGTGTGTGTGTGATTGTAAGTGCAGTCTGCTTAAAGGAATGTTGGTAATGCACTTCAGCACTTCCTTTTTTTGTGTCTCCCAAACTTTTGTTGGCTTGTCTGTGTGACTCTGCTTGGGCTGTGGGGCTCTCTCCCACATGGTGTTTCCTGCACAACAATGCATCCTGAGTAGTTGTTGGGTTGGGTGTTTCTGTGGGAGTGTTGCGAATGTTGGATGTCTGAGTCTGTATGTGGCATTGTGTGTGCCATAAACCACCCTTCCAGAAAGAAGAGGAGCACACTACACAAGAAAGAGATATCTTTCAGTGTTTTATTGTCTTTTGGCCAACCCAGGAGAGACACTAGCATTCCAGTCCACAGGGCCTCTTAAATTAACCTCGAATTCGCATCCCAGCCGAACAGGTGATTCATATGTTGTGGGGGGTGGGCACATTTTTTTATCATTTTGGGATTTCATCCTGGGACATAGAGTGTGGAGAGCAATAAGGTCAAATAGGGGTGATGATACAATCTGGTGAGGGGTGCATGGGTGACACAACTTTACCTGCAAGAGAAATGAAGACAGATGACACAAAAGGTGCTTTCAACCTCATGGCATGGTGTTCAGTTGGAAGTACTCCAAAGTTCAGGGAACATTTGGACTGCAACTGGGGATATCTTGGCAAACTCCAGATTTGAGGGCTTTCATCTCCACAGCCAAGTGGGAGTGAGATGGATTGAAGGTGGGTGGGATGTGGCCTCCACACTTGCCTCTTCTTTTTCTGACTTCCATGTTTCTCGTGGGCCTAGGTTTTCCTGGGTCTGGCTCCAAGTCTTTCACGCTAAATGTTTTCACTTCATGGAGGACAACCCTCATGGGAATCCCTAGTGTTTCCTTCTAAACACTGTCACATTTTAATGACTGGGCAGCTGTGATATTTTAACACCATAAATTCCCATTACAGCCACCAACAAGGAAAGTCTTTTTCTCCCACTTCTATTGGAGGGCTGCATGATTCCTGTAGGATGACAAGCAGGCCATCGTGTCTGGCTTTTAACTGGTAAACTACGATCTGTTTCATTTCATTTGCACGTACTTTCTCATTGTGGAGGGTGTCTTTCATTGGGTTGTTGCTGGATGGGACTGCCTCTTGCCACAGATCTTTTGGCAGCCAGAGATTTCAGGGAGCAAAAGGGAATTTGCATAGGCTTCTGTGCTCCAGGTTATGGGTCATGGTCTGTATGTGGACGCTGACGTTGTTTGAATTTTGCAGGAGGATTTGGGTCCTCTGATGGGAATCTTGAAACATTGCTAGGACTCCAGCACAAATCGGCTCATTCTCTCAGGAGAGCCTTGATTTTTCATTCCTTTCATGTGTGGTTCACTGTGTCCCTTAACAGCAGTACTGAGTACTTTTTTCAGGCTGGCAATCACCACAGAGGGCATTTGAGACATTCTCTTAGCATCATCTGAATGCATGATTGGCCTTTCGAGGTGTGAGAATGCTGCTCCACCTTGGACTTTCCTTTGTTGTTGTTCCTGGCTTTCCCAGAGAGCGGCAGTGAGGCCCAGGGTGAAGGGAGGAAGTGAGGTTAAGAACCCAGTCATCTTTCACTGACACCCACCTCTGATGTCTCAGGTTTGATTTTGTCAGCTAAAGACCCCTCAACAACACACCAGACTATATTCCAATCCCCATGGGACCCGATTCTTGCACACAGACTCTTTCAAAAATGGAGTCAGAAGAGTAGTTTTCAGTAACCACCTCAGAGTCTGGAAATGCCTCAGCCTGAAGGCAGCCCTCAGGTGGAGACTTTTAGGATCCCACAGTAGCTTATAATAGGCAGCCTTTTTCCCGATACCAAACATTCTCTGCCTGTATCATTTTCCTCTGCTTAGGCAGTCTGACAGCTTTGAGAGTTGGCTTCGTGAATGCCCATGTGCTTGTCTCAGGGCACCAGGCCTGAGCTGTGGTCTCTGGCTAGAGTCACAGTGAATGCCACCTTTACCTAGTGACAACTCCCTGCAGCTTGGCAGAAACGGAGACCTTCGTGGAGATGCTTTGGCTGTGGATTTTCCCCTGTCTTCCCTGTGGGATCCAAGGAATAGTCCCATGATGCTTTGAGAGGGCAGATGTGAGCCAGCCTGAAGAAATGTCAAGAAGAGCGCTGGAAATAAACCAAGAAATCCCTATGCATACAAAAAAAAAAAAATCTGCACAATGCCACAGGCTTGCCTAGAGATTGTAGGGTCAATCTTTTTGAAACTTGTCCCATTGTGATTTCTAGTTACAGCCCAACTATGTTCCCTAGGTTTGCTCTCTCCCAGTGGGGGCTTCCTGCAGAACCAGGCAGCATCAGAAGCTGCCAGGCTGTGTTTCCATGGGAGTGTTTTCTGCAAGTGTTAGATGTCTTTCTGTGTTTGTGGCTTGGTGTGTGTGTGTTTGCATGCATGCCTGTGTGTGTGTGTGCCTGTTAGTGGAGTCTGCTTAAAGAAGTATGGCTAATGAATTTCAGCACTTTTTTGGTGGGGGACTCAAAACCTTTTGGTGGCCTTTCTGTGTGTCTCTGCTTGGGGTCCAGAGCTCCGTGTTCTATGGATTATTAATCCACAGTGAATTGGAAGGTGGGCTGATACCTGCAGGCATCCAAGTCAGCTCACCCTGCAAGAAAATTGACTCTTCTAGAAAGAAGAGGGCACACCACACCAAAAAAGAGACATCTCCCAGTGTTTTATTTTCCTGTGGCCAACACACAGAGAGACACTAGCAGTCCTGTCTGCAGGTCCCCTTGAATATACCTTGAAATTCCCAGCCCAGCAGGCACTTCACATCATGAGGAAACACTC
Source organism: Homo sapiens (assembly GCF_000001405.40). Lineage (NCBI taxonomy): Eukaryota > Metazoa > Chordata > Mammalia > Primates > Hominidae > Homo > Homo sapiens. The sequence goes on from NC_000024.10 coordinate 9,729,766, forward strand.
CTCCATCATTTTGGGATTTCCTTCTGGGACATAGAGTGTGAGCAGCAATAAAGTCAGATAGGAGGGAAGATACAATCTGATGAGGAGTAAATGGGGTTCTGCAACTTCACCTGCAAAAAAAATTACATGACACAGAAGGTGTTTCCAACACCATTCCCACATTCTTTTAATTGCACAAGCAGTCCATAAAATGACCCAGTGTTCAGATGGAGTCCTCCAATATTTCAGGAAAAGTTGGACTGCAAATTGGGGCTGTTTTGGCAAACTCCCAATTTGAGGGTTTTCATACCCAGAACCAAATGGGAGTGGAAAGGATTGATGTTGAATGGGATGTGGCCACTTTTCTCTTCTTTTCCTGACTTCCATGTTCCTTGTCAGCCTACAGTTTCCTGAGTCTGGCTTAATCACTTGCACACTAAAGGTTTCCCCCTGCATGGAGAATAACCCTCTTAGGAATCCATTGCATGAGTGTTTCCTTCTAAACACAGTTATGTTTTAATGACTCGGCAGGTTTGATATTTTTAAAATTGTAAATTGCCATTACTGCCGCCAACAAGGAAACTCACCGTACTATATTCCAATCCCCTTGGGACCAGATTCTTGCATACAGTTTCTTTTGGAAATGAAGTCAGAAGAGCAGTTTCCAGCCACCACTTCACAGTCCTGGAATGCTTCATACTCCAGTGGGACCCGACCATGTAGATCACAAGACGTGGTCCTAAGTTGAAGACATTTAGAGTACCGCAGTGTGTTATCTCAGGCAGCCTTTTTCTAAATACAAAGCTGGCTCTACTTGTACCATTTTCCTCTGCCTAGGCTAACAGGTCTGAGAGCTGTGTGCATGAGCCATCCTCGCAAATGCATATTCGCTAGTGTCAGGGGCACAAGGCCTTAGCTTTGAGCTCTGGCTAGCATCACCATGAATGTCATAGTTGCCTAAGTCTCTGCATCTTGGCAGCTGAGAAGGAGACTTCTGTGGAGGTGTGGATCCTCGAGATAGTCCCATGATCCTAGAAGAGGGCAGATGTGAACAAGCCTGAAGAAACATCAAGCAGAGCTTCAGCAATAAACCATGAAATCCATAAGGATCTAAAAGGATCTGCAGGATGACTCAGGCATGCCTAGATGTTGTAGGGGTGAGCCTTTTGAAGCCTATACCCCACTGTTTTTTGAAGGGTTTTTTGTGTGTCTATTTCCTTCAGTTCTGCTCTGATCTTAGTTATTTCTTGCCTTCTACTAGCTTCTGAATGTGTTTGCTCTTGCTTCTGTAGTTCGTTTAATTGTGATGTTAGGGTGTCAATTGTAGATCTTTCCTGCTTTCTCTTGTGGGCATTTAGTGCTATAAATTTCCCTCTACACACTGCTTTGAATCCAGGAGCTGGTTTTTTGAAAAGGTCAACAAAATTGATAGACTGCTAGCAAGACTAATAAAGAAGAAAAGAGAGAAGAATCAAATAGATGCAATAAAAAATGATAAAGGGGATATCACCACTGATTCCACAGAAATACAAACTACCATCAGAGAATACTATGAACACCTCTACAAAAATAAACTAGAAAATCTAGAAGAAATGGATAAATTCCTCAACACATATACTCTCCCAAGACTAAACCAGGAAGAAGTTGAATCTCCGAATAGATCAATAACAGGCTCTGAAATTGAGGTAATAATTAATAGCTTACCAACCAAAAAAAGTCCAGGACCAGATGGATTCACAGCCAAATTCTACCAGAGGTACAAGGAGGAACTGATACCATTCCTTCTGAAACTATTCCAATCAATAGAAGAAGAGGGAATCATGCCTAACTCATTTTATGAGGCCAGCATCATACTGATACCAAAGCCTGGCAGAGACACAACAAAAAAGAGAATTTTAGACCAATATCCTTGATGAACATTGATGCAAAAATCCTCAATAAAATACTGGCAAACCGAATCCTGCAACACATGAAAAAGCTTATCCACCATGATCAAGTGGGCTTCATCCCTGGGATGCAAGGCTGGTTCAACATATGAAAATCAATAAATGTAATCCAGCATATAAACAGAACCAAAGACAAAAACCACATGGTTATCTCAATAGATGCAGAAAAGCCCTTTGACAAAATTCAACAACCCTTCATGCTAAAAACTCTCAATAAATTAGGTATCGATGGGACATATCTCAAAATAATAAGAGCTATCTATGACAAACCCACAGCCAATATCATACTGAATGCACAAAAACTGGAAGTATTCCCTTTGAAAACTGGCACAAGACAGGGATGCCATCTCTCACCACTCCTATTCAACACAGTGTTGGAAATTCTGGCCAGGGCAATCAGGAAGGAGAAGGAAATAAAGGGCATTCAATTAGGAAAAGAGGAAGTCAAATTGTCCCTGTTTGCAGATGACATGATTGTATATCTAGAGAACCCTATAATGTCAGCCCAAAATCTCCTTAAGTGGATAAGCAACTTCAGCAAAGTCTCAGGATACAAAATCAACTTGCAAAAATCACAAACATTCTTATACACCAATAACAGACAAACAGCCAAATCATGAGTGAACTCCCATTCACAATTGCTTCAAAGAAAATAAAATACCTAGGAATCCAACTTACAATGGATGTGAAGGATGTCCTCAAGGAGAACTACAAACCATTGCTCAATGAAATTAAAGAGGATACCAACAAATGGAAGAACATTCCATGCTCATGGGTAGGAAGAATCAATATCATGAAAATGGCCATACTGCCCAAGGTAATTTATAGATTCAATGCCATCCCCATCAAGCTACCAATGACTTTCTTCACAGAATTGGAAAAAAAAATACTTTAAAGTTCATATGGAACCAAAAAAGAGCCTGCATAGTCAAGTCAATCCTAAGCCAAAAGAACAAAGCTGGAGGCATCACGCTACCTGACTTCAAACTATACTACAAGGCTACAGTCACCAAAACAGCATGGTACTGGTACCAAAACAGAGGTATAGACCAATGGAACAGAACAGCGCCCTCAGAAATAATGCCGCATATCTACAACTATCTGACCTTTGACAAACCTGACAAAAACAAGAAATGGGGAAAGGATTCCCTATTTAACAAATGGTGCTGGGAAAACTGGCTAGCCATATGTAGAAAGCTGAAACTGAATCCCTTCCTTACACCTTATACAAAAATTAATTCAAGATGGATTAAAGACTTACACATTAGATGAAAACCATAAAAGCTCTAGAAGAAAACCTAGGAAATACCATTCAGGACATTGGCATGGGCAAGGACTTCATGTCTAAAACACCAAAAGCAATGGCAACAAAAGCCAAAATTGACAAATGGGATCTAATTAAACTAAAGAGCTTCTGCACAGCAAAATAAACTGCCATAAGCATGAACAGGCAACCTACAGAATGGGAGAAAATTTTTGCAACCTACTCATCTGACAAAGGGCTAATATCCAGAATCTACAATGAACTGAAACAAATTTACAAGAAAAAAAACAAACAACACCATCAACCAGTGGGCAAAGGATATGAACAGACACTTCTCAAAAGAACACATTTATGCAGCCAAAAAACACATGAAAAAATACTCACCATCACTGGCCATCCGAGAAATGCAAATCAAAACCACAATGAGATACCATCTCACACCATTTAGAATGGGGATCATTAAAAAGTCAGGAAACAACAGGTGCTGGAGAGGATGTGGAGAAATAGGAACACTTTTACACTGTTGGTGGGACTGTAAACAGTTCAACCATTGTGGAAGTCAGTGTGGCGATTCCTCAGGGATCTAGATCTAGAAATACCATTTGACCCAGCCATCCCTTTACTGTGTATATACCCAAAGGATTGTAAATCATGCTGCTATAAAGACACATGCACACGTTTGTTTACTGCGGCACTATTCACAATACCAAAGACTTGGAACCAAACCAAATATCCAACAATGATAGACTGGATTAAGAAAATGTGGCATATTTACACCACGGAATACTATGCAGCCATAAAAAATGATGAGTTCATGTCCTTTGTAGGGACATGGATGAAGCTGGAAACCATCATTCTCAGCAAACTATCACAAGGACAAAAAACCAAACACCGCATTTTCTCACTCATAGGTGGGAATTGAACAATGAGAACACGTGGACACAGGAAGGGTAACATCACATACTGGGAATTGTGGGGTGGGGAGAGGCGGGAGGGATAGCATTAGGAGATATACCTAATGGTAAATGATGAATTAATGGGTGCAGCACACCAATATGGCACATGTATACATATGTAACAAACCTGCACATTGTGCACATGTACCTTAAACTTAAAGTACAATAAAAAAAAGAAACTTACCCCACTGTGATTTCTAGGTACAGCCCACCTGTGTTCCCCAAAGTTCCTCTCTTTCAGTTAGGGCTTCCTGCAGAAGCACGCAAACTCAGAAGCTGCCGTGCTGTGTGTTTCTGTGGAAATGTTGAAAGTGTTGGATGTCTGCATATCTGCGTGGCTTTGTGTGTTTGTGTGTGTGTGTGTGTGTGTTTATGTGTTTGTGTGTGGCTGTAAGTGGAGTCTGCTTAATGGAATGTGGATAACGCACGGCAACACTTCCTCTTTTTGAATCTCCAAACCTTTTGGTGGCCTGTTGGTGTAGCTCTGCTTGGGTTGCAGGGCTCCATCTCCGTTATTTTTCCGTGGAGTATGAATTCTCAGTGAATTAGGAGACAGCGCATCACACTCCAAAGCAAATATCTCTGTGTTTCATTGTCCTGCGGCAGACCCAGGGAGAGAAACTAGCAGAACTATCTGAAGGGCCCTTTGAATTTACTTTGAATTTGGTTCCCAGACAAGCAGAGGCTTCATGTCGTCATGTGGCACTCCTCCATCAACTTGTGATTTCATTCTAGGACAGAGAGTATGAGCAGAAAGAAGGTAAAATATGGGTGAGGATACAATCTGGTGAGGCGTAAATAGACTCCCGCACTTTCTCCCGCAAAAAAAACGTGAAGACTGATGACGCAGAAGCTGCTTCCTATTGCATCCCCACATTCCTTTAATTGCAGAAGCAGTTCACATTATGGCCCGGTGTTCAGGTGGGAGTAATACAATGTTCAGGGAACATTTGGAGTGCAAGTTGAGGGCATTCTAACAAACTCCCAATTTGAGAGCTCTCATACCCTGAGCCAAATGAGAGTGGGATGTATTGATGGTAGGTGGGATGTGCCCTGCACACTTGTCTCTTCTTTTCCTGACTTCCATGTTCCTCATGGCCTAGGATTTCCTGGGTCTGGCTTCACACTTTCCACACTAAGCAATTCACAGTTCATGGAGGACGACCTTCATGGGAATCCAATGCATGAGTGTTTTCTTCTAAACACTGTCACGTTTTAAAGGCTGGGCAGATGTGATGATTTTAACACTGTAAATTTTCATTACAGCCACCAACAAAGAAATTCTTATTCTCTCACTTTTACTGGAGGGATGCATGATTCCTGTAGCATAAAAAGCAGGCAACTATGTTGGGCTTTTGCCTGGAAATCTAGCCTCTGTTTCATTGCATATGCAAGTCCTTTCTCTTTGTATACAAGGTCTTTCACTGGGCTGTTGCTGGATGGGACTGCCTCTCACCACAGATCTATTGGCTGCCAGGGATTTCAAGGATGAAAAGAACTTCAGGTAGGCTGACTCCCTCCGGGTTGTGGTTTTTGGTCTCATTGTGAGTACTGAGGTTGTTTGCACTTTTCAGGAGGCTTTTGGGTACTCTGCCTGGAAACATTGAACATTGCTTGGACTCCAGCACAAAACAGGTCATTCTCTGAGGTGAGCTTTGATGTTTCTTTTCTTTCATAGAGAATCCACAGTACCCTACAAATGCACTGCTGGTCAGTTTCAGGCTTGCTATCACCACAGAGGGCATCTGATACATTGTCTCAACCTCATCTGCACCCGTGAGAGACCAGACCGAAGTGAGAACACTGACCCATGTTGGACTTCTCTTTGTCATGGTTTTTGCCTTTTGCAGAGGGCCCCATCAAGGCCCAGGCTGAAGAGAGACAGTGAGGTAAATAGCCCAGCCATCTTTCATTGGCACCCATCTCTGGGGTCTCACGTATAATTCTCTCACCCAAAGAACCCTCAGCAACACACCAGACCAAATTCCAATTCCCATGAGACCCGATTCTTGCAAAAAGCATCCTTTGGGAATGGAGTAGGAAGAGCAGTTTCCAGCCACCACCTCACAGTCTCAAAATGCCTCCTCCTCCAGCCGGTCTCAACCATGCAGATGGCCTGAAGGGGCCCTGAGGTCGAGACTGTAGAGTCTGACCATGGCTTCTAGCAGGCAACATTTTCACAACACCAGACCGGTTTTACCTGTACCATTTTTTCTCTGCTTAGGCAGGCTGACAGCTCTGACAGCCATGCACTTGTACCTGCCCCGGGAATGCATATGCACTAGTCTCAGGGTACCAGTTCTCATTGTGAACTCTGGCTAGCATCACAATGAATGTCAGCATTGCCTAGAGACAAGTTCCTGCCTCTTGAGGGAGAAGGAGACCTCGCTGTAGGCATGTCAGCTGTGGACTCTTGCCTGTCTTCTCTGTGGGATACTTGGGACAGTCTCATGATCCTACAAGAGGGCAGACATGAGCCAGCTGAAAGAAACATCAAACAGAGCCCCAGGAATAAACGGCAAAACCCCTAAGGATCCAAAAGATCGCAAGATTCCTCAGGCCTGCCTAGATGATGTAAGGGTGAGTTTTCTTGAAACTTGTTTCACTATGATTTCTAGTTACAGCCCACATGTTCCCCCGGGTTGCTTTCACCCAAATGGGGATTCCAGCAAAACCATGCAGCCTCAGAAGCTACCAAGTGCTGTGTTTCTTCAGGAGTGTTGCAAGTGTTGGATGTCTGTGTGTGTTTGGTATTGTGTATTTGTGTATGAGTGTGTTTGTGTGTGTCTATGTGTGCCTGTAAGTTGAGTCTACTTAAAGGAATGTGGCAAACACACTCCAGAGCTTCATTTTTTTGGATCTCCCAACCTTTTGTTGGCCTGTCTCTGTGGCTCTGCTTCGGCTGCGAGGCTTTGTGTTATTTTTTTTCTGTGGATCATGAATCTGCAGTAAATTAGGATGTGGGCTGGGACCCGCCAATGTCCAAATCACCTCCCCCTGCAAAAACAAACAAACAAAAAAACACACACACACAAAAAAACAACACACTTCTAGAAAGAAGAGAAGCACACCACACCAAAAAACAGACATCTCCCAGTGTTTCAGTGTTCTGTGGCCAACCCAGAAAGAAACACTAGCAGTCCTGTATGCAGGACCCCTTGAATTTACATAGAATTTGGCTCCCAGCTGAGCATGTGCTTCATGTCATGATGGGGAACTCCTCTATCATCTTGGGATATCATCCTTGGACCTAGAATGTGAACAGGGAAAAGTTCAGATAGGGGTGAGGATAAAATCTGGTGAGGAGTGGATGGGGTTCTGCAACTTCATCTGCAAAAAAAAAAAATAATGAAGACAGGTAACAAAGATAGTTCTTCAAACTCCATCCCCTCATTTTCTTAATTGCACAATCTGTCTGCACCTTGGCCCAGTGTTCAGGTGGGAGTACTCTAATGTGCAAAAAACATTTGGACTGCAAATTGGGGCCATCTTGGCAAACTCTGGATTTGAGGCCTTTTATACCCAGAGTCAAATGTGAGTAGAATAGATTGATGATGTCTGGGATGTGGCTTCCACAATGGCCTCTTCTTTTCCTGACTTCCATGTTCCTTATAGGCCTAGGGTTTCCTGGGTCTGGCTCAACGACTTCCACATTAAACATTTCAGAATTCATGGAGAATGGGACTTATGAAAATCCATTGCATTAATTTTTCTTTCTAAACGCTGTCATGTGTTAATGACTGCATGGCTTTGAATTTGTTAAAACGATAAATTCCTGTTACAGCTGCCATAAGGAAACTCGTGTTCACCCACTACTATCAGAGAGATGCATGATACCTGAAAAGTGAGAAGCTGACAGCCGTGTCTGCCTTGGTCTTGTAATCTAGCCTCTGTTTGGCTGCCAGGGATTTCAGAGAGCAAAAGGGACTTTGGTTAGGCTGGCTGCACTCCAGGTTGTGATGCTTGTCTCATAGTGGGAGCTGAGGTTGTTTGCATTTTCCAGGAGGATTTTGGGTCCTCTGACAGGAATTATTCAACAAAGCTTGAACTCCTGCACAAAGCAGCTTGTTCTCTCAGGCAAGCCTTCATATTTTTATTTTTTATTTTTTTTTTGCTTTCACTGGGATTCAACAGTGCCCCTCAACAGCACTAATGGACACCCTTTTTAGACTCGCCATCACTGCAGATGTCCTCTGAGACACTGAATCTCATCAGCACCTGTGAGAGGCCAGTATGAGCTATGAGAACACTGCTCTACCTTGGACTTGCCTTTGTTGTTGTTCCTGCTTTTCCCAGAGGGCCCCTGCAAGGCCCAAAATAAAGGGAGGCAATGAGGTCAAGAGCCAGGCTGTCTTTCTTTGACATTCACACCTGGGGTCTCAGGTATGATTCTATCACTTAAAGAACCCTCAACGACACACCAGACAATTTTCCAATCACCATGGGACCCATTTCTGGCACACAGCCTCTTTTGGGAATGGATTCAGAAGAGCAGTTTCCAGTGACCACCTCACAGTCTGGAAATGCCTCTCCCTCCAGTAGGACCTGACCAGAGAGGTGGCCAGAAAGGGGCGGCCTTAGGTTGAGAGTTTTAGGATCCTGCAGTGGGTTTTCACAGGCAGCATTTTTCCCAATACCAGTCTGGCTCTGCCTGTATTATTTTCCTCTGCTTGGGCAGACTGACAGGTCTGATGGCCAGGCACCTGGGCCTGCCTCACGAATGTGCATGCACAAGTCTCAGGGCACCAGGACTGATATTGAGCTTTAGTGAGCATCCCAATGAATGTCATTGTTGCCTAGCAACAAGTCCCTTCATCTTTGCAGAGAAAAAGGCCTACGTGGAGCTGCGTGGTTGGTGAACTCTTGCCTGTCTTCTCTGTGGAAACCACAGGATAGTCCCATGAGCCTAGGAGAGGGCAAATGAGAGCCAGCCTGAAGAAACATCGACCACAGCACTAGGAATAAACCTCAAAATCCCTAAGGATCCAAAAAAATCGGAAGGATTCCTTAGGCCTGCCTAGACTTTGTAGGTGTGAGTCTTTTTGAAACTTGCAGTACTGTGATTTCTAGGAGCAGGCCACCTGTATTGCCTGGGGTTGCTCTATGCCACATTAGCTTCTTGCAAAACCACACAGCCACAGGAGCTGACAAACTGTTTCTGAAAGAGTGTTGTGAGAGTTGGATGTTGGCATGGGTGTGTGGCTTTGTTTTTTGTGTGTGTGTGTTTGTGTGTGCCTGTAAGTGGAGTCTGCTTAAGGAATGTGGCTACCACACTTTGGTGCTTCTTTTTTTAATTGAGTCTCACAAATTTGGTGGCCTGTCTGTGTGGCTCTGCTTGGGCCGCAGGGCTCCATGTTCTTTATTTTCCTGTGGCTCATGAATCCACAGTGAATTGGGGGCCGGGCTGAGACCTACCAGCATCCAAGTCACCTACCACAGCAAAAAAAGCCACTCTTCTAGAATGAAGAGGAGCACACCACACCAAAACAAAACAAAACAAAAAAAAAAAAAAAGAAAAAAAAAACAGGCATCTGCCAGTGTTTCATTGTCCTGTGGCCAACCAAGAAAGAGACACTGTCAGTCCTGTCCTCATGGCCCCTTGAATTTACCAAGAATTCAGTTCACTGCCAAGCAGGTTCTTCTGGTCATGAGACGGCACTCCTCCATCGTCTGGGCATTTATCCTGGGACATACAGGGTGAGCAGGAATAGGGTCAGGTAGGAGTGAGGATACAATCTGGTGAAGGTTGGATGAAGCCCCACAACTTCACCTGCAAAAAAAACATGAAGACAGATGACACAGAAGGTGCTTCCAACTCAACCCCCACATTCCCTTAATTACACAAGTAGTCCACACCATAATGTGGGTTCAAGTTGGAGCACTGCAATGTGAAAGGAACATTTGGAGTGCAAATCCGGCCCATCCTGTCAAACTTCTGATTTGAAGGCTTTCAAACCCGGAGCCAAATGGGAGTGGAATGAATTGATGTTGGGTGGGATGTGGCCTCCAAACTTGCCTCTTCTTTTCCTCACTTGCATGTTCCTCATTGGCCTGGGGTTTCCTGGGTTTGGCTGAACAACTGTTACACTAAACATTTCTGAGTTCATGGAGAACATCCCTCATGGGAATCCACTGAGTGAGTGTTTTCTTCTAAACACTGTCACGTTTTAATAACTGGGCAGCTTTGATGCTTTTAAAACTAAATTCCCATTACAGCCACCAACAATGAAACTCTTCTTTTCCCTCTGCTCTCAGAGGGCTGCATGATTCTTGTATTATGAGAAGCATGTAGCTGTGTCTAGATTTTGCCTGGTAATCTAGCCTCTGCTTCATTTCATCTGCTCCTCCTTCTCATTGTGAATGGGTTCTTTCATTGGGCTGTTAATGGATGGGTATGCCTCTTGCCACAGATATTTTGGCTGCCAGGGATTTCAGGAAGCAAAATGGTTATAGAGTAGACTGGCTGCACATCGGGTTTTAGGTCATTGTCTTGTTGTGGGGTCTGAGGTTGTTTGCATTTTGAAAGAGGCTTTTTATTTCTGTGACAGGAATATTGGTACATTGCTTGGACTCTAGCACAAGTCAGCTCGTTCTTTCAGATGATGCTTGATGTTTCTTGGCTTTCATGGGGGATTCACATTGCCACTCAACCACACTACTGGATACACTTTTCAGGCTTGCCATCACCACAGATGGCCTCTGAGACACTGTTTGAACCACATCTGCACCTGTGAGAGGCCAGTTTGAGGTATGAGAACACTGTTTCAATTTGGACTTGCCTTTGTCTTGGTTCCTGCTTTTCCCAGATAGCACCTACCCAACCCAGGATGAATGAGTGCAGAGAGGTCAAGTGCCAGGCCATCTTTTGCTGACACCCTTTTCTGGTATTTCAGGTATAAGTCCATCATCCAAAGACTGCTCAACATCTCACCAGAATATATTTCAATCCTCATGGGGCATGATTCTTTCACAAAACCCCTTTCAGGAATGGAGTCAGAAGAGTAGTTTCCAGAGACAACCTCACAGTCTTGAAACGGCTCTGCCTCCCATGTGATCTGACCATGGAGATGGCATATAAGGGCCCTAAGTTTGAGACTTTTAGGGTACTGCAATGCGTTATCACAGGCAGCCTTTATCCTGATACCAAGCCAGCTCTGCCTGTACCATTTTCCTCTGCTTAGGCAGGCTGACAGCCCTGACACCCTGGTGCTCCAGTTTGAGTCACTATATGTGGATGTGCTAGTCTTAGGGCAATGGACCTGAGCTGTGAGCTGTAGCTAGTGTCACAATGAATGCCAGCTTTGCTAGTAACAATTCCCTTTGGCTTGGTAGAGAAGGAGACCTCTGTGGAGGTACAATGGTGGTGCACTGTCACCTGTCTTCTCTGTGGGATCCATGGGACAGTTCCATGATCCTAGGAGAGGGTAGATGTGAGCCAGCCTGAAGAAATGTCAAGCAGAGCCCCAGGAATGAAGCACAAAATCACTACAGATCCAAAAGGATCTGCAGAATTTGTCAGGCCTGCCTAGACATTGTAGGGGTTAGTCTTATTGAAATGTGTCCCACTGTAATTTCCAACTTCAGCCTTCCTGTGTTCCCAGCAGTTTCTCTCTCCCAGGTGGGGCTTTCTGCAGAATGACACAGCCTCAGAAGCTACTGGGCTGTGTGTTACTGTGGGAGTGTTGCGAGTGTTGGATGTCAGCATGTGTGTGTGGCTTTGTGTGTTTGTGTATGTGTCTGTGTGTGTGTATGTAAATGAATTCTGTGGATCAGGAATCAGCAATGACTAGTTAAGCTGTCTGTGACCAGCCGGGTTCCCCATCGTCTGCCCCTGCCAAAAAAACAGGTACTCTTCTACAAAGAAGAGGAGAGCACCACACCCAAGAACAGACATCTCCCAGTGTTGCATTATAAAGCAGCCAACCCACAGACACTAGCACTCTGGTCTGCATAGCCCCTTTAATTTACCTAGAATTCAGTTCCCAGCCAAGTAGGTGCTTCATGTCCTGAGGGTGCAATCCTCCATCATCTTGAGATTTCATGCTGGTACAGAGAGTGTGACAGCAATAAGGTCAGATAGGGGTGAGTATACAACCTGGTGAAGGGTGGATGGGGTCCCGTACCTTCACCAGCAAAAAGGGTGAAAATAGATGACACAGAATGTGCTTCCAACTCCATCCCCACATTCCCATAATTGCAAAATCAGTCAACAACATGGCCTGGTGTTTAGGTGGGAGTACTCCAACCTGCAGGAAAAATTTGGAGTGCAAATTGTGGCCAATCTGGAAAACTCCTGGTTTGAGGGTTTTAATACCTGTAGTCAAATGGAAGTGGAATAGATTGATGCTGGGTGGGTTGTGGCCTCCACATTTGTGTCCTCTTTTACTGACTTCCATTGTCCTCATTGGTGTAGGGCTTCCTGGATCTGGCTCAACATCTTCCACACTAAACTCTTCCCTGTTCACAGAAGACCATCATAAAAATGCATTGTGTGAGTATTTACTTGTAAACACTGTCACGATTTAATGACTGAGTTTCTGTGATACTTTTAAAATCATAAACTACTATTACAACCAGCAACAGGGAAACTTTTGTTCTCCCACCGTTATCAGAGGGCTGCAGGGTTCGTGAAGGAGGAGAACCAGGCAGCCATGTCTGGCTTTTGCCTTGTAATCTAGGCTCTGTTTCCCTTCATCTGCAGACTATCTTCCAGTCCCCATAGCTATCTGATTCTTCCACACAGCCTCTTTTGAAAATTGAGTCAGAGAGCAGTTTCCAAAGACCCCATCACAATCTCAAATTGCCTCCTCCTCCAGCAGGACCAAACCACTGATACAGCTGGAAGAGGCCCTGGGGTCAAGACATTAACAGTCCTGCAGAGGGTTTTCATATGCAGCCTTTTTCCTGACAATAGGCCATCTCTGCCTGTAACCTTTTCCTCTGCTTAGGCAGGCTGACAGCTCTGACAGCCTGGTGCCCAACCTGTCTCATGAACAAGCAAGCACCACTCTCAGAGCACCAGGCCTGAAAGTGAGCTTTGGCTAGCACCATAATGAACGTCACCATTGCCAGCAACATGTAATAGTCCCATGAATGTAGGAAAGGGCAGACATGATTCAGCCTGAAGAAACCTCAAGCAGAGCCCCAGAAATAAACTGCAAAATCCTTAATAATCCAAAATGATATGCAGGATTCATTAGGCCTGCCTAAATGCTGTAGGGGTGAGAATTTTTGAAAAGTGCCCCTAGGTGATTTTTAGGTACATCCTTCTTCTGTTCTCCGAGGTTGCTCACTCCAAGGTGGGGCTTCCTACAGAACCACTGAGCATCAGGAGCTGCCAGGCTGTGTGTTTCTGTGGGACTGTTGCAAGTGTTGGATGTCTGCATGTGTGTGTGGCATTGTGTGCTTGTTGGTGTGTGTCTGTGTGTGTGTGCTTTTAAGTGCAGTCTGCTTAAAGGAATATGGCTAACACACATCAGTGCTTCTTTTTTTTTAGTTTTCCAACCTTTTTGTGGCCAGTCTATGTGGCTCTGCTTGGGGTTTGGGGCTCCATGTTCTTCATTTTCCTGTGGATCATGAATCCACAGTGAATTCAATGGCAGCTGAGATACCCCGGCATCCAAATCACCACCCCTGTGAAAAAAGCCACTCTTCTAGAAAGAAGAGGAGCAAACCACACCAAAAACAGACAACTCCTAGTTTTTCATTATCTTGAGGCAAACCCAAGGAGAGACACTGTCAGTCCTGTCCACAGGGCCCCTTGAATTAACCTCGAATTCAGTTGTCAGCCAAGCAGGTGCTTCATGTCATAAGGGGGAAAGCCTCCATCATCTTGGGATTTCATCCTGAGAAATAGAGTGTAAGCAGAAATAAAGTCAGATAGGGGTGTGGATACAATCTAGTAAGGGTTGGATGGGGTTCTGCAACCCCACCTGTAAAAAAATATGAATACTGATGACAAACAAGGAGCTTTCAACTCCATTTCCACATTACTTTAAGCACCAGCATTCCACACCATGGCCCACTGTTCAGTTGGGAGTACTCCACAGTAAAAGACCATTTGGAGTGCAAATTGAGGCCGTCCTGGCAAACTCCAGATTTGAGGGCTTTCTTACCTGGAGTCAAATGGAGGTGGAATGGATTGATGCTGGGTGGGATGTGGCCTCCAGACTTGCCTCTTCTTTTCCTGACTTTCATGTTTCTCATGAGCATATGGTTTCCTGGGTCTGGCTCAACGACTTCCACACTAAACATTTCCCAGTTCATGAAGAACAACCCCCATGAGAATTCATTGCATGAATGTTTCCTTCTAAACACTATCAGGTTGTAATGACTGGGGAGCTTTGATACTTTTAAAACCATAAATTCCCATTACTGCCACCAATAAGGAAACTCTTGTTTCTCCCACTTCTACCAGAGGGTTACAGGATTCCTGTAGGATGAGAAGCAGGCAGCCATTTCTGGCTTTTGTCTGGTAATCTAGCCTCTGTTTTATTTCTTCTGCACTGCAGTCTCATTGCGGAGGGGCTCTTTCATTGGGCTGTTGCTGGATGGAACGGCCTCTTGCCACAGATTATTTGGTTGCCAAAGATTTCTGAGAACCAAAGTGACCTCAGGTAGGCTGGCTGAGTCCAGGTTGTGTGTCATTGTCCTGTTGTGGGGACTGAGATTGTTTGCACTTTGTCAGAGGCTTTTGAGCCCTCTGATATGAGTCATTGAACATTGCTTGGACTCCATCACAAGGTAGCTCATTCTTTCAGGTGAGCATTGATTTTTCTTTGCTTTCATGGGGAATCCACATTGCCCCTCAACAGTAGTACTGGACACCATTTTCAGGCTTACCATCACCACAAACAGCCTCTTAGACACTGTCTCAACCTCATCTGCACCTGTGAGTTGTGAGCCCCAGGTGTCAGCACACTGCTTTACTGTGGACTATCCTTTGTCGTGGTTCCTGCCTTTTGCAGAGAGGCCCTGCAAGGACCAGGATGAAGGGAGACAGTGAGGTCAAGAGCCCAGCCATCTTTCACTGACACCCACTTCTGGGTTCTCAGGTAAGTTCCTATCACCAAAATAACCCTCAACAACATACCAGACTATATTCCAATCCCCAAGCGACCTGATTCTTACACAGCCTCTTTTCAGAATGGAGTCAGAAGGGCAGTTTCCAGAGACTCACTCACAGTCATGAAACACCTCCTTCTCCAGAGAAACCTGACAACGGAGATGGCCCAAAGCATTCCTGAGGTTGAGACTCTTAATATCCCACAGTGGATTTTTGCCAGCAGCCTTTTTCATGATACCAACCTGGCTCTGCCTGTACCATTTTTTTCTGCTAAGGCAGGCTGACAGCTCTGACAGACAAGTTCCTACGCTGACATCACGAATATGCACATGCTTGTCTCAGGGCACCAGGCCTGATTGTGAGCTTTGGCTAGCATCACATTAAATGTCACCGTGGCCTAGTGACAAGTCCCTGCTACTTAGCTGAGAAACAGGCCTCTGTGAAGGTGCAGTGGTGTTGTACTCTTGCTTGTTTTCTCTGTGGGATCCATGGGATAGACACATGATCCTAGGAGAGGGCAGGCATGAGCCAGCCTGAAAAAATTCAAGCATAGCCCAAGGAATAAACTGTGAAATCCCCAAAGATCCAAAAGTATTTGCAGGATTTCTCAGTTCCACCAAGATATTGTAGAAATTAGTCTTCCAGAAACTGCCCCACTGTGATTTCTAGATACAGCCCCCAGTTGTTCCCCAGGATTGATGTCTCCCAGGTGGGGTTTCATGAAGAACCACACAGCCTCTAGAGCTGCTGGGCTGTGTGTTTCTGTAGGAGTGTTGCAAGTGTTGGATGTCTGCATGTGTGTTTGTGTCTGTGTGTGTTTGCCTGTAAGTGGAGTCAGCTTAAAGGAATGGGGCTAACACACTCCAGCATTTCTTTTTTTTTTGAGACTCCTATCTTTTGTTGGCTTGTGTGGCTCTGCTGGAGCTGCAGGGCTCCATGTTCTCTATTTTTCTGTTGATCATGAATCCATGGTGAACTGGGAGGTGGCCTGAGACCCCCCGGCATCCAAATTACCTCCCCTTGAAATAAAAAAAGGCCCTCTCTAGAAAGAAGAGGAGCACACCACACACACACACAAACAAACATATCCCAGTGTTTTCTCATCCTGTGGCCAAATCAGGGAGAGACACTAGTCATCCTGTCTTCAAGGCCCCTTGAATTTACCTCGAATTCAATCAGATGCTTCACATCATGAAGGGACACACTTCTATTGTCTTGGGATTTCATCCTGTGAAATAGAATGTGAGCAGCAATAAGGTCAGATAGAGGTGAGTATATAATCTACTGAGGGGTGGATAGAGTCCCACAATTTCACCTGCAAAGGAATTGTCCACACCATGTCCTGGTTTCAGGTGGAATTACTTCAACCTTCAAGGGACACTTGGTATACAAATTGGGGCCATTCTGGCAAACTTCTCACATGAGAGCTTTCATATCTCAGCCAAATGGGGGTGGAATGCATTAATGCTGTGTGCAATGTGACCCCTAAACTTGCCTCTTCTTTTCCTGACTTCCATGTCCATCATTGGCTGAGGGTTTACTGTGACTGGCTCGATGACTTCCACACTAAACATTTCCCAGTTCACAGAGAATCACCCTCATGGGAATCCATTGCATGAGTGTTTCCTTCTAAACAGTCATGTTTTAATGACTGGGCATCTTAGATACTTTTAAAACAATAAATTCCCATTACAGCTGCCAGCAAGAAAACTCCTGTTCTCCCTCTTCTATTGGAGGGCTGCATGATTCCTGAAGAATGAAAATCAGGCAGCCATGTCTGGCTTTTGCCCAGTAATCCAGCATTTGTTTCATCTCATCTGCACCACCTTCTGATTGTGGAAGTGATTTTTTATTGGGCTGCTGCTGGATTGGACTGCTTTTCACCACAAATTATTTAGCTGCCAGGGATTTCATAAAGCAAAAAGGTCTTTGGGTAGGCTGGCTGCACTATAGGTTTTGGGTCATTTTCTCATTGTGGTGACTGAGGTTGTTAGCACTTTGCAGCAGGGTTTTGGGTCCTCTGACAGGAAATATTGAAAATTTCTGGGCTCCATCACAAGGCAGCCCATTCTCTCTGGTGAGCATTGATTTTTCTTTGTTTTCATGTTGAATCCACAGTGCCCCTCAATAGCACCACTGGACACTCTTCTCAGGCTTGCCATTGCCACAGACAACCTCTGAGACATGGTCTCAATTTTATCTGCACCCATGAGAGGCCAGTCCAAAGTACTGTTTCACATTGGACTTGGCTTTTTCATGGTTCCTTCCTTTCTCAAAGAATCCCTGCAAGGCCCAGGATGAAGGGAGACAGTGAGGTCAAAAGCCTGGCCATCTTTCACTGACACCCCATCGTATTCGATTCTGGCACACAGCCTCCTATGGGAATGAAGCTGGAAGAGTGGATTCCAGTGACAACCTCACAGTCTTGAAATGCATCCTCCTCCAGTGGGACCCGACCACAGAGGCTGCCTGAAGGGGCCCTGAGGTTGAGACTTTTGGGGACCCACAGTGGGTTTTCACAGGCAGCATTTTTTCTGATAGTATGCCAGCTCTGCCTCTACCATTTTTCTCTGCTAGTCAGACTGACAGCTGTAAGAGCTGGGTGCCCGAGCCTGCTTCATGAATGCACATGCACTATTCTCCAGGTCAGACTGTGAGCTCTGGCTAGCATCCCAAAAATATCACCACTGCCTAGCCACAAGTCCCTGCCTCCTGTCAGAGAAGGAGACCTCCGTAGAGGTTTGTCCATGGTGAACTGTCACCTGTCTTCTCTGCAGAATCCGCGGGATAGTCCCATGATCCTAGGAGATTTCAGATGAGAGACAGTGTGAGGAAATGAAAGCATAGTCCCAGGAATAAACTGCAAAATCTTTAGGAATCCAAAAGGATCTGCTGTTTACCTCAGGCCTGCCTAGATGTAGGTGTGAGTTTTTTTGAAACTTGCCCCCATGTGATTTCTAGTTACAGCTCGCCTGTGTTCCCCAGGGTTGCTCTATGCCAGGTGTGGCTTCCTGCAGAACCACACAACCTCAGAGGCTGCCAGACTGTGTGTTTCTGTGGGAGTGTTGTGAGTGTTGAAAGTCTGTGTATGTGTGTGGCATTGTGTGATTGTGTGTCTCTGTGTTTGTGCTTGTATGTGCAGTCTGCTTAAAGAAATGTGGCTATCACACTTCACTGCTTCTTTTTCTGTGTCTCCAAACCTTCTGTTTGGCCTTTATGTGTGGCTCTGCTTGGCTTGCGGGGCTCCATGTTTTTAAATTTTCTGTGTATCGTGAATCCGCAGTGAATTGGGAGGCGGGCAAGGATCCACTGGCATCCAAATCACCTCCTCCTGAAAAAAAAGTCCACTTTTCTAGAAAGAAGAAGGACACACCACACCACAAAAAGTGGAAAAATTGACATCTGCCACATTTCATTGCCCTGCTTCCAACCCAGGGAGAGGCAATTAAAGTCCTGTCTGCAGGTGCCCTTGAATTTACCACAAATTCAGTTTCCAGCCATGCAGGTGCTTCAAATCATGAAGGGTCCCTTCTCCATTGTCTTAGGTTTTCATTCTGGGACATTGAGTGTGAGAAGGAATAAGGTGAGACTGGAGTGAGGATACAATTAGATGAGGGGTGGAAGGGGTCCCACAACTTCCCATGCAATAAAAATGAAGACAATTGATGCAGGAGGTGATTCTACGTCTGTACTCACATTTAATTAATTGCACAAACAGTCCACACCATGGCCCCAATGTTCAGGTGGGAGTTCTGCAATGTGCAAGGAATATTGGAAGTGCCAGTTGGGACCATCCTGGCAAACTCTGGATTTGAGGTCTTTCATACACGGAGGCAAATGGGAGTGCAATGTATTGATGCTGGGTGGCATGTGGCCTTCACACTTGCCTCTTCTTTTCCTTTCTTCCATGCGCCTCATTGGCCTAGGGTTTCCTGGGTCTGGCTCAACAACTTCCACACTAAACATTTCCCAGTTCATGAAGAATGACCCTCACTGGAATCCATTGTGTGAGTGTTGGTTTCTAAGCATTGTCACATTTTAATGACTGCACAGCTTTAATATTTTTAAAACTGTAAATTTGTATTACAGTCACCAACAAAGAAACCCTTGTTCTCCCACTTGCATCAGAAAGCTGCACGATTTCTGAAGGATAAGAAGCAGGCAAACATGTCTAGCTTTTGCCTGGTAATCTAGTCTCTATTTTATTTCATCTTCACGGCCTTCTCATTGTGGGAGGGCTGTTTCTTTGGGCTGTTCCTGGATGGGACTCCCTCTCTCTACAGTTTAATTAACTGCCAGGAATTTTAGACAGCAAAAGGGACTTTGTGTATGCTGGATGGGCTCCATGTTGTGATTGTTGTCTCGTTCTGGGGGCTGAGGTTCTTTGCACTTTGTGGGAGGCTTTTGCGTCCTCAGACAGGAATCGTTGAACATTGCCTGTACTCCAGCACAAGGCAGCTTGTTCTCTCATGCGAGCCTAGATTTTTCTTTGCTTTCATGGGGGATCCACAGTGTCCCCCAACTGCACTACTGCACATACTGTTCACCCTTGCCATCACCACAGATGACATCTGAGACACTGTTTCAATGTCATCTGTGCCCTTGAGAGGCCAGTCTGAGGTGTAAGAACAGGTCAAGTGCCGCCTCTGGGGTTTCAAGTATGATTCTTTTACCCAAAAAACCCTCAACAAAGTCTGATTCTATCACCCAAAAACCCCTCAACAGCACGCCAGACTATAAACCAATTTCCATGGGACCTGATTCTGACACACATTCTCTTTTGGGAATGGAGTCAGAACAGCAGTTTCCAGAGACCACCTCACAATCTCAAAATGCCTTCTCCTCCAATGGGACCCGATCACAGAGACGGACGAAGGGGCCCAGAGATGGAGACTTTTTTGGGTCCAGCAATGGGTTTTCACAGGCTGCTTTTTTTCTGATACCAGGCAGGTTCTGCCTGTACCATTTTCCTTGGTTAGGCAGGCTAACAGCTCTGACAGCCAGGTAAGTGAACCTAACTCATGAATGTGTTTGCACTAGTCTTGGGGCACCAGACCTGATTGTGAGCTCTTTTGAGCATCACAATGAATGTTATCATTGCCTAGCAACAAGGCCCTGAGGCTTGGTGGAAAAAGGAGACCTTCATGGGGGTGCATCTGCAGTGGACTCTGCTTTTATTCTCTGTGAAATCCATGGCATAGTCCCACAATCCTAGGAGAGGGCAGAAGTGGATTCCTCAGGCCTGCCTAGACATTGTAGGGGTGTGTTTTTGAAACTTGCCCCACTGTGATTTCTAGTTACAGCCCCCCTTGTGTTGTGCATTGTTGCTCTATGCCATGTGGGGTTTCCTGCAGAACCACACAGCTTCAGGCGAGACCAGGCTGTATGTTTCTGTGGGAGTGTTGCAAATGTTCAAAATCTGCATGTGTGTTTGTGGCATTGTGTGTTTGTGTGTGTGTGCATGTGTGTGTCTGTAAGTGGAGTCTGCTTAAAGGAATGTAGCTATTGCACTATAGCATTTTTTTTGAGTCTCCAAAAATTTTGGTGACTTGTCTCTGCTGTTTTACTTGGTATGTGTGTTCTTTATTTTTCTGTGGATCATGAATGCAGTTAATTGAGAGGCTGGCTATGACCTGCTAGGGTCCAAGTCCCCTCCACCTGCAAAAGTGTCACTCTTCAGGAAAGAACAGGAGAAAACCACACCTAAGAATAGACATCACAATGTTTTTCATTGTTCTGTGGCCATCCCAGGGAGAGACAATAGCAGTGTTGTTCACAAGACCCTTTGAATTTACCTAGAATTTGGTTCCCAGGAGAGCAGGTTCTACATGTCATGAGGGGCAACTCCTCCATCGTTTTGGGATTTTTTTTCTGGAACAGAGAGTGTGAGCAGCAAAAAGAACAGTTAGGGGTGAGGATACAATCTGCTGAGGGGTGTATGGGGTCCCACACCTTAGCTTGCAAAAAAGTTTAAAACAGATGACACAGAAGGTGTTTCCAACTGCATTGCCAAATTCCTTTAGTTGCAAAAGCAGTCCACACAATCCCCATTGTTCAGGTGGGAGTACTCCAACGTTCAGGGAATATTTGGAGTGCAAACTGGGGCCATCCTCACAATCTCCCAATTTGAGGGCTTTTATATCTGAAGCATAATGGGAGGGCAATCGATAGATACTGGGTGGCATGTGGCCTCCACACTTGCCTCTTGTTTTCTTGACTTCCGTGTTCCTTTTCAGCATAGGGTTTCCTTGGTCTGGCTCAATTTCTTCCAAACTAAATGTTCCCAGTTCATGGAGGACGACCCTCATGGGAATTCATTGAGTGAATGTTTCCTTCTAAACACTGTCACGTTTTAATGACTGGAGAGTTGTGATACTTTTAGAACTGTAAATTCCCGTTGCAGCCACCAACAAGGAAACTCTTGTTCTCCCACTTCTATCAGAGGGCTACACAGTTTCTCTAGGATGAGAAACAGGCAGGCATTTCTGTCTTTTGCCTGGAAATCTAGACTCTATTTCATTTCATCTATATGTCCTTTCTTATTGTGGAGGGGATCTTTCATTGGGCTGTTTCTGGATGGGGGTGCCACTCACCACAAATCTTTTGGCTGCCAGGGATTTCTGAAAGCAAAAGGGAATTTAGGCAGGCTGGCTGAGCTCCAGCTTGTGGGTCATGGTCTCATTGTTGCAGCTGAGGCTGTTTGCAATTTGCAGGAGGATTTAGGGTCCTGTGACAGAAATCTTTGAATGTTACTTGGACTCCAGCACAAGTCAGGTGGTTCTCTCAGGCAGGCCTTGAATTTTCTTTGCTTTCATCTTGGGTCCACAGTGCCCCTCAACAGCATTACTGGAAACCCTTTTTAGGCTTGCATTCATCACAGACGGGCTCTGAGACACTGTCTCAACCTCATCTGAATCCGTTAGGGGTCAGCTCGAGGTCAGAGAACACTGCTCTGCCTTGGACTTGCTTTTTTCGTGGTTCCTTCCTTTCCCAGAGGGCCTCTGCAAGGCCCAGCATGAAGGGAGGCAGTGAGGTCAAGAGCCCAGCCATCTTTTGATGACACCCACCTCTGGTCTCTCAGGTATGATTCCACCACCCAAAGAGCCCTCAACAACTCACCAGAATATATTCTAACCTCCATCTGTCCAGACTCTTGCACACAGCCTTTCAGGAATGGAATCAGAGTAACACTTTCCAAAGACCACCTCGTAGTCTCGAATCACCTCCTTCTCCAGTGGGACCTGGCCACAGGAATGACTTGTAGAGGCACTACAGTTGAGACATTTATGGTCCCTCATTGAGTTATTGTAGGCAGCATTTTTTTCAATACCGTGCCGGCTCTTCCTGTATCTTTTTTTTTCTTTTTTTTTTAGGCTGGCTGACAGGTCTGACAGCCCATCACGAAAGCCTGCATACTCTTAGACACAAGGACTGAGCTATGGGCTCCAGCTAGCATCACAATGAAGGCCACCATTGCCTAGGGATAAGTCCCTGTGACTTTGTGGATAAGAACTCCGTGGAGGTGAGTCAGCGGTGGACTCTCGCCTATCTTCCCTGTGGGATTCCCACGATAGTCCCATGGGCCTAAGGAGAGGGAGCAGGTGAGTCAGCCTGAAGAAAAGTCAAGCACAGCCCCAGGAATAAGCCACAAAATCCGTACAGATCCAAAAGAATCTGCAGGATGCCTCAAGCCTCCCAGACTTTGTCGGGATGAGTCTTTTTAAAACTTACCATACTGTAATTTCTAGGCACAGGCTGCCTGTGTTCCCTGGGGTTGCTCTTTCAAAGGCAGGGCTTCCTGCAGAACCAAGAAGCCTAAGAAGCTGCTGGGCTGTGTGTTTTTGTGAGAGTGTTGCAAATGTTGGAAATCTGCATGTATGTGGTAGTGTGTATGTGTGATTGAGTGTGTGTGTGCCTGTTAAGTGGAGTCTGCTTAAAGGAATGTGGCTAATGCACTGCAGTGATTCTTTTTTCTTTTTTTTTTTTTGAGTCTCCAAACATTGTAGTGGCCTGTATGTGTGGGTCTACTTGGGCTGCTGGGATCCATATTCTTTATTTTTCTGAGGATCATGAATCTGCAGTGAATTGGCAAGCTGGCTGAGAAACACCACTGTCCAAATCACCTTCCTTTGCCAAAAAAGCCACTCTTCTAGAAAGAACAGAAGAACACCACAACCAAGAACAGAAATATACCAGTGTTTAATTGTCTTTCAGCCAATCCAAGGAGAGACACTATCATTCATCTCTACCGGGCCTATTAAATTTACCTCGAATTTGATTCCCAGAGGAGTTGGTGCTTCACATCATCAGGGGGAACTTCTCCATTGTCTTGGGATTTCAGTCTGGGATAGAGACTTTGAACAGCAATAAGGTAATAAGGTCAGATAGGGGTGGGGATACCCCTCTGGTGAGGGGTGGATGCCATGCTGTACCTTCACCTGCAAAAAAAGAAAAAAAAAAAAGAAGACAGATAACACAGAAGTTGCTTCCAACTGCATCCCAGCATTCTCTTAGTTGCACAAGCCGCACATACCATGGCCCTGTGTTCACGCGGGAGTACTCCAACGTGCAGGGGACATTTGGAGTACAAACTGGGGCCAAGTTGGCTAACTCCATATTTGAGGGCTTTCATACCCAGAACCAAATGGGACTGGGAGGGATTGATGCTGGTGGCATGTGGCCTCCACACTTTCATCTTTGCATTCTGACTTCCATGTTCCTCATCGACCTAAGGTTTCCTGGGTCTGGATCTAAGTTTTCCATAACAAGCATTTCCACTTCACAAGGATGATCTCATGGGGATCCATTGTGTGATTATTTCTTTCTAAGCACTGTCTCAGTTTAATGTCTGGGCAGCTGTGATAATTTTAAAACAATAAATTCACATTCCAGTGGCCAAGAAGGAAACTCTGTTTCTCCCACTTCTATCGGAGAGCTGCATGATTCCTGTAGGATGAGAAGGAGGCAGCCCTGTGTGGCTTTTTCTGGTAATCTAGGATCTGTTTTATTAGATCTGCCCATCCTTTCTCATTGTGGAGGGTTTCTTTCACTGTGCTATAGCTGGGTGGGAGTGCCTCTTGCCAAAGATCTATTGGTTGCCAGGGATTACAGGGAAAAATAGAAACTTCAGGTAGGCTGGCTACACTCCAGGTTGTGGGTTGTTTTCTCATTGTGGAGGCTCAGGTGGTTTTCACTTTGTAGAAGGCTTTGGGTTCTCTGACAGGAATATTTGAACATTGCCTGGATGCCAGGGCAAGTAACCTCATTCAATCAGGGGAGTCTTGATTTTTCTTTCATTTCATGGGGGGTCCACAGTTCTCCTCAACAGTGCTAATAGACATTCTTTACAGGCTTACAATCACCACAGACAACCTTTGAGACACTGTCCCAACATCATCTGCACCTATGAAAGGCCAGTGCGATGTGTGAGAACACTGCTCCACACTGGATTTGTCTTTGTCGTGGTTCCTACCTTTCCCAGAGAGACCTTGTGAGGCCCAAAATGAAGGGAGGCAGTGAGGCCAAGGCCCTGGTAGTCTGTCACTGACATCTGCCTCTGGGGTCTCAGGTATGATTCCATCATGCAAAGACCTCTCAACAATTCCCCAGACTATATTTCAATACCCATGGGACACGATTCCTGCACACAGCCTTTTTTAAGAATGGAGTCAGAAGGGCACTTTCCAGCGACTACCTCACAGTATCAAAATGTCTCCTCCTCCAGAGGGAACGACCCAGAGATGGCCCAAAGATGCCCTAAGCTCAAAAGTTTAGAGTCCCACAGTGAATTATCACAGGCAGCATTATTTCTGACACCAGATCAGCTCTGTCTGTACCATTTTCCTCTGTTTAGGCAGGCTGACATCTCCTAGAGCCAGGCACAACAACCTGCCTCATGAAGGGATATGTGCTAGTATCAGGGCACCAGGCATGAGATGTGCACTATGGCTAGCGTCACAGTCAATGCCACCATTGACTACTGACAAGTCCCTATGGCTTGGCGGAAAAGGAGAATTTCGTGGGGGCGGGGGGTGGGTATTGGTGTTGGAATTTCGCCTGCCATCTCTGTGGGATTCACAGTATAGTCCCATGATCCCAGGAGAGGGCAGAGGTGAACCAAACTGAAAAAAAAACATCAATCAGAGCCAGGAATAAGCCCTGAAATCCCTAAGGATCCAAAAATATCTGCAGAATGCCTTAGGCCTGCCTAGACGTTGTAGGGGTGAGTCTTTTGGAAACTTGCCCTACTCTGATTTCTATGTAGAGCCTGTTTTCCCCATGGCTGCCCTCTCCCAGGTGGAGCTTCCTGCAGAACCACACAACCCAGAAGCTGCAGGGCTGAGTGTTGCTATGGGAGCATTGGGAGTGCTGGATGTCTGCTTGTGTGTGTGTGGCTTTCGGTGTTTTTTTGTTTGTGTGTGTGTGCCTGTACATGGAGTCTGCTTAAAAAAAATCTGGCTAACGCACTGTGGCACTTCATTTTTCAAGTCTCCTAACATTTTGGTGGCCTGTTGGTGTCACTGTTTTGGCTGCAGGGCTCAATGTTCTCTATTTTTCTGTAGATAATGAATCTATTGTGAATTGGGATGCTGGCAGAGGTCCAAATCACCTTTCCCTGTAAAAACAGTCTCTCTTCTACAAAGAAGAGGAGCACACCACATTCAAGAACAGACATCTTCCAGTGTGTTTTAATCCTGCAGCCAACCCAGTGATAGACAGTAGCACTGTTCACAGGGCCCCTTGAATTTACCTCAAATTTGATTCCCACCTGAGTAGGTGCTTCACCTTGTACGGAGGCACTAATCCATTGTCTTGGGGTTTCACTTTGGGTCAGAGAGTGTGAGCAGCAGTGAGGTCAGATAGGGGTGAGGATACAATCTGGTGAGGGGTGGATGGGGTCCTACACCTTCACCTGAAAAAAGGTGAAGACAAATGACAAAGAAGTTATTTCCAACTATATCCTTGTCCTTGTATTCCCTTAATATCACAAGCTGTCCACACTATGGCCCCATTTTCATGTGGGAGTACTCTAACACACAGGGAACATTTGGAGTGCAAACTGGGGCCATCCTGGCAAACTCTCAATTTGAGGGCTTTCAAACGCAGAGCCAAATGTGAGTGGGATGGATTGATACTGGGTGGGATGCAGCTTCCACAATTGCCTCATCTTTTCCTGACTTCTTTGTTCGTCATTGGCGTAGTTTCCTTGGTCTGGCTCAACGTCTTCTAAACTCAACATTCCCCAGTTCATGGAAAATGATCCTCATGGGATTCTATTGTGTGAGTATTTCCCCCTAAACACTGCCATGTTTTAATGACTGGGCAGCTGTGATACTTTTAAAACTGTAAATTCATGCAACAGCCACAAACAAGGAAACTCTTGTTCTCTCACTTCTATAGAAAAGCTGCATGATTCCTGGAGAATGTTTTATTGTCCTGAAGTCAACCCAAAAATCAACACTACCAGTCATGTTGCAGAGCTCCTTGAATTAACCTTGAATTCAGTTTCCAGCTGAGCAGCTGCTTCACGTTGTGAGGGGGCAATCCTCCATCATCCTGGGATTTCATTCTGGGACACAGAGTTTGAGCAGCAATAAGGTAAGATGCGGGTGAGGATGCAATCTGGTGAAGGGTGGATGGGGTCCCACACCTTCACCTGCAGAAATGGTAAAAACAGATGACACAGAAGGTGCTTCCAACTGCATTTAAGCATTCCCTTAATTGCAAAAGGATTCCACACCATGGCCCTGTGTTCTGGTGTGACTACTCCAAGTGGCAGGAAACAATGTTAGTGCAAACTTTGGCAATGCTGGCACATTCCCTATTGGAGGGCTTTTGTACAGGGAGCCAAGGGGGAGTGGGATGGAATGATGCTGTGTGGGATATGGTCTCCACACTTGCCTCTTCTTTTCCTCACTTTCGTGTTCTTCATTGGCCCAGAATTTCCTGGGTCTGGCTAAATGTCTTTCACAATAAACGTTTCCTGGTTCACAGAGGATGACCCTCATGGGAATGTATTTCATCAGTGCTTCCTTCTAAACACTGTCACATTTTAATGGCAGAGCTGTTGTGATACTTTTAAAACCATAAATTCCCATTACAGCCACCAACAAATAAATTCTTTTTCTTTTTTTCCTTAGACAGAGTCTCATTCTGTTGCCCAGGCTGCAGTGCAGTGGCATGATCTCCAGTCACTGCAAGCTCTGCCTTCTGGGTTCACACCATTCTCCTGCCTCAGCCTCCCGAGTATCTGGGACTACAGGAGCCTTCCACCATTCCTGGCTAATTTTTTATATTTTTAGTAGAGATGGGGTTTCACCATTTTAGCCAGGATGGTCTCAATCTCCTGACCTCATGATCCTCCCACCTCAGCCTCCTAAAGTTCTAGGATTACAGGCATGAGCCACCATGTCTGGCCCTTGGGAAACAGTTCTTCTCCCATTTCTATCAAAAGGCTGCATAATTCCAGTAGGATGAGAAGCAGACAGACGTATCTAGCTTTTTTTCTGGTAATCTATGTTCTGTTTTATTTCATCTGCAAGTCTTGTCTCATTGTGGAGGGCATATAGCATTGAATGTTGCTAGATGGGAATGTCTCTAAATACAGATTTTGCTGCCACTGATTTCAGAAAGCAAAAATGACTTTGCATAGGCTGGCTGCCTTCCAGCTTGTGGTTCGTGGTCTCATTGTGAGAGCTGAGGTTGTTTGCAGTTCTCAGGAGGCTTTTGGTTCCTCTGACAGGAACCTTTGAAAGTTTCTTATACTCCAGCTCAAGCCAGCTCCTTCTCTCAAGCAAGCCTTGATTTTTCTTTCCTTTCAGGCTGGGTCCACATTGCCCCTCAACAGCATTAGTGGACATGATTGTCAGACTTGCAATTTCCGCAGACACCTTCTGTGAACATTTTTCAACATCATCTACATGAGTGAGAGACCCGTTCGACATGTAAGAATACTGCTTGACTTTGGACCTGCCTTTGTCGTGGTTCCTGCCTTTCTCATAGATCCCCTGCCAGGCCCAGGATGATAGGAGGCAATGAAGTCAAGGGCCGAGCCCCATTCATTGAAAGCTGACTCTGGGGTCTCGGGTATAATTCCATCACATAAAATCCCCTCAACAACTCACCAGACTATATTCCAATCTCCATGGAACCTGATTCTTGCACACAGCCTCTTTCAGGAATGGAGTCAGAAGAGCAGTCTTCAGAGACCACCTCAGTTTGGAAAAGCCTCCTCCTTCAGTGGTTCCCAGCCATGGAGTCATCGTGAAGGGGCTCCATGGTCAATAATTTTACGGTACTGCACTTGGTTATCACAGACAGACTTTTTCATGATAGCATGCCATCTCTGTCTATATCATTTTCCTCTGCTTAGGCAGGCTGACAACTCTGACAGCCAGGGGCCCGAATCTACCTGGCAAATGTGCATGCTCTACTCTCAGTGCAAAAGGCCTGTTTGGGAGTTCTGACTAGTGTCACAATAAATGCCGCCATTGCCTAGTGACAAGTCCCTGTGGATTGAGGGAGGAAACCTCCATGTAGGGGCATTGGTAGTGGACTCTCACCTGTCTTCTAAGTAAAATGCATGGGACAGTCCCATGATGCTAGGAGAGGGCAGACAGAAGCCAGCCTCAAGAAACCTCAAGGGCAGCCTCAGGAATAAACTGAAGCATTCCTAATGATTTAAAATATGTGTAGAATTTCTAATGCCTGCCTAGATGTTGCAGGGGTGAGTCATTGTGAAACTTGCCCCACTGTGATTTCTAGGTAAAGCCCACCTGTGTTCCTGGGGTGGCTGTCTCCCAGGTGGGGCTTCCTGCAGGACCACAAAGCCTGAGAAGCTGCCAGACTTTGTGTTTCTGTGAGAGTGTTGTGAGTGTTGGATGTTTGCGTGTATGTATGGCTGTGTCTATGTGTGTGTGTGTGTGTGTGTGTGGTGTCTGTAAGGGGAGTCTGCTTAAAGTAATGTTGCTAAAGCACTGCAGCCCCCTTTTTTTTAAGTCTTCCAACTTTTTAGTGGATTGTCTCAGGCTGCGGGGCTTTGTATTCTTTCTTTTTCTATGGATTATGAATCTGCAATGAAGTCTAAGGCAGGATGAGACCCGCCAGGTAACAAAACACCTCCTTCTCCCAAAAACAACCACTTTCCTAGAAAGAAGAAGGCCATACCACCCTCAAGAACAGACATCTCCCAGTGTTTTATTGTCCTTCAGCCAACCCAGGGAGAGACAGCAGCAGTCCTGTCTGCAGGGCTTTTTAAATGTACCTCGAATTTAGTTCCCAGCCAAGCTGGTGCTTCACATCGTGAAGGAGAACCCCTCCATCATCTTGGAATTTCATTCTGGAACAGAGAATATCAGTAGCAATAAGGTCACAGAGAGATGAAGATACAATGTGGTGAGGGGTGGATGAGGACCTGCACCTTAACATGCAAAAAAGGTGAAGACAGAAGACAGAAAGTGCTTCACACTGCATCCCTGCATTCCCTTAATGACACAGTAGTCCACACCATGGCCCGGTGTTCAGGTGGGAGTACTACAAGGTGCAGGGAACATTTGGAGTGCAAACTGAAGCCATCCTGCAAACTGCCAATTTAAGGGCTTTCATACTAAAGCCAAATGGGAGTACCATGAATTTATCCTGGCTGGGATGTGGCGTCTACACTTGCCTCTTTTTTTCCTGACTTCCATGCTCCTCATCAGCCTAGGGTTTCCTGGGTCTGGCTCAACGTCTTCGACACTAAACATTTCCCCATACAGTGATTATGACCCTTATGAGAATCCATTGTGTGCGTATTTCATATTAACAATGTCACATTTTAATTACTTGGCAGCTGTGATACTTTTAAAACCATGATTTCCTGTTACAGCTGCCATTAAGGAAACTCTTGTTCTACCACTTCTATCAGGGGCTGCAAGATCTCTGGGGTGAGAAGCAGGCAGTCATATCTCACTTTTGGCTGGCATTCTAGGCACTGTTCCATTTCATCTGCATGTCGTTTCTCATTGTGGAAGGGATCTTTCACTGGACTGTTGCTGGATGGTACTACCTCTCATCACAGATCTTTTGGCTGCCAGGGATTTCAGGGAGCAAAAGACACTTTGGGTAGGCTCACCAAAATCCAGGTTGTGAGCCATGGTGTCAACGTGGGGGCTGAGGTTGTTTGCACTTTACAGGAGGCTTTTCGGTCCTCTGACAGGAATCTTTGAACATTGCTTGGACTGCAGCACAAGGCAGATTGTTCTTTCAGGTGAGCATTGATTTTTCTTTGCTTTCATAAGGTATGCATAGTGCCCATCAACAGCAGTACTTGACACTTTTCAGGTTTGCCATGGCCACAGACAGCCTTGGAGACACTGTCTCAACCTCATCTGCACCTGTGAGAAGACAGTCCACGATGTGAGAACACTGCTCCTTCTTGGACTTGCCTTTTTGAGGTTGCTGCCTTTCCCAGAGAGCTCCTGCGAGGTCCAAAATAAAGGGAGGCAGTGAGGCCAAGAGACCGGCCATCTTTCTCTGACACCCACCTTTGGGGTCTCAGGTATGATTGTATCACCCAAAGAATCCTCAACAACTCACCAGACTATACTCCAATCCCCATGAAACCCGATACTTGCACATAGACTTTTTCAGAAATGGAGTCTGAAGAGCAGTTTCCAGAGACCATGTCACCATCTTGAAATGCCTTCTTCTCCAGCGGGAACCAATCATGGAGATGAACTGAAGGGGCCCTGACTTTGCAAATTTTACAGTCCAGCCGTTGGTTTTCGCAGGCAGACTTTGTCCTGATACCAGGCCATCTCTGCTTGTACTATTTTCCTCTGCTTAGGCAAGCTGACAGCTCCAACAGTCAGGCGCCTGAGCCACCCTCATGAATGCACATGTGCTAGTCTCAAGGTATCAGGGCTGATTGTGAGCTTCGGCAAAAGTTACAAAAAAGGTCACCATTGCCTAGTGACAAGTCCCTGCCTCTTGCTGGAGACGGAGACCTCTGTGGAGGTGTGTCAGTGGTACACTCTCACCTATCTTCTCTGTGAAATCCACAAATAGTCTCATGATCATGGCAGAAGGCCTGGAGCTTGGTAGAAAAGGAGAATTCCCTGGAGGTGCACCGGCATTGGAACCACACCTGTCTTCTCTGTGGGATTCACAGGATAGTCCTAGAAAAGGGCAGATGAGAGCCAGACTGAGGAAAGGTCAAGAAGAGCCCCAGGAATAAATGGCAAACTGCCTAGGGATCCAAAAGGATTTGGAAGGATTCCTCAGGCCTGCCTAGAGGTTGTAGGGGTGAGTCTTTTAGAAACCTGTCCCAATGTGATTTCTAGGTACAACATGCATGTGTTACCCGGGGTTGCTCTCTCCCAGGTGGGGATTTCTGATGAGCCACACAGCCTCAGTAGCTGCCAGGCAGTGAGTTTCCGTGGGAATGTTGCAAGTGTTGGTTGTCTTTGTGGGTAGGTGTGGCATTGTGTATTTGTGTGTGTGTTTGCGTGCCTGTAAGTGGAGTCTGCTTAAAGGAATGTGGCTAATGCACTGCAGCATTTCTTTTATTTTTGAGTCTCTTATCCTTATAGTGGCCTGTCTGTGTGGCTCGGCTTGGG
The DNA here is from genome assembly GCF_000001405.40 of Homo sapiens. NCBI lineage: Eukaryota > Metazoa > Chordata > Mammalia > Primates > Hominidae > Homo > Homo sapiens. The sequence continues at coordinate 9,761,574 of NC_000024.10, forward strand.
TTGCCGGGATTCATGTTCTTTATTTGTCTGTGGATCATGAATCTGCAGTGAATTGGGAGGTGGGCCGAGACACACAAGCATCCAAATCACCTCCCCTGCAACAAAAGCCACTCTTCTAGAAAGAAGATGAGCATACCACACCAAAAAAAAGAGATCTCCCAGTGTTTTATTGACCTGAGTCCAAACCAGAAAGTGACACTCACAGACCTGTGTGCATGGCCCCTTGAATTTACATCAAATTCAGTCTCCAGCTGAGCAGATGCTTCATGTCATGAGGAAGATCTTGTCCATCATCTTGGATTTCATTCGGGGACATAGATTGTGAGCAGAAATAAGGTCAGATGGGGTGAGGATACAATCTGGTGAGGGGTGAAAGTGGTCTCCCAACTTCACCAGCAAAACATAAAGACAGATAACACAGAAAGTGCTTCCAACTTCATCTCTGCATCCCCTTAATTGCACAAGCAGTCCACACCATGGCTCGGTGTTCTGGTGGGAGTACTTTAATCTGCAAGGAATATTTGGAGGGCAAATTGGGGCCATTTTTGCAAACTCCCAATTTAAGAGCCTTCATACATGAGCCAAATGGGAGGAGTATTGATTGATGCTGGGTTGGATGTGGCCTCCGTACTTGCCTTTTTCCCCCTGACTTCTATGTTTTTCATCAACCTAGGGTTTCCTCTTTCTGGCTCAATGACTTCCACACTAAATGTTTCCCAATTCATAGAGAACAACCCTCCTGGGAATCCATTGCATGAGTGTTTCCTTCTAAACATTGTCACCTTTTAAAGACTGGGAAGCTTTGATAGTTTTAAAACGGTAAATTCTTGTTACACCCACCAACAAGGAATCTGTTTTTTTTCCCACTTCTATCACAGGGTTGCATGTTTACTCTAGGATGAGAAGGAGGCAGCCACGTCTGGCTTTAGCCTGATAATCTAGCCCCTGTTTCATCTCATCTGCATGGACTTCTCATTGTGGAGGGGCCCTTTCACTGGGCTATTGCTGGCTAGGACTGCCACTTGCCACAGATTATTTTGCTGCCAGGGATTTCAGAGAGTAAAAGGGACTTTGATAAACTGGCTGCACTCCATATTGTGGATCATTGTCTCATCGTAGAGGCTGCAGTTGTTTGCACTTTGCAGGAGGCTTTTGGTTTCTGACAGGAATCTTGAACATTGCCTGGACTCCAGCAAAGGCAGCTCATTCTTAGGTGAACCTTGGTTTTTCTTTGTTTTCTTGGGGAATCCATAGTGCCCCCCAACAGCAGCACTGCACACCATTTTCAAGCTTGCCATCACCACAGATGGCCTCTGAGACACTGTCTCAACTACATCTGCACAAGTGAGAGGCCATTCCAAGATGTGAGAACACTGCTCCACATTAGACTTGCCTTTGTCATGGTTCTTGCCTTTCATAGATAGCCCCTGCAAGGCTCAGAATGAAGGGAGCCATTGAGTTCAAAAGCCCAATCATCTTTTGCTGACATCCACTTCTGGTGTCTCAGGTATGTTTCTGTCACCCAAAGAACACTCAACGACACACCAGATTATATTCCAATCCCCTTGGGACCCAATTATTGCACACACCCTCTTTCGCTAATGGAGTTAGAAGAGCAGTTTCCAGCGACCACCTCACAGTCGCGAAACACCTCTTCCTCCAGCGCGACCTGAACAAGGAAATGGCTAGCAGGGTCCCTGAGGTCAAGACTTTCAGGGTCCTGCAGCGGGTTTTTATAGTCAGCCTTTTTCCCAATACCAAGCCAGCTCTGCCTGTACCATTATCCACTGCAGAGGCAGGCTGACAGCTCTGACAACCTGACTTGAGTCTGCCTCACAAATGCACTTGCGCTAGTCTCAGCGCACCTGGTCTGATTGTGAGCTCTGTCTAGCATCACAATAAATGTCACCATTGCCTTGCAAGAAGCATCTGCATCTTGGTGGAAAAGGAGACCTCCGTGGAGAAGTGTCAGCGGTGTCTTCTCGTCTGTCTTCTCTGTGAAATCCACAGATAGTCTCATGATCCTAGGAGAGGGCAGACGTTAGCCAGCGTGAAGGAACATCAAGCTTAGCTACAGAAATAAACCGCAAAATCCTTAAACATCCAAAAAGATCTGCAAGATTTTGTAGGCCTGCCTAGATATTGTAGGGGTGAGTCTTTTTGAAACTTGCCCCACTGTGGTTTCTAGGTACAGCCTGTCTATGTTCCCTGGGATTGCTCTCTCCCAGGTGGGAATTCCTGCAGAGCTATGCAGCCTCGGGTGCTGCTGGGCTATGTTCTTCTGTGGGAGTGTTGCAACTGTTGGATATGTGTGTGTGTGTGTCATTGCGTGTTTGAGAATGTGTTTGTGGCTGTAAGTGGAGTCTGCTTAAATAATATGGCTAACGCACTTCAGTGCTGCTGCTTTTTTTTTTTTTTTTGTATGTTTCAATCTTTGTTGGCCTGCCTGTTGCTCTGCTTGTGCTTTGGGGCTCCATGTTCTTTATTTTTCTGTGGATCATGAATCTGCATTGCATTGGGAGGTGGGCCAAGACACACAATTGTCCAAATCAACTCCCCCCACAAAAAAAGCCACTCTTCTAGAAAGAAGAGGAGCACACCACACCAGAAACAGACATCTCGCAGTGTTTCACTGTCTCAACCTTATCTGCACAGTCCAAGGCCAGTCTGAGGTGTAAGAATAACCTCAACTGCACAGTGAAAGACCAGTCCAAGGTATGAGAACACTCCTCTACATTGGATTTGCCACTGTTGTGGTTTCTACCTTCCCCAGAGAGCTTCTGAGAGACCCAGGATGAAGGGATGCAGTGAGGTCAAGAGCCCAACCTTCTTTCACTGACACCCACCTCTAAGTTCTCAGGTATGATTCTGTCACCCAAACAACCCTCAACAACACAACAGATTATATTCCAATTCTTATGGGACCAGATTATGGCTCACAGCCTGTTTCAAAAATGGAGTCAGAAGGGCAGTTTCCAGCGAACAGGTTACTATCTCAAAATATTTCCTCCGGCAGTGGGACCTGACCATGGAGACAGCCCAAAGGGGCCTTCAGGTCGAGACATTTAGGGTCCCACAGTGGGTTTTCACACACTGCCTTTTTATTAAAAACAGGCCTACTCTGCCTGTACCATTTTTCTCTGCTTAGGATGCCACCTTGCTTACACACAGGCAAAAACCTCTGCAGGATTTTTCAGGCCACCCTAGATGTTGTAAGCATGAGTCTTTTGAAACTTGCCTAACTGTGATTTCTAGGTGTAGCCAACCAGGGTTTCTTGTGCTTGCTCTCTCCCAGGTTGGGATTCCTGCAGAATCACATAGCCTCTGGAGCTGCTGAGCTGTGTTTTCCTGTGGGAGTGTTGCGAGTGTTGGATGTCTGCATCTGTGTGTGGCATTGGGTGTGTGTGTGCACCTGTCAGTGGAGTGTGCTTGAAATTATGTGGCTAACCCACTTCAGCCCTTTGTCTTTCTCTTTTTTTTTTTTTTTTTTTAGTCTCCCAACCTTTCTGGTGGAGGATTTCGAGTGTTGGATGTCTGCATCTTTGTGTGGCATTGTGTGTGTGTGTGTGACTATAAATGGAGTCTGCTTAAAGGAATATTACTTATGCACTTCAGTGCTTTCTGTTTTTGAGTCTTCCAACATTTTGGTGGCCTGTGTTTCTCTGCTTGGGATGTGGGACTTTCTCCAGGTAGTGCTTCCTGCACAACAATGCAGCCTCAGTAGCTGCTGGGCTGTGTATTTCTGTGGGAGTATTTTGAGTGTAGGATGTCTGAGCGTGTGTGTGGCATTGTGTGTTCAAAAAAAGCCACTCTTCTAAAAAGAAGAGGAGCACACCATGCCAAAAAGAGGTATCTCCTAGTGTGTCATTGTCATGAGGCCAACCCAGGCATAGACACTGGCAGTCCTGTCCACTGGGCACTTTGAATTAATCTTGAATTCAGTTCCCAGCTGAGCAAGTGATTCACATCTTGTGGCGGGGGGCACTTCTCCATCATCTTTTGATTTCATCCTGGAACATACAGTATGAGCAGGAATAAAGTCAAATAGCAGTAAGGACAAAATCTGGTGAAGGGTGTATAAGGTTTTGCAATATCACCTGAAAAAAATAAAATAAAGATGGATGACACAGAAGCTGCTTCCAAGTAAATAGCCTGGTGTTCAGGTGGACATGCAGAGAACATTTTGAGAACAAATTGGGGCCATCCTGGCAAACTCTCAATGTGAGGGCTTTCATACCCAGAGCCACATGAAAGTGTGATGGATTGATGCTGGGTGGGATGTGGCCACCACACTTGTGTCTTCATGTTCCTTTTTGGCCTAGGGTTTTCTGGGTCTGGTTCCACATCTTCTACACTAGAAGTTTCCCAGTTCACAGAGGACCACTCTCATGTGAATCCATTGCATCAGTGTTTCTTCCTAGACTCTGTCACATTTTGATGACTGGGCAATATGAGACTTTTAAAAGCATAAATTCCCGTTACAACTGCCAATACAGAAATTTTTATTCTCCTTTTATCAAAGAGCTGCATGATTCCTGTAGGAGGAGAAGCAGGCAGCTGTGTTCTGCATTTTCCTGCTAATCTTGGCTCTGTTTCACTTCATCTGCATGTCATTCCCTGCTGTGGAGTGGATCTTTCATTGGCTCTTGCTGGATGGGACTGCCTCTTGCTATAGATCTTTTCACTGCCAGGAATTTCAGGAAGCCAAAAGGACTTTGCATATGGTGGCTACATGCCAGGATGTGGATCATGGTGTCCTTGTGGGGGCTGATGTTGTTTGCGCTTTGCAGGAGGCTTTTGGGTCCTCTGATGGGAATCTTTGAACTTTGCTTGTACTCCCACACAAGTCAGCTTGTTTGCTCAGATAAGCCTTCATTTTTCTTTGCTTTCAAGGGGAGTCCACATTGCCCCTCATTAGCAGTACTGGACACCATTTTCTGTCTTGCAATTGCCATGGACCACCTCAGACATACTCTGTCAACCACATCTGCATCTGTGAAAGGCCAGTTTGAGATATGAGAACAATGCTTTATCTGGGACTTGCTTTTGTTGTGGTTCCTGTATTTCCCAGAGAGCTCCTGTGAGGCCCAGGATGAAGGGAGGCAGTGAGGTCAAGGGCCTAACCATCTTTCACTGACACCCACCTCTTGGGTCTCAATGATGATTCCATCACCCAGAGATGCCTCAAAAACTCACCAGATGGTATTTCAATCCCCATGGGAATTAACTCTTGCACACATCTTCTTTTGGGAATGGAGGCAGAGGTGCAGATTGCAGCGACCCTTTCACAGTCTCAAAGTGACTTCTCCTTCTGCAGAACCCAACCTTGGAGACTGCCTGAAAGGGCCCTGTCATCTATATTTTTATGTCCAGTGGTGGGTTATTGCAGGCAGCATTTTTCCCTATACCAGGCAGGCTCTGCCTGTACCATTTTCCTCTGCTTAGGCAGGCTGACAGCTCTGATGAGTGCCTGAGCCTGCCTCAGAAATGCACATGTGCTAGTCTCAGAGCACCAGGCCTGAGTGTGAGTGCTGGCTAGCATCACAATGAATGTCACTGCTGCCTTGTGACAATGCCCTGTGGCTTGGCAGAGGAGACCTCCTTGGAGATGCATCGGCCGTGGACTCTCACCTGACTTCTCTGTGGTGTTCATGGGATTGTCCCATGATCCTAGAAAAGGGCAGGCATGAGCCAGCCTGAAGAAAAGTCAAGTACACCTCCAGGAATAAACTGCAGAATCCCTTAGGATGCAAAAGGATATACAGGATTTCTCAGGACTACCCAGAAGTTTGTAGGGTTGAGTCTCTTTCAAACTTGCACCACCGTGATTTCTAGGTACAGTTCCCTTGTGTTTCTTGGGGTTGCTGTCTCCCAGGTTGGGATTCTTTCCGAACAACACTGCCTCAGGGGCTGCCAGTCTTTGCTTTTCTATGAGAGTCTTGCATGTGATGGATGGCTGTGTGTGTGTGTGTAGCATTGTGTGTTTGTGTATGTGCGTGTTTATGTGTCTGTAAGTGGAGTGTGCTTAAAATAATGTGCCTAACACACTTCAGCACTTCTTCTTTAGTCTGCCAACCTTTCTGGTGGAGTGCTGTGAGTGTTGGATGTCTACATGCATGTGGGTGGCATTGTGTGTTTGTATGTGTGTGTGTGTGAGAGACTGTAAGTGCAGTCTGCCTAAGGAATATTGCTAATGCACTTCAGTGTTTGCTGTATGTACATCTCCCAACCTTTTGGTGGCTTTTCTGTGTGGGTCTGCTTGGGCTACCTGCAGACCCAGTTGGTGCTACCTGCACAACAGCACAGTCTGAGTAGTAACTGGTTTGTATGTTTCTGTGGGAGTGTTGTGAATGTTGGATGTCTGAGTGTGTGTGTGGCATTGTGTGTGTGAGAAAAGCCACTCTTCTAGAAAGAAAAGGAGCACACCACACCAAAAATGAGACATCTCAGTGTTTCATTGTCTTGCAGCCAACCCAGGGAGAGATGCTAGCAGTCCTGTGCACAGGGCACATTGAATTCACCTTGAATTCGATTCCCAGCCAAGCCAATAATTCATGTCTTAGGTCGGGGGGCTCTCAAATATCATCTTTGGATTTCATCCTGGTGCATAGAGTGTCAACAGCAATGATGTCAGATAGGAGTAAAGATGAAATCTGGGGAGGTGCATGGGATACCCCAACTGCACCTGTAAAAAAAAAAAAAAAAGAAAAAGGATGACAGACGACACAGAGATTGTTTCCAGCTAAACAGCCTGGTGTTCAGGTGGAAGTACTCCAATGTATGGGGAAAATTTTGAGTACACACTGGGGCCATCCTGGCAAACTCCCAATGTGAGGGCTTTCATACCCAAAGGCAAAGGAGAGGGTGATGGATTGATGCTGGATGGAATGTGGCTGCCACACTTGCCTCTTCTTTTCCTGACTTTCATGATCTTCTTTGGCCTAAGTTTTCCTGGGTATGGCTACACGTATTCCACACTAAAAGTTTCCCAGTTCACAGAGGATGACTCTCTTGGGAATTCATTACATGAGGGATTCTTTCTAAACTCTGCCACATTTTAATGACTGGGCAGCTGTGATACTTTTAAAAGCATAAATTCCCATTACATCCACCAACATAGAAACTCTTGTTTTCCCACTTTTATTGGAAGACTGCATGATTCCTTTAGGATGAGAAGCAGGCAGCCATGTCTGCATTTGCCTGGTAATCTTAGCTCTGTTTCACTTCATCTGCAAGTCCTTTCTCTCTGTGGAGTGGATATTTCATTGGCTTTTGCTGGATGGGACTGCCTCCTCCCTACAGATCTTTTGGCTGCCAGGAACTTCAGGAAGCCTATAGGACTTTGTGTATGCTGGCTATACTCCAGATTTTGGGTCTTTTTCTCCTTGTGGAGGCTGATGTTGTTTGCTCTTTGTAGGAGGCTTTTGGGTCCTCTGACAAAAATCTTTGAACATTATTTGGACTCCTGCACAAGTCAGCTTATTTGCTCAGATGAGCCTTCATTTTTCTTTGCTTTCATGAGGGTTCCACATTGCCCCTCATCAGCACTACTGGACACCCTTTTCTGGCTTGCTTTCACCACAGACAGCCACTGAGAAACTGTTTCCACCTCACCTGCACCCATTTTAAGGTGTGAGAACAGCCAGTTTAAGGTGTGAGAACAATGCTTTATCTTGGACTTTCTTTTGTCGTGGTTCTTACCTTTTCCCGAGAGCCCCTGTGAGGCCCGGTAACTCACCAGACTGTATTACAATCCCCATAGGAACTGCCTCTTGCACACAGCCTCTTTCCAGAATGGAGGCAGAGTATCTGATTGCAGCGACCACTTCACAGTCTCAAAATGAGTTCTCCTTCAGTGGAACTCGACCTCAGAGACTGCCCAAAAGGGCCCTATGGCCTAGACTTTTTGGGTCCAGCAGTGGTTTATCACAGTGCCTTTTCTTTGTTCCTCTTTTTGGTCAGGCTAACAGCTCTGACAGCCAGGCCCCAGAACATGCCTCTTGAATGCGAAGGCACTGGTCTCAAGGCACAAAGACTGAGCTGTGAGTTTTGATTAGCGTCACAGTGAATGCCACCATTTCCTAGAGACAAGTTCCTGCAGGTTGGCGGAGAAGAAGACCTTTTTACAGGTGCTGTCGGTGGTGGACTCTCACCTGTTTTCTCTGTGGGAATTACTGTATAGTCTCCTGATTTTAGGAGAGGGCAAATATGAGCCAGCCTGAAATAATGTCAATAAGAGCACCAGGAATAAACCATGAATTCCAGAAGGATCCAAAAGGGTCTGCAAGATGCTTCAGGCCTGCCTAGGCACTGTATCCTCACCCCTGTGAGTGAGTGAGGGGTGAGTGCTTTTGACACTTGCCCCACTGTGATGTATAGGTACAGCCCTCCTGTGTTCCTTGGTGTTGCTCCCTCCTAGGTGTGGCTTCCTGCAGAACCAAACTGCCTCAGGAGCTGATAGGCTGTGTGTTTCTGTGGGAGTGCTGCAAGTGTTGGATGTCTGCCTGTGTGTTTGACTTTGTACATTTGTGTGTGTGTGTGTGTGTGTGCCTGTAAATGGAGTCTGCTTAAAGGAATGTGGCTAACACACTGCAGCACTTCATTTTGTTGAGTCTCCAACCTTTTGTTGTCTTCCTGTACGCCTCTGTTTGGGACATAGAACTCCATGTTCTTTATTTTTTTGTGAATCATGAATCTGCAGTGAGTTGGGAGGCTGGCCGAGACATGCTGCTGTCCAAGTCACCATGCCCTGCAAAAAAAGCAACTCTTCTAGGTAGAAGAGAGTCAAACCACACCCAAGAGCAGACATCTCCCAGGTTTTCATTGTCATGTGGCCAACCCAGGGAGAGACAATAGCAATCCTGTCTACAACAACCCTTGAATTTACCTCAGGTTATATTCACAGGTGAACACGTGCTTCACATCATGAGGGTTACTCCTCCTTTGTCCTGGGTTTTCATCCTTGGACAGATAGTTTGAGCAGCAGTAAGGTCAGACAGGGTGGGGATACAATCTTGTGAGGGGTGGATGGGGTCTCACAACTTCACCTGCAAATAAGGTGAAGACAAATGACACAGAAGATGCTTCCAACTGAATCCCTACATTCCACTATTTGCACAAGTAGTCCACACCATGGCCCATTGTTGAGGTGGGAGTACTCCAACATGCAGAGAACATTTGGAGTGCAAACTGGGGACATCCTGGCAAACTCCAGATTTGAGCGCTTTCATAGGCAAAGCCAAATGGGAGTGGGATGGACTAGTTCTGGGTGAAATATGGCCTCCACACTTGCCTGTTTTTTTCATGTCTTCCATGTTCCTCTATGGCCTATGGCATGCTGCATGTGGCTCAAAATCTTCAACACTAAACCTTTCCCACTTCATGGAGGTCGAACTAATTGGAATCCATTGCATGAGTGTTTCCTTCTAATCACTGTCACATTTTAATGAATGGGCAGCTGTATTTATTTTTAAAGCATCAATTCCCATTACAGCTGCCAACAAGGAAACTTTCGTTCTCCCACTTTTATTGGAAGGCTGCTTGACTCCCGTAGGATGAGAAGCAGGGAGCCGTGTTTGGATTCACCTAGTAACCAAGGCTGTGTTTCACTTCATCTGCACTTCCTTTCTCATTGTAAACAGACTCTTTCATTGAGCTTTTGCTGTATGGGACTGCCACTCACAATGGTTCTTTTGGCAAGCAGAATTTCAGGGAGCAAAAAGACTTTGGTCGGCTGGTGGTGTTCCAGGTTTTGTGTCATGGGCTTGTTGTAAAATCTGAGGTTGTTTGCACTTTGTGGGAGGCTTTTGGTTCCTCTGGCAGAAATCTTTGAACATTTCTGGAAATCCAGGACAAGTCCACTCATTCTCACAGGTGAGCCTTGATTTTTCTTTGCTTTCATGCTGGGCCCACATTGCCCCTCAGCAGAAATACTGGCCACCATTTTCAGGCTTGCAATTGCCAAAAACGGCCTCTGAGACAATTTCACAGTATCAACTGCACCCATGACACTCCAGTTCGGTGTAAGAACTTCTTGATATTGGACCTACCTTTTTCATGTTTCCTGCCTTTTGCAGAGAGCCCCTGTGAGGACCATGATGAAGGGAAGCAATGAGATCAAGGGACTGGCTATATTTTACTGACACTCATTTTTGGTGTCTCAGGTATAATTCCATTACACAAAAATCCTTTAACAACTCACCAGACTATATTCCAATTTAGATGGGTCCTGATTCTTGCACAAAGGCTCTTTCAGGAATGGAGTCAGAAGAGCTCTCCTAAGCAACCACCTCACAGTCTTGAAACGCGTCCTCCTCCAGTGGTACCCAAAGATGCAGACATCCCAAAGGGGTTCTAAGGTAGAGAATTTTAATGCTAGTCTCAGGACACTAGGGCTTAGATCTGAGCTCTGGTTAGAGTCACAATGAATGTCACATTTGCCCAGCGACAAGTCCCTGTGACTTGGCTGAGGAGGATACCTTTGTGGAGGTGCATCAGCAGTGGACTCTCACTTTTATTCCCTGTGGAAGCCTCGGGATAGTCCCACGATCCTAGGAGAGGGCAGACATGAACCAGCCTAAAGAAACATCAGGCATAGCCCCAGGAATAAACCACAAAATTGCTAAGGATCCAAAAGGAACTGCAGGATTTTTTAGGACTGGCTAGATGCTGTATTGGTTAGTCTTTCTGAAACTTGCCCCACCGTGCTTCCCAGGTAAAGCCTGCCAGTATGCCCTGGGGTTGCTCTCTGCCAGGGTAAGTTTCTTGCACAACCACGAAGCCTCAGGAGCTGCCAGCCTGTGTGTTTCTGTTGGAGTGTTGTGAGTGTTGGAGGCCTGCATGTGTGTGGCATTTTGTGTGTGTGTGTGTTTGTGTGTGTGTGTCTGTAAGTGGAGAGTGCTTAAATGAATGTGGCTAACACAATTCAGGGCTAGTTTTTTGAGTCTCCAACCCTTTTGGCTCTGCTTGAGCCACATCATAAGTCTCAGTGAATTGAGAGGCAGGCCATAACCCACCCATGTCCAAATAATCTCCCCCTACAAAGCACAAAGCCATTCTTCTAGAAACAAGAGGAGCACACCACACAAAAACATAGATATCTTTAGTGTTTCATTGTTATGTGGCCAACCCAGACAGAGACAGTAGCAGTCTTGTTTTCAGGGCCCCTTCAATTTACCTGAAATTCAGTCCCCAGCTTAGCAAGTGCTTCACGTCCTGAGGGGGCACTCCTCCATCATTTTGGGATTTTATTTTGGGACACAGAGTATAAGCAGCCATAACATCGGATAGGGGTGAGAATTCAATCAGGTGAAGGTTGTCACCTGAAGACAGGTGACTCAGAAGGTACTTCCAACACCATCCCCACATTCCCTTAGTTGAAGAAGCAGTCCACACCATGGCTCAGTGTTCAGGTGAGCGTACAAGCTGGGGCCATCCTGGCAAACTTCCGATTTGAGGGCTTTCATACCCGGAACAAAATGGAAGTGGAATAAATTCATGCTAGGTGGAATGTGGCCTCCACACTTGCCTCATCTTTTCCTGACTTCCATGTTCCTCACTGGCCTACAGTTTCCTGGGTCTGGTTCAATGACTTCCAACACAGAACATTTCCCAGTTCACAAAGAACAACCCTCACGGTGATCCACTGTGTGAGTGTTTCCTTCTAAACACCATCACGTTTTAATGACTGAGCTGCTTTGATACTTTTAAAACAGTAAATTCCTGTTACAGCCACCAAAAAGCAAACTCTTCCTCTCCCACTCCTATCAAAGGGCTGCATGACTTCTGCAGGGTGAGAAGCAGGCATTCATGTCTGGCTTTTGTCTGGTAGTCTATCTTCTGTTTCATTTCATCTGCCTGGTTTCCTTATTGTGGAGGGGCTCTTTCATTCAGCTGTTTTTCAGTAGGACTGCCTCTCTACACAGATAATTTAGTTACCAGGATTTCAGAGAGGAAAAGGGACTTCAGGTAGGCTGGCTGCACTCCAGGTTCTGGGTCATTGTCTCATTTGGGGGGCTGAAGTTCCTTCCACTTTACAGGAGGCATTTGGATCCTCTGACAGGAATCATTGAACATTGCTTGGACTCCAGCACAAGGCAGCTCATTCTAGAGAGATGAGGTTTTATTTTTCTTTGCTTTCATGGGGAATCTACAGTACCCCTAAACAGCAGTACTGACACAACTTTTTATCCTTGCCATGCCATAAATGGCCTTTGACACACTGTCTCAACCTCATCTGCACCCATGAGTGGTCAGTCCAAGGTGTGAGAACAGTGCTCCACCTTGGACTTGCCTTTGTCTTAGGTCCAGACTTTCCCAGAGAGCCCCTGTGAGGCCCAAAATGAAGGGAGGAAGTGAGGTCAAGGGCCCAACTATCTTTCACTGACCCCAGCTTCTGGGGTCTCAGGTATGATTCTATCATCCAAATAACCCTCAACAACACAGCAAACTATATTTGCATCCCCATCATACCCGATTCTTGCACATAGCCTCTTTTGAGACTGGAGTCAGATGAGCAGTTTCCAGCGATCAGCTCACATTCTTGAAACGCCTCCTTCTCCAGCATGACATGGCCATGGAGATGCCATGAAGGGGCCCTGAGGTCCCCACTTATGGTCCCACAGTGGGATTTCACAGGCAGCCTTTTTTCTCGCTACCAGGCTGCACTGCCTGTACCATTTTACTCTGCTTAAGCAGGCTGACAGCTCTGACAGACAGGAAACATAGGCTGCCACAGGAATGGGCATGCACTACTCTCAGGGCACCAGGCCTGATTGTGAGCTCTGGCTAGCATCACAATGAGTGTAACCATTGCCTAGCAACAAGTTCCTGTGGCTTGGTGGAGAAGAAGACCTCCGTGGAGTTGTGTCAAAGGTGGACTCTCACCTGTCTTCACTGTGGGATCCATGGTATTGTTCCATGATCCTAGGAGAGGGCAGATGTGAGCCAGCCTGAAGAAACCTCAAGTAAAGTTCCAGCAATAAACCATGAAATCCCTAATAATAAAAAATGATCTTCAGGATTCCTCATTCAACCTAGACATTGTAGGGGTGAGCCTTTTTGAAACTTACCCCACTGTGATTTCTAGGTAGAGCCAGGCTGTTTTCCCTGGGGTTGCTGTCTCCCAGGTGGGGGCTTCTTGCAGAACCAGTCAACCCCATTGCTGCATTCCTTTGTAGCAGGACAAGCCATGAACAAAACCCCTCAGACACTGGATTAAAGAAGAAAGTGGCTTTATTCAGCTGGGAGTGTTGGCAGACTCCTGTCTCAGGAACTGAGCTCCTGGAAGAAACAGTTCCTGTCCCTTTTAAGTGCTTACAACTTTAAGGGGTTACACGTGAAAGGGTTGTAATAGATTGAGATCTAGAGATAGCACGTGTGGTTAGAGTGGTGGGTTAAACTTTTAACCTCAGGCCTGTTCATTAGTGGCACCAGCTGGTCTTGTCAATGATTTCATTCCTGATGTTTTTCAGCTTTTACTTCCTCCTTCTATTCAGAGAACAGGGGACAGTAAGAGAAATAGCCTTCCTCCTCATCCCCCTCTTTGAGAGCTGCACTCACTAGTGAGAGTTCTCTTTCTCATCTTCATTACCCAGGTCTTTCTGCAAAACAGATTGATAGTGATTTATGTAATGCACTTGTGCTGTGGTCTTTTGATGAACTAAGGTGGTAAAAGTACAGGTACCATACAGGGAGTAAACACTGGCTTGGGAGAGTGCCTGTGGACCTTCCCTTAGACTAAAATATTTACTTGGGGATCCAGTCCATTTCCATTGATTCTTAGAATTACATACTCTCCTGTTTTCCGACAGGGATCAAGTAGTTATAATGGGTTTTCCCACATCAGGCTGGTTACTTCCTGGGCTGCATACCTTGTGCAGGGTGGCGTTATACAAAGTCATCCCTTTTAAAGTTGCAATACATTCATAATAACTATAAAACAAAAAGACTGCTTTAACTTTTTTCCCTACCTCAGTAACTTGAACAGTCCTCAGTCTGAGGAAGGTCAGTTGAAGTCCTTACTGTACACATCCAAAATTTAAGAAAAGTGAGTCCTACAATGAGTTTCCTCATGTTTTGGCCATGCGTGGACCAGTCAGCTCCTGGGTATGACTGGAGTAGGGCTTGTCATCTTCTTCAAAGTCACCTTGGAGGTGTTATCTGGGCTTGGTCTCTCCTCCCAGGTCTCAGGTGCTGCAGTTTTAGGTGGCTATGATGGATCCACGCTAGAATTTTCTCTACATTTGTGGCTGTGGGAGTGGTCAAGACGAAGGCCTGGTGTCCTTTCCACCTGTGGCCACAAGGGGGCTACTTTCCGATCCGGGATCCACACCCGATCATCTGGGAAGAAAGTCATTTACCCTGGCTGAAATTGTTTCTGTAATTTTCCCTAGAGCCTGTAATTGTTGCTGTAACTCAATTTTACCTAGCTCTCAATGAGTGCCTAGGAGTCCCCGTAGTATGGGAGGGGGCCTATGATATAATATTTCATAAGGTGAATATCCTGTTCTTTTAGAAGGAATACATTTAATCTTAAACAATACCTTAGGGAGAGCTTGTGCCGGCTTTAATCCTCTTTCTTGACACACTTTTTCTAAACTATTTTTGATAGTCCAGTTCATCTGCTTCACCTTTCCGCAACTCTACGGTCAATAAGCAGTATGTAGTTTCCATGTCATTTCCAATACCTTTGCTGCCTTTTGTACCAAGTCAGCAACAAATGATGGCATGTTGTCTGAGCTCATTCATAAGGGCAGTCTAAACCTAGGGATGACATCTTGGAGAAGCACATAGTGTACTTCACGAGCTTTCTAAGTTTTTGTTGGATAGGCCACCACCCACCCAGAGTATGTACACACTAGAACTAGCAAATACTTGTTACCTCTACATTTGGATATCTTGGTGAAGTCTACTTGGATGTTTTCAAAGCGGGCTAATCCATAAGCTTGTATGTTGGGCAAGACGGTTAGACCTTGCCTAGCATTTTTCTGTGGAAAGGTGACACACTGAGTTTTGGTCTAGGTGGGTGGTCTCATGCACAGCCAGTACCACTGTGGCTACTAGTAGTTGTGACATGGCTATTCTTCCATCAAATAACAGAATCTTTCCCTCTTCTATCACATGCCCTCCCTCTGCTTGGAGAAAGTCTTTCTTTTCTTTAGAATAAATAGGTACAAGGTCAGGTACCTGATGGAGCAACAGGATTGTGACTGATGCCCCATAGTGGGTGGATGCTGCTTTCCGAGACTCTGAGTCAGCTCGGGAGTTCTCCAAGGCAATCGAGTGGAAGTTTGCTTGTTTCCTCTGCAGTGTATGACTGCTTTTCTTGTAGATTGACAAGCTACTCCCATCCATGTACAGCTCCAAATCTACTGATGCCCAAGAATGGTCTCAATGGGGAGTCTGCTAAAATAAACTGTGTCCAACACCTCTACACAGTTATGTTCACCTGGGCTCTCTGACACCAGTAAGGTGTATGTAAGGTGGTGGAGTTCAAGGTGTTGCAGACTTCAATGATTATGTGGGGATTTTCACAGAGCAAGCTTTGGTAGCTACTTACCCTTGCATTCATTAGCCAATGATGTCCTTTGGTATTCATTAATAACACCACAGCATGGGGAGACTTTATGTTCAGGTTTTGCCCAAGAGTTAGTTTATCCACTTCTTGTGCTAGCAGGGCAGTTGCTGCCAAGGCCTTCAAACATGGGGGCCAACCTTTAGAAACTCCATCTAGCTGTTTGGAGAAGTAGGCTACCAATCTTGGCCAGGGCCACACTGTGTGGGTAAAAACTCCAGCTACCATTTTTCTCTCTCTGACACATATAGTGTAAATGGCTTTGTGAGGTCAGGCAGCCCCAGAGCTGGGGCTGATGTAAGTTTCTCTTTTAATTCATGAAAAGCTCATTACTGTTGGGACTCCCATTCAAAATTCTCTCTGTTACCTCCCTTTGTGACTTCCTACAGTACTGAAAATACAGCTCCTAAGAATTCTCTCATCTGCCTTCTGGTTTTAGTCTCCAGTAGGTTGCAAATGACCTGCTTTCTTTCTGATCCTAGGCTGTGCTCCATTGTAGGATAGTAAATCCCAGATAACATAAATGCTGTCAGCAGATCTGAGCTTTCTTTGGACACCTCATACCCGCAGTCCCCCAGGTGCCAGAGCAGGGTATCCATTCCCTTGGGGCACCCGATTACTGTTGGGTGTCCCTGCAGGAGGTCATCAACAGACTGGAGCAAAAAACAGTCTAGGTCTCTGTGGGAAACTTCTGGAAGTCCCGAGCCAGTACCTTCCCAAAGATAGTGGGGGAGTTATTGAACCCTTGGGGAAGCAAGGTCCAAGTGTACTGAGTGGTGACACCTGGCCCCGCATCTTCCCACTCAAAGGCAAAGAGTTTCTGGTTCTCAAGGGCTAGGCTGATGCTAATGAAGGCATCCTTCAGCTGTCCTCAGCTGGCAGCAACCCCAACAATTTGTAGGAGTTAGGTACAACTGGGGCAAAGTCACTGTAGCTTGGATGACTGAATACAACTCCAGTACTGGCCTGTAGTCCTTGATCCCTGGCTTTGGAACAGACAGGCAGGGAGTGTTCCATGGATACTAACAAGGGACTATAATTCCAAGGGCCCTCAGGTGCTTGAGATGGACCTGGGTACCTTCAAGAGCTTCTCTGGGGACTAGGGACTGTTTTTTCCTGGCTGGCTGGGCCATAGGCTTATCTCCTATGAGTAAGAGGGCCTAGTTAATTGCCAATCCTGGAGGGTTCTTTTCTGCCCACACTTTTGGCCATCACTTAGCCAGAGCTGGTCTTACATCTTAGCTTAACTGAATTAAGAGGCATCTCCATTCCTTCTCGCTAGGAACAATAAGGGCCATGATGACTCTCCTTCCAAGTAACTTTAACTGTAAAGAGCTGTGTTTTGTAAAAGAGATGGTGGCTCTCAGCTTGCTAAGTAAGTCCTTCCTACCAAAGGCAAGGGGCAGTCAAGCATGTACAGGAAGTGGTGAATCACTTAATGACCCCCCCATCCCCTAAAGTGCAGGTCTAGGGCAAACAGAAAGCTTACTTTGTCAGGACCCCTGTGTATCTGATTATATTACTAGTCTTTGTGGAAAAGAGGGCGACCAGGATGGTTACTACTGCACATCAGCCCGGACCCCCACAGTCCAATAACACTTCTGCTAGATTGAATAAGTCCCCTTCATCTTTGTCTGAGGACTCCTGCTCAGAGTCACCTTATTTCCCTTTCAATCTGGGGCACTTGTCCTTCCAATGCCCTATTTCCTTACAGCAAGGACACTGGTTACACAGCAAGCATGGATGACCAGACTGGGTATTTTTCCTAGGGCCCCCCTTCTCTCACCACTTTGGGGGGGCCCCTCTAATAGCCGCAGCTAGAAGGTCAACGTTTCACCAGGCTCGGCATTCACTCTCTCTGAGGTTCCCTCTGCAGCTTACTGCATCTCTATTTACAAACTTCTGGTGGGCTATCTCCAATACTGTGAATTATTCATGCCTGCAAACCCAGTCTGTTTCTGCCATTGTCTTCTAATGTCTTCTATACTTTAAGTAACTAAAGCCATGTTAATCATGTGCTGATATTGAGGGCTATTGGGATCAAAGGGAGTATATTGGGATCAAAGGGTCCCACAGTGGGTGTTCATAGGCAGCTTTTTCATAATACCAGGATGGCTCTGTCTGTACAATTTCCCTCTGCTTAGGCAGGCTGACAGCTCTGACAGCCTGGAACAAGATGTTGCCTACAGATATGCATGCACTAGTTTGAGGGGACCAGGCCTGATTGTGAGAGTTGGCTACCATCACAATGAATGTTATCATTGCCTAGAGAAAAGTCCCTGCAGCTTGGTTGAGAAGGAGACCTCTGAGGAGGTGCATCAGCAGTTGACTCAACTGTCTCCTCTGTGGGATTGTTCCATGATCCTAGGAGAGGGCAGACTTGAGCCAACCTCAAGAAACATCAAACAGAGCCCCAGGAATAAATTGCAAAATCCCTAAGTTTCCAAGATGACCTGCAGGATTCCTCAGGCTGGCCTAGACATTGTAGGGGTGAGTCTTTTTGAAACTTGTTCTGCTGTGACTTCTTGGTACAGCCCACCAGGGTTTTTCAAGGTTGCTGTCTCCCAGGTAAGGCTTCCTGAAGAACGACATAGTGTCAGGCACTGCTGGGTTGTGTGTTTCTGTGAAAGTGTTGGGAATATCGGATATGTGTGCATGTGAGGCATGGTGTGTTTCTGGCTGTCTATGTGTGTATGAATGTAAGTGGAGTTATCTTAAAGAAATGTGGCTAATGCACTTCAGCGCTTTTTTTTAAGTCTCCCCACCTTATGGTCACCTGTCTGTGTGTTTCTGCTTGGGCAGTGGGGCACCGTGTTCTTTATTATTATGTGGATCCAAAATCCACAGTGAATTGGTATGTGGGCAGGGAACTGCTGGTGTCCAAAACAACTCCCTCTGCAAGAAAAGCCACTGTTCTAGAAAAAAAGAAAAGCACACCACACCAAAAGATAGACATCTCCCTGTGTTTCATATTCCTATGGCCAACACAGGAAAAGACACTAGCAGTTCTGTCGGCAGGGCCCCTTAATTTTACCTCAAATTCTGTTCTGAATTGAGCAGGTGCTTCAAGTCCTAAGGAGGCACACCTCCATTGTCTTGGGATTTTATCCTGGGATATAGAGTGTGAGCAGCAATAAAGTCAGATGGGGTGAGAATACAATGTGGTGAAAAGTGGATGGGGTCCCACAACTTTACCTGCAAAAAAAGAATAAAGACAGATGACAAAGAAGTTTCTTCCAACTCCATGCCTGCTTTACCTTAATTGCAAAAGCAGTCCAGACAATGGCTCAGTGTTCAGGTATGAGTATTCCAATGTGCAAGGAACATTTGGAGTGCAAATTGGGACCATCCTGGCAAACTGCCGATTTGTGGGCTTTAATACCCAAAGTCAAATGTGGGTGGAATGGATTGATGCTGGTTGGATGGGGCTTCCAGACATGCCTCTTTGTTTCATGACTTCCATGATTCTCATTGTTTTAGGGTTTCCTGGGTCTGGCCTAGTGACTACCACACTAAACGTTTCCCAGTTCATGGAGAATGACTCTCATGGGAATCCATTGTGTGAATGTTTCCTTCTAAACAGCGTCATGTACTAAGGACTGGGAAGATTTGATACTTTTAAAAATATATATTGATGTTACAGCTGCCAAAAGAAAACTTGTTCTCTCACATCTATTGGAGGGGCCCATGACTCCTGTAGGATGAGAAGCAGGCTTGTGTGTCAAGTTTTTCCTGGTAATCTAGAGTCTGTTTCATCATCTGCACAACTTTCTTATTTTGGACGGGCACTTTCATTGAACTGTTGCTGGATGGAACTGCCTTTCACCACAGATTATGAATCTGCCAGTGATTTCAGACAGCAAAATGACTTTCAATAGGCTGCCTGCACTCCACATTGTGGGTCGTTGTCTCATTGTGGGGGCTGAGGTTGTTTGCACTTTGTAGGGTGTTTTGGGTCTCCTGACAGGAATCATTGAACATTGCTTGGATTCCAGCACAAGGAAGCTTGTTCTCTCAGGTGAGACTTTTTTTTGGACACCCTTTTCAGGCTTGCCATGACTGCAGATGGTGTCTGAGACACTGTCTAAACCTTATCTGCACCCAAGAGGTGACAATACGGATGTGAGACCATTGCTTCATATTGGATTTGCCTTTGTGTTGCTTCCTGTATTTCCCAGAAAGCCTCTGTGAGGCACAGCATTAAGGGAAGCTGTGAGGTCAAGAACCCAGCCATCTTTCACTGACCTCTGCCCTTAGGGTCTTAGGTATGATTCTATCAACAAAGAACCCTTAACACACCATACTATATTGCAATCCCTATGGTACCAGACTGTCGCAAAGAACATCTTTTGGGAATGAAGTCAGAAGAACAGTTTGCTGTGACCACCTCAGAGTCTCAAAACCCTTCCTCCTCCAGCAAGACCCAACCACAAAAACTGTCTAAAGGCGCCCTGAGTTTGAGAATTTTAGTGTCCTGCTCTGGGTTTTTCCAGGCTGCCTTTTTCTTGATACCAGGCTTGCCCTGCCTGTACCATTTTTTACTGCATAGGCAGGCTGACAGCTCAGACTGACTGATGGCGGAGCCTGCCTCACAAATGTGCATGCGCTAGTCTCACAGCACCAGGCCTGACTGTGACCTTTCAGTAGAGTGACAATTAATGTCATTGTTGCCTAATGCCAAGTCCCTGTGAATTGGAGAAGAAGGGCACCTCTATACAGTTTTGTTGCCCATGGACTCCCACTTGTCTTCTCTGTAAGACAGACAGGACAGTCCCATGATCCCAAGAGAGGGCAGATGTGAGAGTCTGTAGAAACATCAAGCACAATTCCAGAAATAAATTCTGAAATCCCAAAGGATGCAAAGAAATCTGTAGGATTCTTCAAGCCTGCCTAGGCATTGTAGTTGTGAGTCATTTTGAAACTTGCCCCACTGTGATTTATAGGTACATCACGCCTGTGTTCCCCAGGGCGGGGCGGGGAGAGGGGCTCTCTCCCACATTCAAATGTCCTGCAGTACCAGGCAGCCTTAGGAGTTCCCACGCTGTGTGTTTCTGTGGGAGTGTTGTAAATGTTGGATGTCTGTGTGTGTGTGTGTGAGACATTGTGTGGTTTTGTGTGTGTGTGTATGTGTGTGTGCCTGTAAGTGGAGTCTGCTTAAATGACTGTGGATAATGCACTTCATTGCTTCTTTTTTTTGAGTCACCAAACCTTTATGTGCCCTGTCTGTGTGGCTTTGCTTGGACTGCGGGGTCCAGGTTTTCTATTTTTCTGTGGATCATGAATCCACAGTGAATTGGGAGGTGGGCTGATACCTGCCATAGTTTAAATCATGTCCCTCTGCAAAAAAAGAAAAAAAAAAAGGAGAGAAAAAAAAAGAAAGCCATTCTTCTAGAAAGAAGAGAAGCACACCACACCAAAAAAAAAAATGACATCTAGTGTTTCATTGTCCTGCAGCCTAACCATGGAGACACTAGCAGTCCTGTTCTTAGGTCCCCTTGAATTTACATTGAATTAGCTTCCCAGATGAGCAGGTGCTTCATGTCATGAGGGGGTATTCCTTCATCATCTTGAGATTTAATCCTGGGACATAGAGTGTGAGAAGGAATAAGTTCAGATAAGGGTGAGGATAAAATCTGGTGAGGGGTGGATGGAATCCCAAACTTCACCTGCAAAACAAATGAAGACAGGTAACACAGAAGGTGCTTTCAATTCCATCCCGGTAAATCCTTAATTGCAGAAGCAGTCCACACCATGGCCAGGGGTCCAGGTGAGAGTGCTCCAACATGCTGTGGATATTAGGAGTGCAAACTGGGGCCATCCTGGCAAACTCCCGATTTGAGGGCTTTCATACCCATAGCCAAATGGGAGTTGAAGGGATTGAGGCTTGGCGGGATGTGGCCTACAGACTTGCCTCTTCTTTTCCTGATTTTCATGATTCTTATCATCCTAGGGTTTTCTGGTTCTGGCTCAATGACTTCCACAATAAATGTTATCCAGTTAATGTGGAACGACCCTCAAGGGAATCCATTGCCTGAGTGTTTCCTTGTAAACACTGTCATATTTTAATGACTGGGCAGTTTTGTTACTTTTAAAACTGTTAATACCCATTAGACCCACAAACAATGAAACTTTGTCTCCCATTTCTATTGAAGGGCTGCATGATTCTTGGAGGATGAGAAGAAGGCAGCCATGTCTCACTTTTTTTCTGGTAATCTAGCCTCTGTATCACTGCATCTGCATGGCCATCTCATTGTGGAGGAGCTCTTTCATTGAGATGTTGCTCGATAGGACTGCCTCCAGCAACAGATTATTTAGCTGTCAGGAATTTCAGAAAGCAAAAGAGACTCTGTGTAGGCTGGCTGCATTCCAGGTTATGGGTCATTTTCTCCTTGTAGGGGCTGTGGTGGTTTTAACTTTGCAAGATAATTTTGGGTCCTGTAACAGTAATCATTGAACATTGCTTGGACTACAGAAAAACGTACCTCATTCTGTCAGGTGAGTCTTGAGTTTTGTTTGCTTTCATGGGGAATCCACAGTACTCCTCAACAGTACTATTGGACATGCTTTTCAGGCTTGCCACGGTCACAAATGGACTCTGAGACACTCACGCTCATTTGCATCTGTAAAAGGCCAGTTTAACTTGTGAGATCACTGCTCCACATTGGACTTGCATTTGTCTTGGTTTCTGCTTTTTTCAGATAGCCCCTGTGAAGTCCAGGATCAAGGAAGGCATTGAGGTCAAGAGCCCAGCCATCATTTGCTGAAACCCACCTCTGGGGTCTCAGGTATGATTCTATCACCCAAAGAACCCTCTACAATACAACAAACTGTATTTCAATCCACAAGGGACCCGATTCTTGCACACAGCCTCTTTCTGGAATGGAGTCAGAAAAGCAGTTTCTAGTGACAAACTCATAGCCTCAAAACATCTCCTCCTCCATAGGGGCCTGATCATGGAGATGATCTGAAGGGGACCTGAGGTCTAGATTTTAGTGTCCCACAGTGGGTTTTCATAGGCAGCCTATTTCGCGACATTCGGCCAGATCTGACTGTGCCAATTTCCTCTGCTTAGGCAGGCTGACCAATATGACAGCCAGGGGCCATAGCCTGCCTCACAAATGTGCATGTGCTAGTCTCAGAGCACCTGGCCTGATGATGAGCTCTCACTAGTGTCACAATGAATGTCATCATTGCCTAGCAAAAAGTCCCTGTGGCTTTGCAGACATAGAGACCTCCGTGGAGATGGGTCAGCAGTGTACTCTCACCTGTCTTCTAGGTGGGATCCACTGGATTATTTCATTGTCCTAGGAAAGGCCAGACATGAGCCAGCATGAAGAAACATCAAGCAGAACCCTAGGAATAAAATGCAAAATCCCTATGGATCCAAGAAAATCTGCAGGATTCCTCAGGCCTCACTAGACGTTGTAGGAGTAAGTCTTTTTGAAAATTGTCCTACTGTGATTTCTAGGGACTGCCTGCCTGTGTTTCTCAGGGTTGTTCTTTCCCAGGTGGGTCTTCCTGCAGAACCACACAGTGTCAGGAGACGCCAGGTGAAGTGTTTCTGTGAGAATGTTGTGAATGTTTGATGTGTGAGGTATTGTGTGTTTCTGTCTTTGTGTGTGTGTGTGTTCCTGTAAGTGGAGTCTGCTTAAAGGAATGTGGCTAACGCACTCCAGTGCTTCTTTTTATTGTGTCTCTCCACCTTTTGGTGGTCTATGTGGCTCTGCATGGATGGCAAGGCTCCATGTTCTTTATTTTTATGTGTATAATAAATCCCCAGTGAATTTGGAGGTGGGCTGGGAACCGCCGGCATCCAAATCAACCACCTCTGCAAAAAAAGTCACTGTTTTACAAATAAGGGGAGCCCTTTGTCAGATGAGTAGGTTGCAAAAATTTTCTCCCATTTTATAGGTTGCCAGTTCACTCTGATTGTAGTTTCTTTTGCTGTGCAGAAGTTCTTTAGTTTAATTAGATCTCATTTGTCAATTTTGGCTTTTGTTGCCATTGCTTTTGGTGTTTTAGACTTGAAGTCCTTGCCCATGCCTATGTCCTGAATGGTAATGCCTAGGTTTTCTTCTAGGGTTTTTATGGTTTTAGGTCTAATGTTTAAGTCTTTAATCCATCTTGAATTAATTTTTGTGCACACGTATGTTTATTGCAGCACTATTCGCAATAGCAAATACTTGGAACCAACCCAAATGTCCAACAATGATAGACTGGATAAAGAAAATCTGTCACATATACACCACGGAATGCTATGCAGCCATAAAAAATGCTGTGGCTCACACCTGTAATCCCAGCACTTTGGGAGGCCGAGGCAGGTGGATCATGAGGTCAGGATATCAAGACCATCCTGCCTAAGACGGTGAAACCCCGTCTCCACTAAAAAATACAAAAAAAATTAGCCAGGCGTGGTGGTGGGCACCTGCAGTCCCAGCTACTCAGGAGGCTGAGGCAGAAGAATGGCATGAACCCAGGAGATGGAGCTTGCAGTGAGCCAAGATCGCTCCACTGCACTCCAGTCTGGGCAACAGAGCGAGACTCCGTCTCAAAAAAAGAAAAAAAAATGATGAGTTCATGTCCTTTGTAGGGACATGGATGAAACTGGAAATCATTATTCTCAGTAAAATATTGCAAGGACAGAAAACCAAACACCGCATGTTCTCACTCATAGGCGGGAATTGAACAATAAGAACACATGGACACAGGAAGGGGAGTATCACACTCTGGGGAATATTGTGGGGTGGGGGGAGGTGGAGGGATAACATTAGGAGATATACCTAATGCTAAATGACGAGTTAATGGGTGCAGCACACCAGCATGGCACGTGTATACACATGTAACTAACCTGCACATTGTGCACATGTACCCTAAAACTTAAAGTATAATAAAAAAAAAAAGAAATAAGAGGAGCACACCACATCAAAAAAGCAGGCATCACCCTGTGTTTCATATCCCTATGGTCAACACAGGGAGAGGCACAAGCAGTCCTGTGGGCAGTGCACCTTGAATTTACCTAAAATTTGGTTCCCAGAGGAGCAGGTGTTTCACGTCATGAGGTGGCAGTCCTCCGTCATCTTGGAATTTTATCTGGGGACATAGAGTGTGATGAGTAGTAAGGTTAGATAGACATGAGGATACAATCTGGTGTGAGGTGGAAGGGGTCTCTCAACTTCACCTGCAAATAATAATAATAATAAAAAACACTGATAATACAGAAGGTGCTTCCAACTCTATCCCTGCATTCCCTGAATTGCAGAAGCAGTCCACATCATGGCTCGGCTTTCAGGTAGCAGTACTCCAACGCTCAAGTAACATTTGAAGTGCAAATTGGGGCCATCCTGGCAAACTTCCGATTTGAGACCTTTCATACTCAGAGCCAAATGGGAGTGGGATGGATTGATGCTGGGTGGGATGGTGTTTCCAGTCTTGCCTCTTCTTTTCAGGCCTTTCATGATTCTCATGGCCCTAGGGTTTCCTAGTTCTGGCTTAACGACTTCTACACTAAACATTTCCCAGTTCACAGATAATGACCCTCATGGAAATCCATTGCATAATTCCTTCTAAACACTGTCATGTTTTAATGACTGGGAAAATAAGATACTTTTAAATCCATATATCCCTGTCACATCAGCCAAAAGCAAACTTGTTATCTCTTTTCTATCGAAGGGCTGCATGAATCCTGTAGGATGAGAAGCAGGCAGTTGTGTTAGACTTTTACCTGGTAATCTAGACTCTGTTTCATTTCATCTGCATGGCCTTCTCAATTTTGAAGGGCAATTTCATTAAACTGTTGCTTGGTGGTACTGCCTCTCACCACAGATTATGTAGCTGCCAGGGATTCCAGAGAGCAAAAGGGACTTCCATTAGGCTGTCTGTGCTCCAGGTTGTGGGTCATTGTCTCAATGTGGGGGCTGAGGTTGTTTGCACTTTGCAGAAGGCTTTTGGGTCTTCTGAAAGGAATAATTGAACATTTCTTGGACTCCAGGACAAGGCATCTTGTTCTTTTGGGTGAGTGTTGATTTTTCTTTTCTTTCACAAGGAATCCACAGTTCTCCTCAACAGAACTAATGGACACCATTTTCAGGCTTGCCATCTCTACAGATGGCATCTGAGAACCGTCTAAACATCATCTGCACTTGTTACAGGACAATACGAGGTGTGAGAACACTGTTTCACCTTGGACTTTCCTTCATCTTGGTTCCTGCCTTTCCCAGAGAGCCTCTGTGAGGCCAAGGATAAAGGGAGACAGTGAGGTCAAGAGTCCGGCCATCCTTCACTGACATCTGCATCTATGGTCTCAGGTATGATTCTATCACCCTAAGAACCCTCAACTACACACCATACTGTATTCCAATCCTCATGGTATCTGATTCTTGCACACAGCTTCTTTTGGGAATGAAGTCAGAAAAACAGTTTCCAGTGACCACCTCAGAGTCTCAAAACGTTTTCTCCGTCAGAGAGATCCAACCATGGAAACGGCCTGAAGTGGTCTTGGGGTTGAGACATTTAGTGTCCCACAGTGGGTTTTTGCGGGCCCCCTTTTTCTTGATAACAGGGTGGCTCTGCCTGTACTATTTCCAACTGATTAGGCAGGCTGACAGCTCTGACAGCCTGGCACCAGAACCTGCCTCAAGAATGTACATGCACTAGTCTCACAGCACCAGGCCTGATTGTGGGCCCTGGGTAGTACCAGAATGAATGTCATTGTTGCCTAGCGCCAAGTCCCTGCAGCTTGAAGGATAAGAAGACCTCCGTTGAGTTGCATAGGCTGTGGACTCACATCTATCTTCTCTTTGGGATAGATGGGATAGTTCCATGATCCCAAGAGAGGTCAGACATGAGCTTGCCTGAAGAAATGTCAGGCACAACCCCAGGAATAAATTGTGAAATTGTTAAGGATACAAAAAATCTGCAAGATTCCTCTGGCCTGCCTAAAGGTTGTAGATGTGAGTCTTTTTGAAACTTGCCCCGGTCTGATTTCCAGGTACAGCCTACCTGTGTTCCCAGGGGTGGCTCTCTCTTCAGTGGGGCTTCCTGCAGAACCAGGCAGCCTCAGGAGTTGCAGGTCTGTGTTTCTGTGAGAGTGTTGCAGGTGTTGGATGTCTGAGTGTGTGTGTGTGTGTGTGGCATTGTGTGTTTGTGTATGTGTATGTGTGTCCCTGTAAGTGGATTCTGCTTAAATGAATGTAGCTAATGCACTTCATTGCTTCTTTCTTTGAGTCACCAAACTTTTAGGTGGCCTGTCTGTGTGGCTGTGCTTGGGCTGCAGGGCTCCTTGTTTGTTAGTTTTTCTGTGGATCATGAATCCTCTGTAAATTGGGAGGTGGCCCAAGACCTGCCATTGTTTAAATCACCTCCTTCTGCCAAAAAAAAAAAAGCCACTCTTCTAGAAAGAACAGGAGGACTCTACACCAAAAAAAAAACAGACATCTCTCAGTGTTTCATTGTCCTGTGGCCAAACCAGGGGGAGACACTAGCAGTCCTGTCTGTAAGTCCCCCTGAATTTCATCCCTGTGACTCACGTATGATTCTATGACCCAAAGAACCCTCTACAAGACACCAGAATATACTCCAATCAACATGGAACCTGATACTTGCACACAGCCTCTTTTGGGACTGGAGTCACAAGAGCAGTTTCCAGCAACCACCTCACAGTCTCCAAATGCCTCCTTCTCCAGCAGGACCTGACCATGGAGAAGTGGAGAAGGCTGGAAGAGTCTCTGAGGTCTAGACTTTTAGTGTCCTGCAGTGGTTTTTCACAGACAGCCTGTTTTGTGATACTTGGCCAGCTCTGCCTGTACCATTTTCCTCTGTTTGGGAAGGCTGACAGCTCTGACAGCCAAGGGCCCTAGTCCACCTCATGAATGCACATGTGTTAGCCTCAGGGCACCTATCCTGATTGTGAGCTTTGGGTACCCTCACAATGAATCTCACCATTGCCTAGCGACAAGTTCCTGCAGCTTGGTGGAGATAGAGACCTCTGTGAGGGTGCATCAGCTATGGATTCTCACCTGTCTTCTCTATGGGATCCACAGGATTGTCCCCTTGTCATGGAAAAGAGCAGACATGAGCCAGCTTGAAGAAATGTCAAGCAGAGCCCCAGGAATAAACTGCAAAATTCCTAAGCATCCAAGGTCTGCAGGATTCCTTAGGCCTGTCTAGACATTGTAGGTGTGAGACTTTTTGAAACTTGCCCTACTATGGTTTCTAGGTACAGCCCACCTGTGTCCCTAGGGTTGCTCTCTCCCTGGTGTGGCATCCTGCAGAACCATACAGGATCAGGAGCTGCTGGGCCATGTGTTTCTGTGGCAGCATTGTGAATTTTGGATATGTGCGTGTGTGTGAGGCATTGTGTGTTTATGTCCTTTTGTGTGCATGTGTGTGTGTGCCTTTAAGTGGAGTCTCCTTAAAGGAATGCAGCTAATGCACTTCAGTGCTTTTTTTTCTTCTGTCTCCCCATCTTTTGGTGGCCTGCCTATGTGGCTCTGCTTAGGCTTCAGGTCTCCATGTTCTTTATTTTTATGTGGATCATGAATCTGCAGTGAATTGAGAGATGGACCTGGAATCGCTGGTGTCCAAATCAACTCCCTCTGCAAAAAGAAGCCACCGTTCTTCAGAGAAGTGGAGAACACCACACCAAAAAACAGACATCTTCCAGTGTTTCACAGTTTTGTGGCCAACACAGGGTGGCCCAACACAAGCAGTCCTGTAAACATGGCCCCTCGAATTTACCTCAAATTCGGATCCCAGCCGAGCAGGTGCTTCATGTCATGAGGAGGCACTCCTCCATCATTTTGGGATTTCGTCCTGGGACATAGAGTATGAGCAGGAATAGGGTCAGATGGGGTGGTGATACACTCTGGTGAGGCATGGATGGGGTCCCACAATTTCACCTGCAAAAAATAAAATAAAATAAATAACACAGATGTCACAGTTGGTGCTTCTAAATCCATCCCTGCATTCCCTTAATCGAACAAGCAGTCCACACCATGGCTCAGTGTTCAAGTGAGAGTACTCAAAACAAAAACAAAACACTTGTTCTCTCACATCTATCAGAGGGATTCCTGTAGGATGAGAAGTAGACTGCCATGTCACGCTTTTACCTGGTAATCTATACTCTGTTTCGTTTCATCTGTACAGCCTTCTCATTTTGGAGAGGTTTTTTCATTGAACTGTTGCTGGATGAGACTTCCTCTTGCTACACATTATGTAGCTGCCAGTGATTTCAGAGAGCAAAAGGGACTATGGCCATGTAGGCTAACTGCACTTCATGTTATGAGTCGTTGTCTCGTTTCTGGGGCTTAGGTTGTTTGCACTTTGCGGGAGGGTTTTGGTTCTTCTGAGAGGAATCATTAAACATTGCTTGGACTCCAACACAAGGCTACTCTTTCTCTCAGGCAGGCATTGATTTTTCTCTGCTTTCATGGGGAATAAACAGTGCCCCTCAGCAGCAATGCAGGACACCATTTTCAGGCTTACCATCACCACACAGAGCCCCTGAGACCCGGTGTCAACCTCACCTTAGAGTTGACTTTGTCGTGGTTCCTGCCTTTCCCAGAGAGGCCCTGTGATGCCTAGGATTAAGGGAGACAGTGAGGTCAAGATCTCATCTGTCTTTCAATGACACTGACCTCTGGGGTCTCAGGTATGATTCTATCATTCAAAGAACAGTCAACAACACATCAGACTATATTCCAATCTCTTTGGGTTTCAATTCTTGCACAGAGCCTCTTTCAGGAATGGAATCAGAAGAGAAGTTTGCAGTGACCACCTCACAGTCTTGAAACACCTCCTCCTCCAATGGGACCTGACCACGGAGATGGCCCAAAGGGGTGTTGAGGTTGATACAGTCAAGGTCCTGCAGTGGGTTTTGGCAGGTAGCCTTTTTCCCGATACCAGGCTGGCTCTGCCTGTAGCGTTTTTCTCTGCTTAGGCAGGCTGACAGCTTTGACAGCCCAGTGCCTGAGCCTGCCACATGAATGTGCATGGGCTAGTCTCAGAGTAGCAGGAATCATTGTGAGATTTGGCTAGCATCACAATGAATGTCACAGTTGCCTTGTGACAAGTACCTGTGTCTTGGCAGAGAGGGAGTCTTCCATGGAGGTGCATCAGGGAAGGACTTTTGCCTATCTTCTCTGGAATTCATGTGATACTCCCATGATGCTAGAAGAGAACAGAAGTGAGGCAGTCTGAAGAAGCACGAAGCCCAGCACCAAAAATAAACCATGGAATCCCTAAGGATACAAAACTATCTTCAGGATTTGTCAGGCCTGCCTATACATTGTGGGGTGTCTTTTTGAAAGCTGCCCCTTTGTGATTTCTAGGTATAGCCTGCCTATGTTCCCCAGGGTTGCTCTCTCACAGGTGTGGCTTTCTGAAAAACCATGCAACCTCAAGAGCTGCTGGGCTGTTTCTTTCTGTGGGAATGTTGCAACTGTTAAATGTCTTTGTGTGTGTGTGACATGGTGTGTTTGTGTGTGTGTGTGCCTGTAAGTGGAGTGTGCTTAAAGAAATGAGGCTAATGCACTTGAGCCCTTCTTTTTTATGAGTCTCCCAGTTTTTCAGTGACTTGTCTGTGTGGCTCTGCTTGGACTGCGGGGCTCCATGCTTTTTTTTTTTTCTGTGGATTATGTATCTGCAGTGAATTGGAAGGCTTGCAAGATGTGGTGGTGTCCATACTATCTCTGCCTGCAAAAAAAAAAAATTCACTCTTCCAGAAAGAAGAGGAGCACACCACACCAAAAAACAGGCATCTCCCAATTTTTCATTGTGCTGAGGCCAAACTATGGATACTTGCAGTCCTGTCCAGAGGTGCCCTTGAATTGAACACCAGTTCGGTTCCCAGCTGAGCAGGTGTTTTATGTCATGAGAGTGCACTTCTCCATCGTCTTGGGATTTTATGCTGAAACATAAAGTGTGAGCAGCAATAATGTCAGATAAGGGTTAGCATAAAATCTTGTGAGGGGTGGACTTGTCCTGCAACTCCACCTGAAGATAAAATGAAGACAGATGCCACAGAAGGTGCTTCCAACTCCATACCTGCCTTCCCTGAATTGAACAAGCAGTCCACACTGTGGCTCAGCGTTCAGGTTGAAGTACTCTGATGTGCAAAAAAAATTTGCAGTGCAAATTGGGGCCATCCTGGTCTACTCCCTATTTGAGTTCTTTCATTCCTGTATCCAAAAGGGAGTGGAATTGATTGATGTTGGGTGGGCTGTGGCCTCCTCACTTGCCTCTTCTTTTTTGAATTCCGTGTTCCTCATTGGCCTAGGGTTTCCTGGGTCTGGCTTAATGACTTCCACACTAGATATTTCCCAGTTGACAAAGAACAACCCTCATGGGAATCCATTGAGTTAGTGTTTCCTTCTAAACAATGTCAGCTTTTAATGACTGGACAGTTTCATACTTTTAACACTGTAAATTCCCATTAATGTCTACCAACAGGAAAACTCTTGTTCTCCCACTTCTATAGGAGGGCTGCATGATTCCTATAGGATATGAATCAGGCAGCCGTGTCTGGCTTATGCCTGGTAATCTAACTTATCTTCCATTTTATCTGCACAGCCTTCACATTGTAAAAGAGCTCTTTCATTGGGCTATTGCTGGATGATATGGCCTCTTGCCACAAATTATTAAGCTTCCAGGGATTTCAGAGAGCAAAAGGGACTTCAGGTAGGCTGACTGTGCTCCATGTTGTGGGTTGTTGTCTCACTGTTGGGCTCAGGTTGTTTGCACTTTGCAGTAGGCTTTTGAGTCCTCTGACAGGAATCACTGAACAGTGCAGAGACTCCAGCACAGGGCACCTCATTCTTTAAGGCAAGCCTTGATTTTTCTTTGCTTTCGAGGGGAATCCACAGTGCCCCTCAATAGCACTACTGGACAGGTTTTTCAGGCTTGGCCTCACCACAGAAGGCATCTGAGACACTTTCTCACCCATATCTGCATGCATGAGAAGCCAGTCTGAGATGTGAGAACACTGCTTCGTTTTGGGCTTGCCTTTGTTCTGGCCCTGTGCAGAGATCCCCTGTAAGACCCAGGATGAAGGGAGGCAGTTAGATAAAGAGCCCAACCATCATTCACTGACACCCACCTCTGGGGTTTCAGGTATGTCTCTATCACTTAAAGAACCCTCAACAACAAACCAGACTATATTGCAATGCCCCTGGGGCCTGATTCTTGCACATAGCCTATTTCAGAAATGGAGTCAGGAGAGCAGTTTCCAGGAACCACCTCACATCACAGTCTTGAAACTCCTCCTTCTCTAGTGGGATCCCACATCAGAGAAGGCATGAAGGGGCTCTGAGGTCCAGACTTTTAGGGTACCACAGTGAGATGTTGCATGCAGCCTTTTTCCCAATACAATGCTGGCTCTGCCTATATGATTTTTCTCTGTTTAGGCAGGTTGACAGCTTTGACAGCTGGGCACCTGGTCCTGGCTCATGAATGCACAGGCACTAGTCTCAGGCATTAGGCCTGATTGTGAGCTCTGGCTTGCATTACAATGAATGTCACCATTGCCTAGAGACACATCCCTGGGCCTTGGCAGAGAAGGAGACTTTGTGGAGGTGCTGCAGCCGTTGACTGTCATCTTTCTTCCCTGTGGGATTCACAGAATAGTCCCCTGATCCTAGTAGAGGGCAGAGGTTAACCAGCCTAAAGAAATGTCAAGCAAAGACCCATGAATAAACCTGAAAATCCCTAAAAATCCAAAGGAATCTTAGGTTTCCTCAGACCTGCCTACAGGTTGTAGTAGTGAGTCATTTTGAAACTTGCCCCACTGTGATTTCTCGGTACAGCCTGCCTGTGTTCTATGGGTTTGCTCTCTCCAAGGTGCAGCTTCCTGCAGAATCATGCAGCCACAGGTGCTGCCAGACTGTGTTTCTGTAGGAGTGTTGCTATTGTTGGATGTCTGTGTGTGTCTGTGACATGGTGTGTGTGTGTGTGCACATGTATGTAATAAAGTCTGCTTAAAGGAATGTGGCTAATGCACTTCAGTGCTTCTTTTTTTTGAGTGTCCCAACCTTTTGGTGGCCTGTCTGTGTGGCTCTTCTTGAGTTGCAGGGCTCGATGTTCTTTATGTTTCTGTGCATCATGATTCTGCAGTGAATTGGGAGGCAAGCTGATATTTGCTGGAGTCCAAATCACCGACCGTTGCAAAAAAAGCCACTCTTCTAGAAAAAAGAGGAGCACACCACACCAAAATTCAGACATCTCCAGTGTTTCATTGTCCTGCAACCAACTACGGAAGAGATACTAGCAGTCCCTTTAGCATTACCCCTTGAATTTACCTCCCATTCTGTTCCCAGCTGAGCAGGTCCTTCATGTTGTGAGGGGGCTCTCTTTCATTGCCTTGGGATTTCATTCTGGGACATAAAGTGTGAGCAACAGTAAGGACAGATAGAGGTGAGGATATAATCTGGTGAAAGGTAGATGAGGTCCCAAAATTTCACCTGCAAAAAAAAAGTGAAAACAGCTGACACAGAATGTGTTTCCAACTCCATCCCCACATTCCCTAAATTGCACAAGCAGTCCACACTATTCCTGGGTGTTCATGTGGGAGTATTCCAATGTGCAAGGAACATTTGGAATGCAAATTGGGACCAGCCTGGCAAACTCCCAGTTTGAGTGTTTTCATACCCAGAAACAAATGGGAGTGGAATGAATTGATGCTGGGTGGGATGTGGCCTCCACACTTAACTCTTGTTTTCCTGAATTACATGTTTCTCTTCGGGCCTAGGGTTTCCTGCATCTGGCTCAATGACTTCCACACTAAGCATTTCCCAGTTCATGGAGAACGACACTCATTGGAATCCACTACGTGAGTATTTTCTTCTAAACAGTGTCATGTTTTAATGACTGGGCAAAACCACAAATTCCTGTTACAGTCACCAGCAAGAATACTCTTGTTCTCTCACTTCTATCCGAGAACTGCATGATTCCTGTAGGATGAGAAGCAGGTAGCTGTTTGTGGCTTGTGCCTGGTCATCTTGCCTATGTTTTATTTTATCTGCACAGCCTTTTTATTGTGGAGGGACTCTTTTATTAGGCTGTTGTTGGATGAGACTGCCTCTCATCACAGATTATTGGGTTGCCAAATATTTCAGAGAGCAAAAGGGACTTTGGGTAGGCCAACTGTGCTCCAGGTTGTGGGTTGTTGTCTTGTTATGGGGGCTGATGTTGTTTGCACTTTGCAGGAGGCTTTTGGGTCCTCTGACAGGAATCATCGAAGATTGCCTGATGCCAGCACAAGGCAGCTCATTGTCTCAGGTGAGGCTTGATTTATCTTTGCTCTCATGGGGAAGACACAGTACCCCTCAACAGCACTGTTGGACACACTTATCAGGCTTGCCATTGCCACAGATGGCCCCTGAGACAATGTTTCAACCTCATCTCCACACGCTAGTGTTCAGTCTGAGGTGGGAGAAGACTGCTCCACCTTGGACTTGCCTTAGTCTTAGTTCCTGCCCTTCCCAAAGAGCCCCTGCAAGTCCCAGGGTGAAGGGAGGCAATGACATCAAAAGCCCAGGCATCGTTCACAGACAACAACCTCTGTGGTATCAGGTATGATTCTATCACCCAAGGAACCCTCAAAAACACACCTGACTGTATTCCAATACTTATGGGACCCGATTCTGGCACACAGCCTCTTTCAGGAATGGAGTCAGAAGAGCAGTTTCCAGTGACCACCACACATTCTCAAAATGTCTCCTCCTCCAGTGGTACTCATCCATGGAGATGGCTTTGGGAGCCCTTAAGTAGAGACATTTATGGTCCTGCAGTGTGTTTTCACAGGCAGCCTTTTTCCCAATAGCATGCCGGCTCTGCCTATACCATTTTCCCCTCTTAAGGCAAGCTGACAGCTCTGACTGCCAGTCACTCAAGCCTGCCTCATGAATGTGCATGTGCTAGTCTCAGGGCAAAAGGCCTGATTATGAGCTCTGGCTAGCTTCACAATTAGTGTCACCATTGCCTAGTAACAAGTCCTTTCAGCTTGGTGAAGGACGAGACTTTTGTAGAGGTGTGTCAACCGTAGGCTCTTGCCTGTCTTTTCTGTGGGACCGCAGGATAGTCTATTGATCCCAGGAGAAGTCAGACGTGAGCTAGCCTGAAGAAACATCAAGCACAGCCTCAGAAATAAACTGAGAAATTCCTAAGGATACAAAAGGGTCTGCAGGATTACTCAGGCTTGTGTAGGCATTGTAGAAGTGAGTCTTTTTGAAACTTGCCCAACTGTGATTTTCAATTACTCCTGCCTCTGTTCCCTGGGGTTGCAATCTCCAAAGTGGGGCTTTCTGCACAACCACACAGCCTCAGGAGCAGCTGGGGTGTGTGTTTCTGTGGGAGTGTTGTGAGTATTGAATGTCTGCATGTGTGTGGCATTGTGTGTTTGTGTGTGTATGCATATGAACCTGTAAGTGAAGTCTGCTTAAAGGGATTTGGCTAACGCATTTTAGCCCTTCTTTTTTTTTGGAGTCAGCCAACTTTTGGTGGTTTCTCTGTGTGGTTCTGCTTGGGCTGCAGGGCTCAGTGTTTTTTATTCTTATGTGGATTATCAATCTGCAGTGAATTGGGAGCCAGGCTGAGACCCAACAATGTCCAAATCAACTCCCCCAGCAAATAAATAAATAAATAAATAAATAAGCCACTCTTCGAGAAAGAAAAGGAGTATACCACATGAAAAAACAGATATCTCCCAGTGTTTCATTGTCCAGTTGCCAGCCCAGGAAGAGACACTAACAGTCCTGTCCACATCGCCCCTTGAATTTACCACGAATTCAGCTCCCAGCCTAGCAGGTGCTTCATGTCACGATAAGGTGCTCCTTCATAGTCTTGGGATTTCATCCTCGTACATAAGAGTGTGAGCAGCAATAAGTTATATAAGGGTGAGGCTACAATTTGGTGAGGAGTGGTTGGAGACCCACAACTTCACCTGCAAAAAAATAAAGGCAGATGACACATAAGGTGCTTTCCACTCCATCCCCACATTCCCTTAATTACACAAGCAGTCCACACTGTGGCCTGGTGTACAGGTTGGGAGACTGCAATGTGCAAGGATCATTTGGTGTGTAAATTGGTGTTATTCTGGCAAAATCCTGATTTGGGGGCTTTCATACCCAAAGCCAAATGGGAGCAAAATGGATTGATGCTGTGGGGATGTTGCCTCCACACTTGCCTCTTCTTTTCTGGACTTCCATTTTTCTCCTTGGCCTAGGTTTTAATGGGTCTGGTTCAACAGTTTTCACACGAAACGTTTCACATTTCACAAAGAATAACCCTCATCAGAATCCGTTGCATGGATATTTACTTCTAAACACTGTCACGTTTTAATGACTAGGCAGCTTTGATAGTTTTAAAGCCATAAATTCCCATTAGAGCCTCCAACAAGGAAACTCTTGTTATCCCATGTCTATCAGATAGACGTGGATCCTCCTCCTGTAGGATGAGAAGCAGACAGCCATGTCTGGCTTTTCCTGGTAATCTAGCCTCAGTTTTATTTCATCTACATGGTTTTCTCATTTTGGAAGGGCTCTTTCATTGGGCTGCTGCTAGATGGGACTGCCTCTCACCACAGATTATGTAGCTGACAGGATTTCAGAGAGCCCAGAGAGCCAAGGGACCTCAGGAAAGCTGGCTGAGCTCCAGGTGGTGGGTCATTGTCTCGTTTTGGGGCCTGAGGTTGTTTGCACTTTGCAGAAGGGATTTGGGTCCTCTGACAGGAATCACTGAACATTGTTTGGACCCCAGGACAAAGCAGCTCATTCTCTCAGTGAGCCTTGATTTATCTTTGCTTTCATGAGGAATCTACAGTGGCTCTTGATGGTACTGCTGGACACCCTTTTCAGGATTGCTATCACCACAGACGGCCTTTGAGACACTGACTCAACATCATCTGCAACTGTGAGAAGCCAATCAGAGGTGTGAGAACACAGCTCCACCTTGGTCTTGCCGTTGTCATGGTTACTGCCTTTCCCTGAGAGCCTCTGTGAGGCCCAGGATGAAGAGAGACAGTGTGGTAAAGAGAACAACCATCTTTCACTGACGCCAGCCTCTGGGGTCTCAGGTATGATCCTATCACCCAAAGAACCCTAAAAAACACACCAGGCTATATTCCAAATCCCATGGGACTTGATTCTTGCACACAGCCTCTTTTGGGAATATAATTAGAGTAGAAGTTTCCAGCAACAAACTCACAGTCTTAAAATGCCTCCTTCTCCAGCAGGAAGCAATCACAGATGGCACAAAAGGGGTCCTGGGAAGTTGAGACTTTTAAGGTCCCACAGTAGGTTTCACAGGTAGCCTTTTTTTTCTGGTACTGGGCTTGCTCTGCCTATACCATTTTCCTCTGCCTAGGCAGGCTGACAGCTCTGACAGCTGGACACTTTAGTCTTCCTCACAAATGAGTACGCCCTAGTCCTAGGGCATGAGGCCTGATTGTGAGCTCTGGCTAGTATCACAATGAATGCACTACTGCCTAGAGACAAGCCTCCAAGGCTTGGCTGAGAAGGAGAACTCCTTGGAGGTTGTGTCAGCAGTGGACTCTTGCCTGTCTTCTCTGTGGGGTCCATAGTATGATCCCATGATCCTAGGAGAGGGCAGACGTGTGCCTACCTTAAGAAACCTCAAGCAGAGCCCAAGGAATAAACCGCGAAATACCTAAAAATCCAAAGGACCTGCAGGATTTTTCATGCTTGCCTAGATGTTGTAGGGTTGAGTCTGGAACGCAACCCAACTGTGCTCTCCAGGGTTGCTCTCTCACAGATGGTGCTTCCTACAGAACCTCAGAGCCTCAGAAGCTGCCGGGCTGTGTGTTTCTTTGGGAGTGTTGTGAGTGTTGTATGTCTGTGTGTGTGTTTGGCATTGTGTGTGTGTGTGTGTGTGTGTGTGAGTGCACTTGTAAATGGAGGTTGCTTAAAGGAATGTGGCTAATGCACATAAGTGCTTCTTTTTGTTTGTTTGTTTTTGCTCTCTTAACCTTTTGATAGCCTGTCCGTGCATCTGCTTGGGCTGTGGGGCTCTGTGTTCTTTATTTTTTTGTGGATTATGAATACATAGTAAATTGAGAGGCTGGCTAAGACCTGCCAGAAACCAAATCAACTTCCCTCTATAAAAACAGCCACTCTTCTCGAAAGAAGAGGAGCACATCACACCTAAAAGCAGACATCTCCCAGTGTTTCATTGTAATGAGGCCAATCCGGGGATAGACACTAGCAGTCCTATCTGCAGTGCCAATTGAATTTACCTTGAATTCCATTCCCAGCTGAGCAGGTGCTACAGGTCTTGAGCGGGTATTCCTCCATCATCTTGGGATTTCATTCTCAGACAGAGTGTGAGCAGAAATAAGATCAGATTGGGATGAGGATGCAATCTTCTGAGGGGTGAATGAGGACCCACACCTTCATCTGCAAAACACATGAAGACAGTTGACAGAGAATTTGCTTCCAACAGCATACCCACATTCCTTTAACTGTACAACTAGTCCACAACATGGCCCAGTATTCAGGTGGGAGTATTCAAATGCAAAGGGAACATTTGGAATGCAAACTGGGGCCATGCTGGCAAACCCCTGATTTTATGGCTTTCATACCCAGAGCCAAATAGGAGTGGGATGGGTTGATGCTTGGTGGCAGGTGGACTCCATACTTCCCTTTTCTTTTTCTGACTTCCATGTTTCTCATCATCCTAGGGTATCCTGGGTCTGCCTCAACGTCTTCCATACTTAAAATTTTTCAGTTAATTGCAAACAACCCTCATGGGAATCCATTGCAAGAGTGATTCCTTCTAAACACTGTCATGTTTTAATGACTGGGCAGCTGTGATACTTTTAAAACCATAAATTCCCATTACTTCAGTCAACAAGGAAACTTGTTCACCCAGTTACATTGGAGGGCTGCATAATTCCTATAGGATGAGAAACAGGCAGCCCCACTGGCTTTTGAGTGGGAGTCTAGAATATATTTTATTGCATCTGCACATCCTTTCTCACTGTGTGTGACATTCATTGGGTTGTTGCTGGATGAGACTGCCTCTCACCGCAGATCTTTTCACTGCCAAAGATTTCAAGGAGCAAAAGGGATTTTGAGTAGGCTGGCAGCACTCCAGGTTGTGGGTCAGGTCTGTTTTTGGAGGCTGGGTTTTTTGCAAATTGGAGAAGGCTTTTTGTGTGCTGACAGGAATCTTTGAATGTTGCTTTGACTCCAACACAAGGCAGCTCATTCTAGCAGTTGAGCCTTGATTTATCTTTATTCTCATGGAGAATCCACAGTGCCTCTCAATAGCACTACTGGACAGCCTTTTCAGGCTTGTAATCACCACAGTTGGCCTTGAAGACACTGTCTGAACCTCTTCTGCACCTGTGAGAAGAGAGTCCGAGGTGTAAGAACACTGCTTCATCTTGGACTTGCTGTGTTGTGGTTCCTACCTTTCTGAGACAGGACTGCAAGGGCCAAAATGAAGGGAAGCATCAAGGTCGAAGGCATGACCATCTTTTCCTAACACCCACCTCTGGAATCTCAGGTATGATTCCATCATCCAAAGACCCCTCAACCTCTGATCAGACTATATTCCAATCCCCATGGGCAAAGATTCTTTGACACAGCCTCTTTCAGGAATGG
Source organism: Homo sapiens (assembly GCF_000001405.40). Taxonomy (NCBI): domain Eukaryota; kingdom Metazoa; phylum Chordata; class Mammalia; order Primates; family Hominidae; genus Homo; species Homo sapiens. Next base: position 9,800,763 of record NC_000024.10, read on the forward strand.
AGTCTGAATATCGTTTCCATGGACCACCTCACAGTCTCAAAACACTGCCTTGTTCAGTGGGACCTGACCAGAAAGACTGCCTGAAGGTGCGGTAATGCTGAGACTTTTAGAGTTTTGCAGAGTTTATCAGAGGCATCATTTTTTTTGACATCAGGCCACTACTGCCTATAATATTTTCCTCTGTTTAGGAAGGCTGACAGCTCTGACAACAGGACACCAGAGCCTGCCTCACCAATGCAATGCACTAGTCTCAGGGCACCAGGCCTGAGCTGTGAGCTCTGGCTAGCATCACAATGAATGCCACCATTGCCTAGCGACAAGTCCCTGCCATAAGGTAGAGAAGTAGCCCTTCGTGGAGGTGCACAGACCATGGATTCTTGCCTTCTTCTGTGTGGGGTCCACAGGATATTCCCATAGTTCTAGGAGAGGACAGACATTAGCCTGCCTAAAGAAACATCAAGCAGAGCCCCAGGAATAAACTGTGGAATTCCTAACGATTCAAAAAGATTTGCAGGATGCATCAGACCTGCCTAGACATTGTAAGGGTGAGTCTTTTTGAAATTTGCCCCACTGTGATTTCTAGGTACAGCCCATTTGTGTTGCCCGGAGTTGCTATCTCCCAGATGGGGCTTCGTGCAGAGCCACGCAGCCTCAGAAGCTGCCAGGATGTGTGTTTCTATGAAAGTAATGTGAATGTTGAATGTCTGTGTATGTGTGTGGCTTTGTGTGTGTGTGTGTGTGTGTGTGTGTGTGTGTGTGTGCACCTATAAGTAGAATCTGCTTAAAGCAATGTGGCTAATGCACTGCAGCACTTTTTTTTTTTTCAGTCTTCCAACATTTTGTTGGCCTGTCTGTGGCTCTGCTTGGGCTGCTGTCCATCCTTTTCTTTATCATTTTGTGGAGTTTGAATCTGCAGTGAATTGGGATGCTGGCTCAGACCTGCCGGAATCCAAATTACTCTCATCTGTAAAACAGCCACTCTTCTAGAAAGAAGAGAAGCACACCACAAACACAAAGAGACATCTTCCAGTGTTTCATTGTCCTGGGGCCAACCCATAGAGAGACACTAATAGTCATGTCCACCTTCAATTTACTTCGAATTCATTTCCCAGCCTAGCAGGTGCTTCAGGTCATGAGGGGTTACTCTTTCATCATCTTGTGGTTTCATTTTGGGATAGAGAATGTGAACAACAACAAGGTTAAATAGGGGTTGGGATACAATCTGATGAGGGGTGGAAAGAGACCCACACATTCACCTGCAAAAAATGTGAAGATAGTTGACACAAAAGTTGCTTCCAACAGCACCACAGCATTTCTTTCATTTCTCAAGCAGTTTACAACATGGCACAGTGTTCATGTGGGAGTTCTCCAATATGTAGGGAACATTTCAGATGCAAAATTGGGCCATCCTGGCAAACTCCCAAGTTGAGGGATTTCATACCCATAGTCAAATGGGAGTTGGATGGACTGATGCTGGGTGGGATGTGGCCTCCACACTTCCCTCTTCTTTTCATGATTTTGGTGTTCCTTGTCAGCCTAGGGTTTTCTGGGTGTGGCTCACCATTTTCCATACTAAACGTTTTCTGCTCCATGAAGAACGACCTACGTGGGAATCCATTGTGTGATTGTTTCCTTCAAAATACTGTCAAGTTTTAAAGACTGGGCAGCTTTGATAGTTTTAAAACTATAAATTCCAGCTATAGCTGCTAACAAGGAAACTCTTGTTCTCCCACTTTTATTGGATGGCTGCATGATTCCTGTGGGATGAGAAAGAGGCAACCATGTCTGGCTTTTGCCTGGTAATCCAGCCTCTGTTTCATTTCATCTGCACAACCTTCTCATTGTGGAAGGGTTCTTTCATCGGGCTGTTGGTGGATGGGACTGCCTCTCATCACAATTATTTAGCTGCCAGGAATTTCAGAAAGCAAAAATGACTTCAGGTAGGCTGGCTGTGCTCCAGATTGTGGGTTGTTGTCTCATTGTTGAAGCTGAGGTTGTTTGCACATTGGAGGACACTTTTTGGTCCTTTGACAGAAATCATTGAACATTGCTTTAACCGCAGTAAAATGCTGCAGATTCTTTCACATGAGTTTTGATTTTTCTTTACTTTCATGAAAAATCCACAGTGCCCCTCAACAACACTACTAGACATACTTTTCAGGATTGCCATTTCCACAGATGGCTGTGAGAAGCCAGACTGAGGTGTGAGAACACTGCTCCACAATGAACTTGCCTTTGTCACTGTTCCTGCCTTTCCCAGAGAGCCCCTTCCAGGCCTAGGATGAAGGGAGGCATTGAGGTTAAGAGCCCGGGCATCTTTCACTGACACTTGCCTCTGCAGTCTCACGAAAGATTCTATCACCCAAAGAACTCTGAACAACACACCAGGCTATAGTCTCTCCATGAGGCCCAATTTTTTGCACACAGCCTTTTTCGAGAATGGAGTCCAAATAGTAATGCCTGCAACCACCCCACAGTCTTAAAAAGCCTCTTCCTGCAGCAGGTGGAATTCTGAGTTTGTGTGTGTGTGTGTGTGTGTGTGTGTGTGTGTGTGTGTGTGTGTATGTGTGTTCCCGTAAGTGGAGTCTCCTTAAAAGAATGTGGCTAATGCACTTCAGCCCTTCTTTTTGTTTTGAGTTTCTCAATCTTTTCACGACCTGTGTGGTTCTGCTTAAGCTGCAGGGCCCATATTCTTTATTTTTCTCTGGATTATGATTCAGATCCCAGATAAGCAGGGGCTTCATATCGTGAGGGGGCAATCCTCCATTTTCTTGGAATATCATCCTGGGACAGAGTGAGCAGAAACAGGGTCAGATTGGGGTGAGGATACAATCTGGTGAGAGATGGATGAGGTCCCATAACTATACTTGGAAAAAAATGAAGACAGATGACACAGAAAGTGCTCCCAACTCCATCCCCATATTCATTTAATTGCATAAGCAGTCAATACCGTGGCCCAGTGTTCAGGTGGCAGTACTCCAGCATGCAACAACATTTGGAGCTCAAATTGGCGCCACCCTGGAAAACTCCCGATTTGACCTCTTTCATACCCAGAGCCAAGTGGGAGTGGAATAGATTGATGCTGGGTGGGATGTGGCCTCCCTTGCCTCTTCTTTTCCTGACTTTCATGTTCCTTGTTGGCCTAGGGTTTCCTGGGTCTGGACTTCCACACTAAATATTTCCCAGTTAATGGAGCACAACCCTCATGGGAATCCAATGTGTGAGTGTTTCCTCCTAAACACTGTCATGTTTTAATGTCTGGATAGCTTTGATGCTTTTAAATCCATAAATTCCCGTTACAACCGCCAACAAGGAAACACTTCTCCCACTTCCGTTGAAGGGTTGCATGATTCCTGTAGGATGAGAAGCAGGCAGCTGTGTCTGGTTATTACCTGGTAATCTACCCTCTGTTTTATTTTATCTGCACTGCCTTCTTATTGTGGGGGGTACTCTTTTATTGGGTTGTTGCTTGATGGGACTGGCTCTTGTTGCAGATTATGAGCTGCCAGGGATTTCAGAGAGGAAAAGGGACTTCGGGAAAGTTGGTTGCACTCCAGGTTGTGGGTCCTTGTCTCCTTGTGCCAGCTGATGATATTTCCACTTTGCAGGAGGCTTTTGGGTCCTTTGAGAGGAATCACTGAACATTTCTTATACTCCAGCACTAGGCACCTCATTCTCAGCCAAGCCTTGATTTTCCTTTGCTTTCATTGAGAGTCCACAGTGCCTCTCAACAGCACTACTGGATACCCTTTTGAGGCTTCCATCACCACAGAGGGCCTCTGAAACACTGTCTCAACATCTTCTGCACCCGTGAGAGGACATTCCGATTTGTGAGAACACTACTCCACCTTGCAGTGTTAAATGTTTGTGTGTGTGTGACATTGTGTGTGTGTGTTTGTGTGTGCCTGAGATTGCCTCTGGGGTCTCAGGTATAATTCCATTACCCAAAGACCCCTCAACTTCTCACCAGACTATATTCTAATCCACGTGGGACTTGATTCTTGCACACAGCCCTTCTTGGGAATGGAGTTAGAAGAGCATATTCCAGCGATAACCTCACAGTCATGAAATGGTTCTTCCTCCAGCGTGACCCAACCATGGTGATGGTCATAGGAGTCCTAAGGTGAGACTTTTAGGGTCCTGCAGTGGGTTATTACAGTCAGTCTTTTTCCCAATACAAGGCCGGCTCTGTCCATACCATTTTCCTCTGCTTAGGCAGGCTGACAGCTCAGTCCACCTTGCTAACACACATGTGCTAGTCTCAGGGAACCAGGCCTGAGCTGTGACCTGTGGTTAGCATCACAATGAATTTGGCCTGTGCTCAGCAACAAGTCCCTGCAGTTTGGTGGAGGAGGAGACCTCTGTGGAGGTGTGTCAGTGATGGAACCTCACCTATCTTCTCTGTCTTACCCATGGGATAATTCCATGATCCAAGGAGAGAGCAGATGTGAGCCAGTCTGAAGAAATGTCAAGCAGCGCCCCAGAAATAAACCACAAAATTCCTAAGGATCCATAAAAATCTGCAGGATTCCTCAGGGTGGCCTAGATGCTGTAGGGGTGAGACTTACTGAAATGTGCCCCACTGTGGTTTCTAGGTTCAGACCTCCTGTGTTTCCTGGTGTTGCTCTCTTTCAGTTGGGGCTTCCTGCAGAACAATGCAGCCTCAGAAGCTACCAGGCTATGTGTTTCTGTGGGAGTGTTGTGAGTGTTGGATATCTGTGGGTGTGTGTGGCTTTGTGCATTTGTGTGTGTGTGCCTGTAAGTGGTTTCTGCTTAAAGCAATGTGGCTAACACACTGCGGTGCTTTATATTTTTTAGTGTTTTAACCTTTGGATGGCCTGTCTGTGTGACTCTTCTTGGGCTGCAGGGCTCCCTGTTCTTTATGTTTCTGTGGATCATGAATCAGCGATGAATAGGTAGGCTGGTTGTGACCAGCCAGGGCCCCCATCATCTTCCCCTGCAAAAAAAAAGGCACTCTTCTAGGAAAAAAAAAAAGAGGAGAACATTACACCCAAGAAGAGACACCTCTCAGTGTTTCATTTGTAATGCAGCCAATCCAGAGAGAGACACTAGCAGTCCTGTCCACAGAGCCCATTGAATTTCTCTCAAATTCAGCTTCCAGCTGAGCAGGTGCTTCATGTCATCAGGGGGCACTTCTCCATCGTCTTTGGATTTCTTTCTGGGGCAGAGACTGTGAGCAGCAATAAGGTCAGATAGGGGTAAGAATACAATCTGGTGAGTGGTTGATGGGGTCCTGTATCCTCACCAGCAAAAAAGGTGAAGGCTGAGGACACAGAGGTGCTTCAAACTGCATCCCCACATTCCCTTAGTTGCAAAAGCAGTCCACACCATGGCCCAGTGTTCAGGTGGGAGTACTCCAACTTGCAGGAAACATTTTTAGTGCAAACTAGAGCCAACCTGGCACACTTCCCATTTGAGGGCTTTAATACCCGAAGCCAAATGGGAGAGTGAGATGGAATGATGCTGGGTGGGATGTGGCCTCCACACTTGCCTCTTCTTTCCCTGTCTTCCAGGTTACTCATTGGCCTAGGCTTTCCTGGGTCTTGCTCAATGATTTCCACACTAAACATTTCCCTGTTCATGAAAAATGACCCTCATTAAAGTGCATTTCGTGTTTCCTTCTAAACACTGTCATGTTTTTATAACCGGTCTTCTGCGATAATTTTAAAACCATAAATTTCTGTTAGAGCCAGCAACAGGGAAAATTTGTTCTCCCACTTCTAACAAAGGGCTGCATGATTCCTGTACTATGAGAAGCAGGCAGCCGTGTCTGGCTTTTACCTGGTAATCTAGCTGTTTCCTTTCATTTTCATGTTCTTTTTTATTGTGGAGGGGGTCTTGCATTTGGCTGTTGCTGGATGGGCTGCCTCTCACCACACATCTTTTTGATGCCACTGATTTCAGGGAGCAAAATGGACTTCAGTTAGGCTGGCTGCACTCCATATTGTGAACTGTTGTCTCATTGTGGTGGCTGAGATTGTTTGCACTTTGCAGGAGAATTTTGGATGCTTTCACAGGAATCTTTGAACATTTCTTGGACTCCAGCACAAGTCAACTCATTCTGTCAGGAGAGCCTTGATTTATCTTTGCTTTCATGCTGGGTCCACATTGCCCCTCAACAACAATATTGGCATTTTTCAGGCTTGTAATCACCACAGAAAGCCTCTGAGAAAATTTCTCAACCTCATCTGCACCCATGAGAACACAGTTTGATGTATGAGAACACTGTTCCACCCTGGACTTGCCTTTGTTGTGGTTCCTACGTTTCCCAGAGAGCCCCTGTGAGGCCCAAAATGCAGAGAGACAATGAAGACAAGGGCCCAGCCATCTTTTATTGATCCACACCTCTGGGGTCTGAGGTATAATTCCATCACACAAAAACCCTTCAACAACTCACCAGACTATATTCCAATTCATATAGGATCTGATTCTTGCATGCAGCCCTTTTCAGAAATGGAGTCAGAAGAGCAGTGTTTGTCCACCACCTTACAGTATTGAAACACCTCCTCCTCCAGCATGGCCTGAATACGTAAACATCCCGAAGGGGCCCTAAGGTCGAGAATTTTAGCATCCTTCAGTGCATAATGGCAGGAAGCACTTTTTTTTTTTTCACGATACCAGGGCGGCTCTACCTGTACTGTTTTCCTCTGCTTAGGTCAGGCTGACAGCTCAGCTAGACGGTCACCTGAGTCTGTCTCACAAACCCACAGGTGCAAGTCTCAGAGCACCAGGCCTGATTGTGAGCTCTGGTTAGCATCATAATAAATGTCACCATTGCCTAGCATCAGTTCCTCCTGCTTGGCAGAGAAGGAGACCTCCATGAAGATGTGTTGGCGGTGGACTCTTGCCTATCTTCTCTGTGCAATTCACGGGATGGTTCCATGAATCTAGAAGAGGGCAGACTTGAACCAGCCTCAAGAAACTTCAAGCATAACCTCAAGAATAAAAAGCAAAATCCCTAAGGATTCAAAACAATCTGCGGGTTTCCTCACGCCTGCCTAGACATTGTAGGGTAGAGTCTTTTTGAAAGTTGCCCCATTGAGATTTCAAGGTGTAGCCTGCCGGTGTTCCCCATGGTTGCATTGTTGCTCTTTCCTGCAGAACCACGCAGTGTCAGGAGCTGCTGAACTGTGTGTTTTTGGGTAAGTGTTGTGAGTGTCTGATGTCTGTGTGTGTGTGTCTGGCATTGTGTGTTTGTGTGTGTGTGTGCCTGTAAGTGGAGTCTGCTTAAAGGATTGTGTCTACCTCGCTTCAGTGCTTCTTTTTTTTTTTTTTTTTTTTGTCTCCATACCTTTTGGTGACTAGTCTATGTGGCTCTGCTCGGGCTGCAGGGCTCCGTGTTCCTTAATTTTCTTTGAGTCATTAATTCACACTGAATTGAGAGGTGGGTGGAGACCCGCCGGCGTCCAAATCACCTTCCCCTGCAAGAAAAAGCTACTCTTCTAAAAATAAATAAATAAACAATAAATAAATAAATAAAAGAGCAGCACACCACACCAAAATATCAGACATCTACTGGTGTTTCATTGTGCTGATGCCAACACACAAAGAGACACTAGCCGTCTTGTCTGCCAAGCCCCATGTACTTACCTCAAATTCAGCTACCAGCTGAGCTGGTGCTTCACGTTATGAGTTGGCCCTCCTCCATCGTCTAGGGATTTCACCCTGGGACATGGAGTGGGAGCAGCACTAAGGTCAAGTAGAGTGTAAATACAATCTGGAGAGGAGTGGATGGGGTCCCACAACTTCCCCTGCCAAAAAAAAATGTCACCAAAGGTATGACAAACTTCTTCCCCGAGTTCCCTCAATTGCACAATTAATCCACAGCAGCCCTGTGTTTGAGTGGGAGTACTCCAACGTGCAAGAAATATTTGGATTGCAAACTGGGGCCATCCTGGCAAACACCCGATTTGAGGGCTTTCATATCTGGAGCCAACTGGGACTGGAATGGATTCATGCTGCTTGGGATGTGACCTCCACGCTTGCTTCTTCTTTTCCTGACTTCCATGTTCCTTGTTGGCCTAGGGTTTCCTGGGTCTGGATAAATGACTTCAACACTAAATGTGTCCCAGTTCATGGAGAATGACCCTCATAGGAATCCATTGTGGAAGCATTTCCTTCTATCCACTGTAATGTATTAATGGCTGGACAGCTTTCATACTTTTAAAATTGTAAATTCGAGTTACAGCCACCGACAAGGAAACTCTAGTTCTATCACTTCTATTGGGGGTGCTGCATGATATCTGCTGAGTGAGAAGCAGGCAGCAGTGTCTGGATTTTTACTGGTAATCTGGCCTCTGATTCATTTCATCTGCATGGCCTTCTGTTTGTAGAGGGGCTTTGTTGGGCTGTTGGGGGATGGGACTGTCTTTCATCACAGATTATTTAGCTGCCAAGGGTTTTAGAAAGCAATAGGGACTTCAGGTAGGCTGGCTGCACTTCAAGTTGTGGGTCGTGGTCTCGTGGGGGCTCAGGTTGTATCCTCATCCTTATCTGACCTTATTGGTGCTCATACCGTATGTTCCAGGATGAAATCCCAAGACGATGGAGGAGTGTCACCTCACAACATGAAGCACCCACTCAGCTGTGAACCAAATTCGAGGTAAATTCAACGGTCCCTGCGGACAAGACTGCTAGTACCTCTCCCTGGGTTGGACTCAGGACAAGGAAACACTGGCAGATGTCACTTTTTTAGAGTGGTGTGCTCCTTTTCTTTCTAGAGGATTATTATTATTATTTCTTACTATTATTTGCATGGGGAGGTGATTTGGATGCCAGCCGGTCTTGGCCCACCTTCCAATTCACTGGGGATTTATCATTTTCATAGAAATAGAGAACACGGAGCCCCAGAGCTGAGCAGAACCACACAGACAGGCCATTAAACGGTTTTGATATTCAAAACAAAGAAGTGCTGAAGGGCATTAGCCATATTCCTTTAAGCAGTCTCCACTTACAGGGACAGACACACACCCACACAAACACAAAATACCACACACACAGAGACATCCAACACTCACAACACTCTCCCCGAAACACATAGCCTGGCAGCTCCTGATGCTGCGTGATTCTGTGGGAAGCCCCACTTGAGAGAGAGCAACCCCAGAAAACAGAGACAGGCTGCTCCTAGACATCACAGTGGGGTAAATTTCAAAAAGACTCACCACTACAACATCTAGGCCAGCCTTGGAAATTCTGCAGCTTCTTTTGGATTTTTAGGGATGTCGCAGTTTATTCCTAGGGCTCTGCTTGACGTTTCTTCAGGCTGGCTCACGTCTGCTTTCTCCTAGGATCATGGGACTATACTGTGGATCCCACAAAAAAGACAGGTGAGAGTCCACCGCTGACACACTTCCACGGAGGTATTCTTTTCTGGCAAGCCACAGAGACTTGTCACTAGGCAATTGTGGCATTCATGGTGACACTAGCCAGAGCTCAAAATCAGACTTGGGGCTCTGAGACTAGCACATCCACATTTGTGAGTCAGACTCGGGAGCCCAGTTGTCAGAGCTATCAGCCTGCCTAAGCAGAGAATATTGTTAAAGGCCGAGATGGCCTGGTATTTGGAAAAAGGCTGCTTGTGAAAACCCACTGCCAAACCCTAAATCTCTCAACCTCAGCGATCCTCCGAGCTGTCTTGGTGGTCGGGTACTGCTGAAAAGAAAGGCCTTTTGTGACTGTGAGGTCATCACTAGAAACTGCTCTTCTGACTCCAATCCTGAGAAGCTGTGTGCCAGAATCTGGTCTCATGGAAATTGAAATATAGTCTGGTGTGTTGCTCAAGGTTCTTTGGGTGATAGAATCATACCTGAGACCCCAGAGGCAGGTGTCAGTGAATGATGGCTGGGCTCTTGACCTCACTGCCTCCCTTCATCATGGGCCTTGCAGGGGCTCTCTGGGAAAGGCATGCACCATGAAAAAGGCAAGTCAAAGTTGGATCAATGTTCTCACACCTCGGACTGGCCTCTCTTGGGTGCAGATGAGGTTGAAACAGCATCTCAGAGGCCATCTGTGGCGATTGCAAACCTGAAAATAGTGTCCAGTAGTGCTGTTGATGGACAATGTGGAATCTCTAGGAAAGCAAAGAAAAATCAGTGCTGGCCTGAGAGAACGAGCTGCCTTGTGCTGGAGTCCAAGGAATGTTCGATGCTTCTTGTCAGAGGATGCAAAATCCTCCTGCAAAATGCAAACATGCTCATCCCCCACGACATGTCCACAACCCACAACCAGGAGCTCAGCCAATCTACCCAAAGTCTTTTTTACCCTCTGAAACCTCTTGCAGCCAAAAGATCTGTGGTGACAGGCAGTCCCATCCAGCAACAACCCACTGAAGGAGCCCCGTGACAATGAGAATGGACCTGCAGATGAAATGAAACAGAACAGTGGCAGGGAGAGGGGAGTGATGTAGCTGTGGGCATGCAAACCCAGGGCCTCCCACAAAGGAGTATCAGAGACAAATACAGTATCAAGAGATCAAGAGAGAATTACTCTCAGGAATGATTCATTCATGATGTTTATGAAAAGACCAAAAAGTTAAACAGCTTGTGAGGTTGTGAACATAAAAATATCACAAAGAAAAGCAAGCAAAATTGCAAAGTCCAGGCTAATTACCTTTCCTTTATAGGATTTTGAAAATCCCTTCCAGAATCCTCTTCCCAATATCTTCCACTCATGGATTCATTCAAGAAATATTTATTGAGCTAGAAAGGTCTAAGCATTCAGCAGATGGCGTCATATGCACTGTTGGTACTTCCATCATTTACAGAAAGGATGTTTGTTTTTTCTCTACAATGTTTTTCTCCCAAACATTATTCTTGCAAATTTGTATCCTATCAGATGCAGCCAATTGTTCCGGCCCTAAGAAGGTTCTCCACACCCCTGTAAACCCAGTTAAGAACTTCTTTCCCCTCCAACTAAGTTACTAAACTGTGTATATAGTAATGCTTGCCAGAGTACATTCCAATTATTGCTCTTTTCTTCATTCTCCAATTAAACTATGAATATTTTGAAGGAGAAGTCTATAAACACAATGGCTTGACATTTGTCAATATTTATTGTATAAAAGGTTATTAGATATATAACCTTTTTATATTTTATTTATATATAATATTCTAATATATTTATCCTAATTTTTGGAAAACAATATAAACAATGTTCACTGCCCATTCCTCCATTGACTGCTCAAATTTACACAATGTCTCTACTTTTGGAGCAATTATACAAACTTCCAAAAAACACCTGAAAATGTTTTTATTTTAATTTATTTTGTTTTTTATATTGAATCATTTTGTAGAGGCAAAAGTCTTGCCTCATGGCCCAGGCTGAAGTGCAGTGTGTGATCACAGCTAACTATAACTGTGAACTCCTGAGTAAGTAGAACAGCAGATGTGTGCCATCATGCCCAATTTAACTAATTAAATAATTAGTTACATTTTAGAGATAGTTCTTGCTGTGTTGCTTATGCTGCTGTCAAACTCTGGGTTTGAAGCAGTTCTCCCTTCTCAGCTTCCCAGAGAGCTGCAATTCCAGGCATGAAACACCAGACCTCAAAGACGAAATTTTAGATTTTAGAATATTGCGATATATTAGACTTAATTTCTTCTTTCAATCTTGCATTTGCGGTGACACTTGAGAATAATTACTACTTATGGTGAGAGTGTGATTTCTCATATTTGGTCACCAAATTTTGAAATTTTTATTCTGTTTACTTAAATCCTAATAACTGGTAGTCAACTCAGCTGAAAGTCACATACATGGATGTTTTTGTGCTGAGGCTATGAAGACAACAAATGTAGTGACGTATTAAGAACCAAAGACTATTATTTTTAATATATGCTAAAGCTTTATCCTTGCTGGTGAAGCATCATACATGGCATGGATAGTTTTATAAAATACCCTGAAATACATACTTTAGTAAACAATTTAGCACTTGTAATTTTTCAACTTTGTTTTCAGCGGAAGTTAATGATGTATGGCATTTCTAGTAGGTAAATGAATGTCTGAATTGTTGTGAGTTACTTTAGTCACTTCTCAGCTAACAATTTAAGTTATCAAAGGTCTTTACTTGTGCAATATCATAAATGATGGATATTAAAAATTAATAGAATGGATCTAACTAAAAGCTACCATCTAACGTGATATTTTTCAGGAAGATGACAGCAGTAATTATGCCAAAAAATAGTCATTCTCTTAGTTTGACCCATAATAGCAATTTCCAACCAAAGATTCCACAGGCAGGGTCCAGATCTGGGCAACAGTTATTAACATAATGGTTATTGTTGAGAATAAATTTTGATACGTCTAGCTGTGCTTGAATGTCAGTGCTTTGAAGGGACAGGTTTGGCGTATTAATAAGAAAGGGTGCATTGGACTGAATACTAATAAATGAATTGTTTTTCTTATCTTCTATAACATGAAAGTTCAATTTGAGATATAGAAACACTGGAACATTTCACAGCATGGCCTGACATTTCACTGCGTTTTTATTTTTTAACGATGTACAAAGTTCATTAAATACACAAAGGTAGGACTGCTACAGGAAGAAAGTGGTGGAGTCAGAGGTCACAATCCAAAGCAAGGTGACAGTCTCTTGAAGAAGACACCCTGAGTGCTGAATTAAGGTGAGAATCAACTTTCAGCTGTTAACAGGGGACAGGGAGAATGAAGTTATCAGCAGTTAACATTATTGGATTAATTGAAATGAATGTTGACAGAGATTTTATTGGCTTTACATCAAATGGAGTATAGTACTTCAAATTGCGTATTTGATGAGGGTAAACTCTTATCAATTTGCCACATGTAAAATTGAGAATTAATTAAGAGATTACACAACCCATACATTATGGGTATCTCATATAAATTTAAATACACATGTGCAAACTTGCAGTGTGCAAATATTTGTCTATACCTAAATATATCCAAATCCATTGATGAACAGTTAGAAATTTAGAAATTATTCTCCCATTTTATCATTCCCTTTCCTAGAATTTGGTCACAAATATAATTTTTCCATCTCTTTGAATCCTACTCTCTGGAGGTATGTAATGTATGGACACAGTAAAGCCTTGAGATATCACAGGGTTTGTATCAGAGAAAATAATAACACTGGTGTTACAAAAGATCCACTGTGAGGAGAAAGATATATTTAACATGATTACAAATACAGAAGTATTATTTCATCAAAAGCTGATATCAGTGAATACAATTTGTTTTTAATGTTTTATTTAAAATATTTAATATCAGAAGAATTTCTTGAGTAGAATAATGATATTGGTAAGAAATAATGATTCAGAATTTCCTTTAATTTGTTGATTATTTAAAATGTAAGTGAAATACTAAAAAGTACTGTATAATGTAGTTTCATGAAGCATTCTCTATGGTTTTATAAAATTAATAGTCAATGAAATTTTTTGACACAGAAATTTCCTTATATAATTTATTATTTATTATTGTACTTTCACTTTATTACTTGCATGTCATAACTGATAGAAATAAAAATATTTTCATTTACACATATACAAAACATCGATTTTTGTTTATGTTCTCTAGTGAGAGAAAGTCACCAATAATTTTATCTATGTAGGAAAATTTTGACAAGCCGAAAGTTCTTAACATTCTTTTCTTTTGAAGTTTCATATTTCAGTCTAGGTATGAGATCAAATTGACTGTGATTATTTTTTGATTTCACTATGACTACTGAGTTTCTGATATTGTGCTTTATATATATATATAGTGTTATATATATAGTGTTTTTATATATAGTGTGTGTTTATATATATATATATATATATACAGTGACACTCTCCTTAACCCAGATGGACTCCTTGTCCTCACTACATGGTCATGGCTCAAAGTATTACTCCTGGTGCCCCAGCCACTGTTTCCAGGTGCAGAGATTGACCAGCATACCCCTGAGTCCTTGTCCTCCAGTCCAAGTAATATCCATAGAAATAATAAAAGGGTGGCATATTAGTCTTCATGACATTTTTAAGGCTGACCTGTTTATAAGCATTTCATGCAGATATTTATGACTTTACCTCATTTATTTAACTTATTTATAGTGCTAATTTCAAAATCAATTTTTGCTTGAGAGTTATTTCAACATACAACCAAATGTTCAGAGCTATGACACAGGTTTCAAGCTTAAAAGTCTGTATCTGATATTACATTGGGTAAAACCCATCCAACACTTATAAAAATAAGTAATTATTAGGCATGGCCACTGTAATGATCTAAAACACACTTTGAAATTCTTTGCAAACCAATTTGAAAATATTCCTGATGTGACAGAACACAGTACTTGCTTCTAATTAATAGAAAACAGTGAAAGCATTTTCTGGATATTGGGCCACCTCTGGCCTAGGCTAGAAAAGGTGACACAGCTCTGCCTAAGTCTCCTGCTGTCATGGGGACAAACCCCTCAGGAGCCCCAGACCAGTACATCATGAAGTCTAACACCCTGATAACACTATGCAGAATGGACATCCCATGGAGAGACTCATAGAAATAAAAGGAGATGCCTGAGGATCTCAGCAGCCCAACCTCCACTATTTGAGTTATGCTAGCCATGGCACCAGGGAAATAAGAAGACACCTGGCAATGTCCCCATCCTGAGCCATCACTAGATTGTATCCTCCTGAGTGCCCCTGAACCACAATCATTTGGCTGAGAGACTGTGGAAGATTTTAGAGACTGAGAGTTAATAAATTATAATTATTGTTTGAAGCCACTAACTTTCTGATAATTTTGAAAAGCACTTTAGACTCCTAGAAAAACTGAGTTGTCTACTGATTTGAGTAATTTTAGAGAGCTTTAAAGGCCAACTTCATGAATGCTAATACCTTGGAAAAGTCAAACAATCAAGACTATTCTAAACACAACAGATATTTAATTTCCCTTTGCTATGGCTGGAGAATAATCTAACATGTATCTGACAGAGTACTTTGAAAGACTCTGTTCACATCTCTTTTCTGGGTATGTGCCAACTCTGGTCTGCTTTAATTTTAGTCAACTGCAGCAACTCATATATCATTTTAGGTCCTGGCCTACACTGATCTTTAATCACTGACTGTGTCTGTGTCTGTGTCTGTATGTATTGTGTGTTATCATATTTTATCCAAAGGGGCTAAATAACAGTGCTATAGTGGTTTCATAATCATAAAGCATTCCAGGAACACAATATTGCTTATCAACTGAGCTTTAAAACAGATATGAGGCAGGACGTGGTGGCTCACACCTGCACTCCCAGCAATTTGGCAAGCCAAGGTGGGTGGATCTCTTGATGTCAGGAGTTTGTGATAAGCCTGGCCAACATGGCAAGATCCCATGTCTAATATCATAGCAAAGCTAGCCAGGCTTGGTGTCCCATGAATATAATCTCATCTATGTGGGAGGCTGATGCAGGAGAATCCACTGAAACGCTGAGACAGAGTTTGCGGTGAAGTAAGATGACACCACTGCACTCCATCCTGGGCACCAGAGCCAAGACACTGTCTCAGAAATAAAAATGAAATAAAATAATAAAATAGACAGGAGAGATCACTGAGAAAAGAAACACATAAAACTGGGTGGGCATTGTGGCTTATGACTGAAATCCCAGCATTTTAAGAGGCTAAGGTGGGTGGATGGCTTGAGGAAAGGAGCTTGAGACCAGCCTGAGCAAATATTGTGAAACCTGGTCTTTACTAAAAGTGCAGAAAAAAAAAAAAAAGCTAAGATTGTTGTCACATGCCTGCAGTCATAGCTACTCGGGAGGGTGTGACTGGAGAACTGCTGGAACCCAGGATGGGAAGGTTGCAGTGAGCTGAGATCATGCCACTGCACTCCAGCCTAGGCAACAGAGCAGGATTCCATCTAAAAATATTAAACAGAGATACAGAGATAGAGGAAAGGAAGAAAGAAAGAAAGAAAGAAAGAAAGAAAGAAAGAAAGAAAGAAAGAAAGAAAGAAAGAAAGAAAGAAGATAGAAAGAAAGAAAGAAAGAAAGAAAGAAAGAAAGAAAGAAGGAAAGAAAGAAGGAAAGAAGGAAAGAAAGACAGGGAGAAGGGAGGGAGGGAAGAAGGGAGGGAGAAAAAGAGAATGAAAGGCATGAAACCAAAAGGAAATGAATAAAAATAAAAACATGATTTTACTCATTATCCACATGAATTTTGAACTATGTTTACATTAATATTTTATGTTTAAAATAATATTAATAATATTTAGGTCTCTGGTGGACTAACAGAAATGTTAAAATAAGCTGGTGTATATTTGACAATACTCAAGTAACTATGAGTATTGTCAAAATTACTCATGTAACTAAGCTTCTTGGAAGAGCTGAAACCTAGTTTCCAACAACCAAACACAATTGACATTTGTCATCAAATTGCACACTATTAGGGGCCGGGTAGTCTGTATTATGCTGCCTAGTCCATATTAAATTAAAAGTGCAATCAAATCTGCAAAAGATTTTCCATTTACTATTACCAGTAATGATTGTTTTGTTTCCTGACTTGTGGAGAGTTTTATTCCCATAGCTTTGATGGCTCTGGCAGAAAGCCTTCCTGTTCCAAACTCACCACTTATCATCATAGTACCCGCGTTCAGGCATTAAGAAGAAAAGAGCATCCAATCCCTCTGCTTTCCTGCATCGGCTCCCATGCACAAGCAAATGTGTTGTGTTAGTGGCTATCAAATATTCATGTATTTGATCAAGGAAATTTGTATTTCCAAATGGTAAAACAAAAATACTACTATCAGTTGTATTTTTATTATTTATTTACTTAGAGTGAGGGTCTTGCTCTGTCAACAGTCTGAATTATACATCACTGTAGTCTAACACTTTTGGGCTCAGAGGATCCTCCAACATCAACTTCCTAAAGTACTGAAATTATAGACTTTAGCCATTGTACCCAGCCTCAAGTTTAGAGATAAAGACTAACGAAGATATTGTAAAGCATGTAAATAAACATAATTGCAGGTTATCTACAGAGCTGTAAGAAACCACTGAAAAACTGCCATTGTGGACAAGGCTCCTGGCAAAAATGTAATGCAAACAAAGGAATGGGTCCTTCCCAATGAGCCTTCAGATAATACCAGAGACCAGCATGGCATTTCCATTGCTGCTTTTTGACAGAACATGAAACCTAGTTGTGTGCGTTTTGTGTGTGTGTATAAGCATACATTCACAACCAGTTGAACAATCTAGGATCACCCACACAGTGGAATATGATGCAGCTCTTTGTATATATGGTAGAATGCATCCTGAATCTGTCAGTTTCTTGGCTTTTTTTATTTTGGCTGGTAGGTTATTTATTAGTAATGATTCAATTTCAGAAATTGAAATTGGACAGGCTGGAGCTGAGACCGGGTTCACTTTGATTCTGTTGTGGAACAGAGAATGGCATGGCTGTAATTTTGGCTGTGATGATTACTGGAAGGTCTCTGCACAAATGGGCTAGTTTTCTGCCTGCAGCAGGAGGCTCTGGGGCTGAAAATCAGCTCCCTTGACATTGCTGTTGAACAGATCATTTAGAACCTGGTCTGGGCTAAGAAAGTTGCATTTGCCCAGAAAGTTTCTCAAAGAGCTTATAATTCCCTGACATAGGGAAGAACCAGAGCTGAGAGTGGGTTCTCCCAATAGGGAACAAAGGCTGGAGAGTCTAGATCCATTTTCTGCTGGAGAGAGCCTGGATAGACTACATTCATTGGCTCAGACAGGCAAGTTCCCCAGCATGGTAGTTGTTTCTGAGCAGCAGAGGGAGGAGCTGGAACTGAGACTGGGATTCTCGGTTTCTCAATAAAATCATGTGCTCTAGAGATTCTAACACCCCAGTGATTTCCATTAGATATATCAGAAGTGAACATCCTTCCAGAGGTAACAAGGCTTATTATATAAGCTACTTGCCCTCTGGGTCCAGTTAGAGCCAGCAACTTCATCCTTAACCACTAAACTGCCTAAACTGCCTCTGATATTCAGCCTGGGGATGGGTGGAGCACACAGGGCTAAGATGGTCAAAAGTATGATAGCCTAGATTGGGTGGGGTCACATGAACATTCTGTGGGTAATTACCAAGCTGCCTCTTTGTCACAGCCTGGGAAGTTCTGCAGAGAAAGCCAGGGTGGGATTTGGCAGTTGGCCAATGATTTGAGCCTGGCAGACCAATCAACCACGGTTGGTTGCTGCAGAATGATGTTGTTGCCTAGTTTCTCTGGTGGTTCTCCTCTGCTGGCTGGAATGCAAAGCCACCAGTAAGATTACTTTCATGGTCAATGTGAGCCCCATCCATGTAGTTTGTTTCTACCTGACCCCAGTTGTCTGATACCCTCGATGTTACCCACTGGGTAAGACTAGAGAGAACATCATGTGAAGAATTGCAAAATGGAAAAGAAAAGCCTGAATGTGCACTTTCAACTCTCTCCAATCTGAAGAAACTGTGAGTCCAGGGAAATGTTTTTCATATGCAACACTGTGCTGGCTTGGGGAGAAAAAAAACTTCAAATTAAAACTGTTCTTTTATCCTATGTGTATGGCTATTCTATGTTCTACAGTCAAAAAAGGTGTCATAGATTCAATCCCAAGTTATAGAATCATTCACTAAGGTGTCCTTATCTAAGGATATTTGTGAGCTGAGTTTTTGTTTGTTTGTTTTTTTGTTTTTGTGGAGAGGGTAGGAATTAGCAGAATCACAGAATGCCTACTCTGTCACTTCAGATCCCAGAAACAGGCAAGTTAAAAGAATGGTCTATGCTGATCACAGTGGCTCACACCTGTAACTCCAGCACTTTGGGAGGATGAGGTGGGCATATCACAAGTTCAGGAGGTTGAGACCATCCTGGCTAAAATGGTGAAATCTCCTCTCTATTAAACATACCAAAAAAGAAAAAAATCAGCCAGGCCTGGTGGCATGTGCCTGTAGTCCCAGCTACTTGGAAGGTTGAGGCAGGAATATATCTTGAACCCAGCAGATGGAGGTCAAAGTGAGCTGAGATCATGCCACTTCCCTCCAACATGGGTGACAGAGTGAGACTCAATCTCAAAAAAAAAAAATACTGGTCCTAAGGGAGGAGTTTAAAATGTTGTGGTGCTTCCATGGAGAACCTGAAAGCTAGAGTAAGCCAAGGGTTGGATTTAAGGACAATTTCACGGGACCACCGAAAACCACTTTTTTTTTCCTCTGTGGAACAAAGGAAACAGTGAATGCTGAGCTCCACTGCTTACTGATATAGGCACATTATCAGCCAGAGATACATGGCTTATTCTGTTTGTGTTCCTATAAAAGAATGAGACTGGAACATTTATAAAGAAAAAAGCTTTCATTGGCTCCTGGTTCTGGAGGCTGTAAAAGATGTGTGGTCTCAGCATCTGCATCTGGTGAGAGTCTCATGAGGCTTCCACTCAGGACAGAAGGTAAAGGAAAACAGGCATGCCACATGTGGAGAGAGCAAGAGAGAGAATGGGAGACAGTATCAGGCTCTTTTGAACAACCTATTTGGATGTAAATTCCATTGTGGGAACTAATAGAGTGGAAAACTCACTTATTAACCATGGTGAGGGTGCCAAGCCATTTATGAGGGATCCAGCCCCACACTAGGTGTCATTTATAGTGTGGACAACCACATTTCAACCTGAGGCTTGGAGGGAAAAATATTTAAACTACAAAAATAAGCCAGTTTAATAGTCATGCAGAGTTATGGTAAAAAAAATCATTTTTCCTCTTCAAAACCCTGGGGCTACAAGATGCTGGGCTTCATTAGCTTCCAGAGATTGGCAAGTTAGTATTAAAACTCTTAGGCATCAAGCTGAGAAGTCAGGGAAATAGTTGGGTAGTTTGACTTCTTGGAAGGAAAATTTAGAAGCTCAGTATATTGCTAGAGTGAGTGACGATGAAGACTGATGGGAAATGCCTATGTGCCTGCTCTCAGAGGACCTTGACAGATCCAAAAGTCAGGAGGATTAGAAGCAAGATACCTGGGCAGAAGCTATAAAAGTGAGGACATGACTGGATGTGGTGGCCCATGTCTGTAATCCTAGAACTTTGGGAGGCCAAGGAGGGGGATCACCTGAGGTCAGGAATTTGAGACCAGCGTGACCAACATGGTGAAACTTTTTCTTCACTAAAAAATACAAAAATTAGCCTGTCATAGTGGTGGTCACCTGTATTTCCAGCTACTCGGAAGGCTGAGGCAGGGGAATCACAGGAGGCAGGGGTTGCAATGAGCCAAGATCATGCCATTGCACTTCAGCCCAGGTGACAGAGTAATACTCTGTCTCAAAAGAAATGAAAAAACAAAAAAAGAGTCAAGCCATTAGATGTACAATCTAAGTTATTTGAGGTACAAAGTGGGAGCTGAGATTTTTGACTACTTGAGATCCCTTAAGCCAGGGGGAAACCATTTCAGAAGTGCTTGAATGTCTATTTAAATCCCCATTTTTTCTTGGAGGTCCTAGTGACAGGTGAAGCCACCTGGACTTCCTGGGTCAAGTGAGGACTTGGAGAACTTTTCCCTCTAGCTAAAGGATTGTAAACACACCAGTCATCACTCTAAAAATGCACCAATCAGCACTCTGTGTCTAGCTAAAGGATTGTAAATGCACCAATCAGCACTCTCTAAAATGGAACAATAAGCACTCTGTAAAATGGACCAATCAGCACTCTGTAAAATGAGTCAATCAGCAGGTCGTGCATGGATCCAAATAAGGGAATAAAAGCTAGCCACCTCACCCAGCATCAGCCACCTTCTTGGGTCCCCTTCTAAGCTCTGGAAGTTTTGTTCTTTTGCTCTTCACAATAAATCTTGCTGCTGCTCATTGTTTGGGTCCACACCACCTTTAAGAGCTGTAACACTCACTGTGAAGGTCTGCAGCTTCATTCTTGAAGTCATTGAGACCACAAGACCACTGGAAGGAAGAAAGTCTAGGCACATCTGAACATCTGAAGGAACAAACTCTGGATATGCCACTTTAAGAGCTGCGAAACTCACTGTGAAGGTACGCGGCTTCATTCTTGAAGTCAGCAAGACCAAGAACCCACTAGAAGGAATAAATTCCAGACACATTATGGCAACCATGAAGGGACTATCACCTATCACCAAGCAGTGAGTACCATCAGACACCTTTCACTTGCTATTCTGTCCTATTTTTCCTCAGAATTCTGGGGCTAAAAAACCAGCCACCTGTAAGCCAGTTAAAAGTGACTAGCATGGCCGCTGGACTAAAGACATGGGTGTCATGCTTTCTGGGGAAGTGCTGTCTAACAAGCCCCAACTCTTCAGATTTGGGAGCATTGGTTTGCCTGCAACCAGCTTCTGCTTTCCCTATACCTCTGGGCTGAGCTGGGGGTCAACAGAGAGGAAAGCCATTCAGCTCCAAAGTCCCAATAACAAGTTGGTTAATGCTGCAGCCATGAGTAGTACTCTCAAAGTCACGTTGCACAAGTGAGACTCGCCCATCTATCCTATCTATCCTGACATCTGACCTTTGCTTCCTGGGTCCTAATACCTGTCAGACAAACTTCCTCTTGTCTCTTCTCTGAGGCTAGCCCTGCTTCTGAAAACCACTCCCTGTCTCTGGTGCTTTTCTAGTTTCTCTGCTAAGAATGATTTCTAGTATAAACTCCAGGACTCTATTCCCTTCTTTAGGCACCCGGGCTTACCAATCAGAAAGATATAATTTTAGCCCAAAGCCCCACTGGGGGACTGGGGGAACATCTTATCTAGAATTTTAGGATCTCTCTTTAGACTAGCAGGCCTAACAAAAGCTACTCCTGAAGCTAGGGTATGGGGAGCTTCAGAAATGGTATCCTTCCTATTCAAGTGAGGACAAAAGGCATCACTCTTCCAACCCTGGATAACATTTCCCTCTCTCAGGGTATGGCCCTCCACTTCATTTTTGAGGTGTAATATCTTTATAGGACAGGGGCATAGTCCCAATACTAATGGGAGAATGCTTAGGACTCTAACAGTTTTTCAAGAATGCATCAGTAAGTGCCACTAAATCCGATTTTTCTTGGTCCTCTTTGTGGTCTAGGAGGACAGGAAAGGGTGCAGATTATTGAGAATACATCAGTAAGGGACACTAAATCTGACCTTCCTCAATCTTCTTTGTGGTCTTGGAGGAAAACTAGTGTTTCTGCTGCTGGGTCAGTGAGCGCAACTATGCCAATCAGCAGGGTTCAGGGACCATTGCAGTTCTTGGGCAGGGGAAGAAACAAACAAACCAAAATTGTGGGAAGTTTTGTCTTTCAGATGGGAAACACTCAGACATCAACAGGCTCACCATTGCAGTGCATCCTAAGCCATCGGGACCAATTTGATCCACAAATCCTTGACAAAGAGGTGGCTCATTTTTTTCTTCACTATTACCAGGCCTCAATATTCTCTCCAATGGGGAAAAATGGCCAACTGAGGGAAGTAAAAATTAAAATACTATCTTGCAGTTTGACCTTTTCTATAAGAGAGAAGGCAAGTGGAATGAAATACCTGATGTCCAAGTTTTATTTTCATTGAAGGAGAATCCACAGCTTTGCAAAGCTTGCCATTTACATCCCACAGGAGTACCTTTTAGCTTACCCCTATATCCTAGCCTCTGTATAGCTCCCCTTTCTATTACTGATAAGCCACCTCTAATCTTCCCCCTGCAGAAGGAAACAAGCAAAGAAATCTACAGAGGACCACAAAAAAACTCCGGGCTATTGATTATGTCCCCTTCAAGATGTAGGGGGAGGGGAATTTTGCCCAACCTGGGTACATGTCCCCTTCTCTCTCCCTGATTTGAAGCAGACCAAGGCAGACACAGGGAAGTTTTCAGATGATCCTGATAGGTACATAGATATCTTATAGGGTCTAGGGCAAACCTTTCACCTCACTTGGAGAGATGTTATGCTAATGTTAGATCAAATCCTGGACTTTAATGAAAATAATGTGGCTTTAGCTGCAGCCCAAGAGTTTGGAGATACCTGGTATCTTAGTCAAGTAAATGATAGAATGACAGCTGAAGAAAGGGACAAATTCCCTACCAGTCAGCAAGTCATCCCCCATATGGATCCCCACTGGAAACTCAACTCAGATTATTGGGACTGGAGTCACAAACATCTGCTGACCTGTGTTCTAGAAGGACTGAGGAGAATTAGGAAAATGCTCCTGAACTATGCAATGATGTCCATCCTAACTCTGGGAAAGGAAGAAAATCCTTCTGCCTTCCTCGAGTGGCTATGGAAGGCCTTAAGGAAATCTACTCCTCTGTCACCTGATTCCCTTGAGGGTCAATTGACTCTGAAAGATAAGTTTATTACCCAATCAGCTGAAGATATCAAGAGAAAGCTCCAAAAGTCAGCGCTGGACCCTGAACAAAATCTGGAGGCATTAGTAAACCTGGCAACCTCAGTGTTCTCTAATAGCTACCAAGAAGACCTGGCCAAAATGGAAAAGTGAGATCAGAGAAAGGTTGCAGCCTTATTCATGGCCCTCAGACAAACAAACCTTGGTGGTTCAGACCGGACATAAAATGGAGCAGGCCAATTACCAGGTAGGGTTTCTTACCAGTGTGGTTTGCAAGGACACCTTAAAAAAGTTTGTCCAACAAGAAACAAGCTGTCCCCTGGCCCATGTCCACTCTACCGAGGCAATCACTGGAAGGCTCTCTGCCCCAGAGGACAAAGTTTCTCTAGGCCAGAAGCCCCCAACCAGATTATCCAACAACAGGCCTGAGGGTGTCTGGGTCAAGTGCCAGCTCATGTCATTACCCTCACTGAGCCCCAGGTACATTTAACCATTGAGGGCCAGGAAATTGACTTCCTCCAGGACACTGGTGTGGCCTTCTCAGTGTTAATCTCCTGTCCTGGACAGCTGTCCTCAAGGGCTGTTACTATCTGAGGAATCCTGGTTTGGCCTGTAACCAAGTGTTTCTCCCACCTTCTCAGTTGTAACTGGGAGACTTTGCTCTTTTCACATGCCTTTCTTCTTATGCCTGAACATCCAATACCTTATTAGGGAGGGACATATTAGCCAAAGCTGGAGCTATTATCTACGTGAACATAGGGAACAAGTTACCCATTTGTTATCCCCTGCTGGAGGAGGGAGTCAACCTTGAAGTCTGGGCACTGGAAGAAATAAACTCAAGCTCCAGCCTTAAGCCTTCTGAGAGGACAAAACTTTTATTTATATGCCAGAGAGAGAGTAGGAATAGCTCTTGGAGTCCTTACTCAGACTCATGGGACAACCCCACAACCTGTGGTATACCTAAGTAAGGAAATTGATGTACTAGAAAAAGGCCAGCCTCACTGTTTACTATTAGTTGTGGCAGTGACCATCTTAGTGTAAGAGGCTGTCAAAATAATATGAGGAAATGATCTCACTCTCTGGACTACTCATGATGTAAAGGGCATAGTAGGTGCCAAAGGAAGTTTATGGCTATCAGACAACAGCCTGCTTAGATACCAGACACTACTCCTTGAGCGACAGGTGTTTCAAATATGCACATATGTAGCCCTCAACCCTGCCATTTTTCTCCTAGAGGATGGGAAACACTAGTCAAGCATGACTGCCAACAAATTATAGTCCAAATTTATGCTGCCCGAAAGCCTCTCTTAGAAAGCTCCTTAGTTAATCCTGACCTTAACCTATATACCAGTGAAAGTTCATTTGTGTAGAATGGTATATGAAGGGCAGGCTATGCCATATTTAGTGGTGTAAGGGCACTTGAAAGTAAGCCTCTTCCCCCAGGGACCAGCGCCCAGTTAGCAGAACTAATGGCACTTACCCAAGCCTGACAATGGGGAAACGGAAGAAGAATAAATGTGTGTATTGATAGTAAGTATGCTTATCTACTCCTACATGCCCATCCTGCAATATGGAAAGAAAATGAGTTCATAACCTCGGGGGGAAGCCCCATTAAATATCACAAGGAAACCATGGAGTTATTGCACACTCTGCAAAACCCAATGTGGTGGCAGTGTTCCACTGCCGAAGCCATCATAAGGGGAAGGAGAGGGGAGAGCAGCAGCATAAGTGGCTGGCAGAGGCAGGAAAAGACCAGCAGAGAGAGAAGAGAGAGAAAGAGAGAAACAGAAGAAGAGACAGAAATTCAGAGAGAGTGAGAGAGAAAGAGAGGAAGAGACAGACAAAGAGGGGGTCAGAGAAAAAGAAAAAGAAAGAAAGAGACAAGGTCAAAGACAGAAGGAAAGAGAGAGAGGAAGAGACAGACAAAGAAGGAGTCAAAGAGAGAGAAAGAGATTGAAGTAGTAAAGAAAAAGCAGTGTATCCTATTCCTTTAAAAGCCAGGGTAAATTTAATAACCATAATTGATAATTTAAGGTTTTCTCAATGACCTCTAACACCCCAATACCACCTTGTTGTCATTGTAAACAAGGGCATAGTCTGAAAGCACTGAGGCCACTGAGAACCCCTAGACCTCCTATCAAAAAATTTTAACTCAGCAGGATTCCTAACGGGGATCTAAGGATCAAAGTCTTAACTAATTACCATACAAAGGTCCAACAAGACCTAGGAGGAATTTCCTTCAGGACAGGATGATAGATGGTTCCTCCCAGGTTATTAAGGGAAAAAGACGCAATGGGTATTCAGTAAATGATAAGGGAACTGTTGTAGAAGCAGTTAGGAAAATTGCCTAATAATTTGTCTGCTTAAATGTGCGAGCCGTTTGCCCTCAGCCAAACCTTAATGTACTTACAGAATCACGAAGGAGCCATCTATACCATTTCTAAGTGAATAGGGACTGAACGAGGTCTTATTAATAGCAAAGAATACTTGAAATCCCAAACTTAGAAGGTTTTCAACAAAAGTAAAGTTTGCTAAAAGTTAACAGTGTAACATGTATTATCCTACTACCACACACTCTCAAAGGATTTCTCAGACAGTTTGTGAAAAATAACAAAATCTATCCTTTCTCTACAATCCCAAATAGACTTTTTGGCAGCAGTGGCTCTCCAGAACCACTGAGGCCTAGACTCCCTCACTGCTGAGAAAGGAGGGCTCTGCACCTTCTTAAGGGAAGAGTGTTTCTTTTACACTAACCAGTCTGGGATAGTATGCAATGCCACCCAGCATTTAAAGGAAAAGGCTACTGAAACCAGACAATGCCTTTCAAACTCTTATACCAACCTCTGGAGTTGAGCCATATGACTTCTCCTCTTTCCAGGTCCCATGACAGCCATCTTGCTATTACTTTCCTTCAGGTCCTGTATTTTTAACCACCCTGCCAAATTTGTTTCCTCTAGGATTGAGGCCATCAAGCTACAGTTGATCTTACAAATGGAACCCCAATGAGCTCAACTAATAACTTCTACCAAGGAACCTGGATCAACCCACTGGCCCTTTGGCTGGCCTAGAATATTCCCCTCTGGAGGACACTACCACCAGAGACCCCTTCTTTACCTCTATCCAGCAGTAAGTAGCTAGGGTGGTCATCACCCAATTCCCAACAGCAGTTAGAGCATTGAGATGTGAAGACAGCTAGACTTCATGGGTTGAGTGGGGACAGGGAGGACTTTTCTGTCTAGCTAAATGATTGTAAATGCACCAATCTGCACTCTGTGTCTAGCAAAAGGAATGTAAATTCACCAGCACTCTGTAAAAAAGCATCAATTATTGCTCTGTGTCTAGCTAAATGATTTTAAACACAACAATCAACGCTCTGTAAAATGGACCAATCAGCACATTGTAAAATGGATCAATCAGCAGGATGTGGGTGGGGCCAGATAAGGGAATAAAGCTCGCCAACCCACCCAGCAGTGGCAATCCATGCAGGTCCCCTTCCATGCTGTGGAAGCTTTGTCAATAAATCTTGCTGCTGCTCGCTCTGGGTCTGCACCAACTTTAGGAGATTCAATACCAGCCATGAAGGTCTGCAGCTTCATTCTTGAAGTCAGGGAGACCAGGAGGTCCCCTGGGAGAAGGAAGAAACTCTGGACATATCTGAACATCTGAACGAATGAACTCTGGACACACTATCTTTAAGAGCTGTAACACTCTATGTGAAGGTCCACGGCTTCATTCTTGAAGTCAGAAAGACCGAGAACCTACCAGAAGGAACCAACTCTGGAAACAATATGCCAAACTCAGTGTTTCAGGGCTATAATTGCAACACTTTGGGAGGTCAAGGAAGGAGGACACTTAAGCCTGGGAGTTTGAGACCACCCTGAACAATATATCTGAAGCATTGTCCTTGCCACACACACACACAAAAGTGGGGCACAGTGGTGTGTGTCTGTAATTCTTTCTACTTGAGAGGCTGAAATGGAAGGCTCACACATTTGAACCCAGGAGTTCAAGGCTGCAGTGAGTTACAATGGTGCTGCTGCAGTCCAGGCTGGACAACAGTGTAACCTTGTGTCTAAAAAGAAAAAAAATGATAAGTGCTTGAACTGAAGGATACACTATTTATTATTTATATATTTATTGATTTATATAATTATTTGTGACTTGGAGTCCCACTCTGTCACCCAGACTAGAGTGCATGGTGCAATATCAGCTCACTTCAGCCTCAGGCTCACAGAGACAAAAAAATTATCCTTCCTGAGTCTCCCAATTAACTACTACTAGTTAACATACTACTAGCATGGGCCACCAAGCCCAGCTAATTGTTGTATTTTTGGTAGAGATGGGGCTTCAGGGTTTTGGCCAGGCTGGTCTTGAACTCCTGACCTAATGTGATCTGCAAGACTTGGCGTCCTAAAGAGCTGGAATTAAAGAACTGAGCCATCACACCTAGACAATAACATATACAAGACTAGGGAGTTTTATCCTTTCACTTCATCCTCACAATGCTACATTATAAGTGAATGAAAACAAAACTTCATATCATGAATAAATCACTTGAAAACAAAAGTTGGTAATTTCTCCCTTGAAAATTATTTGCACACTTACCCTGTAAAAATTGATGATCTTGCCAGAATTTTACCAATAAAATACTTTTTCCCTGAAGATTAGTCTGTTAATTGTAAGAATTATGAACTGTAAAACTTCTGGAACTTCATGTATTTCATTTCTTTAGGGTGTATAATCAGGAAAATGGAGAAACCTGGTCTCTACTAAAAACACAAAATTAGCAAGGCATGGTGGTGCATGCCTGTAATCCCAGCTATTCGGGAGGCTGAGGCAGGAGAATTGTTTGAACCCAGGAGGTGAAGGTTGCAGTGAGCTGAGAAGGTGCCATTGCACTCCAGCCTGGGCAACAAAAGTGAGATTCCATCTCAAATAATAATAATAATAATAATAATAATAATAATATTTTAATTGCTAATGTTTTCAAAGATGGATGATATTAAAGGCTGAAGAAAAGGCTGGGCACAGTGGCTCATTCCTGCACTCCCAGCACTTTGAGAGGCTGAGGTGGGTTGATCACCTGAGGTCAGAAGTTCAAGACCAGCCTGGCCAACATTTTGAAGCCCCGTCTCTATTAAAACTACGAAAATTAGCAAAGTGTGATGGTGGATGCCTGTAATCCCAGCTACTCAGGAGGCTGAGGCAGAAGAATCACTTGAACCAGGAGGCAGAGGTTGTAGTGAGCCGAGATCATGCCATTACACTCCAGTCTGGGCAACAGAGCGGGACTCCGCCTCAAAAGAATAAAGAAAAAAAAAAGTCAAGGCATTAGATGCACAATCTACGTTCTTCGAGGTACAAAGTGGGAACTGAGCTTTCTTGAGTGTGTGAGATCCAGTAAGCCAGGAGGAAACAGTTTCAGAAGTGCTTGAATGTTTACTTAAATCCGTCTTTTATCTTGGAGGTCCTAGGAGAATTATGAATGCAAGTCTGTGTTAGAATCCAGAGATAGGCAAGCTAGGTATCATTTTGTGGAGAAGCAGCTGTAGCATTTAACAGGTGGGGTGCTACATATGTGATTTAATACTTCGGTCATCTGAGAGAAGCTGTGAAATAATAGTTCTCTATTCATTCTAGGGCACTGTGTCAGACATAAACTCTAGAAAAAATTTATGATTCAGTTTTTATTACCTCTTTTTAAGTGAGTATTTTCATAATCGTATGTGTGCAAGAGTATCTCAAATACTTTCTGTGTTTATCTCACAGGGAATTGATGTGGGTGAGGCATTTTATTTGTTGCATTTGTGGATGCAGGGACAAATTAGAGCCTCCCATTTTATCACCTTAATGGAGATACCCTTTCTATTATTTCTTTTACTTATTTTAAAAAATTGTATGTAACGTTTGTAGATACTTTTGGTGATATCATGTGATATTATATGATATTTGATACAAGCAATGTATACTGGTAAGGAAGGTATCATAGAAGGGTTGGGGGTGGGTTAAATGACAGTTGCTTAGAAGGAATACGATCCAGTGTTCGGTAGCCCAGGATGACTACACTTAATAATGGTTTATTGTATATCTCAAAAGAATTAAAAGAGTGAAGGTGGAATGTCACTTATACTGACAAATGATATGCCAGACTCAGTGGCTCACAGCTACAATCACAACACTTTGGGAGGCCAAGGAAGGCGGATCACTTAGGCCTGGAATTTTGAGACCAGCGTGAACAATATATACGAAACATTGTCCCTACCATACATGCACAAACACAAGAGCTGGGGATGGTGGTGTGTGTCTGTAATTCCAGCTACTTGGGAGGCTGAAATGGAAGGTTTGCACATTTGAACCCAGGAGTCCAAGGCTGCAGTGAGCTATGATGGTGACACTGCAGTCCAGACTGGACAACATAGTGAGACTCTGTCTCTAAAAAAGAAAAAAAAGAAATAACTAGTTGAACTGATGGATACATTATTACTTATGTATTTGTTGATTTATATAATTATTTTTAGTTGGTGTCTCACTCCATTACCCAGGCTAGAGTGCATGGTGCAATATCGGCTCACTGCAGTCTGAGGCTCCCATGTTCAAACGATTCTCTTGTCTGAGCCTCCCAATTAACTGTAACATAATACAGGCATGGGCCACCATGCCCGGTTAATTTTTGTATTTTTGGTACAGATGGGGTTTCATGGTGTTGGCTAGGCTTGTCTTGAACTCCCGACCTAAAGTGATCTGCAAGCCAATATCCCCCTTCAGTCACAGAATGCTTCAAGTAGATTGTTCCAGATGTCTTAAACTTTAGTATCAACCACATCTAATTATTTCCTTTGACCTGTACTATTACTCTATAAGATAAACATTGTATGGTGAGGCAAACAGTTTTGTAGTGTTTCTGGAGATTTCGCTAATGTTTTAATCTTGTAATTTTTTAAAGAGAAACACAGCCTAATTAGAAAACTTATGCAACTTGAAAGGGAGACATAATATATGCCTGATTTTGTATCTATTTATGTTCAAAGAAACAAAGTGTTCACAACGCAATTTACTCTTCTATTTAATTTGCTTTTAAGCATGTGTAGCTAAGCAGTAACATCAGGCATTTTGCATTACATGTAAAAATTGATTATGAAAATTTTATTCCAGATATTATAACTAACAGTAACAAGTATGAAATTACTTTGAAAAAAATTCATTTTCCTTTAAATAGCTCAAAAAATTCATGGAGTAAGTTAGTTTCTGCATTTCTACCTCTCTCCACAAAAACAACAAGTTTCTTTTAGTAAGACACATGTAACAAGGCAGAAATAAAATTTCAATGTTCGATTTGCAAACAAGGTTTAGTATGCAATAACTATTATTTTGAATACTTGCTTTAATATCTACTTCAGTCTCCTTTTTCAGATCGGCTTCTGCCACCATCTCCTATAGATGTCACATAACTTGAGCTACCATAGGCTTCACAAGGAGCAGTGTGCACCCTGTCCAGAGAAAATGGATTCCTTCCGTCTTTTCTGCCACTGTGCTCACAACCGCAGGAATAAAAATTACTGCAGCTTCTTAGGTAACTCTCCCAAGTTCTGCCATATCTATCTCATAAATTGTTATAATCATGGTGGCTTCTTCCACCATAAGGCATCTGAGGCCCTTGGACAGGTGGTGCACCATCAGAGGTCCCTGCAGGGTTGATAAAATAATATGTTGGACTACATTTAAACATTTTTAGTGCTATCACTAAAGTATTAATTAGTTAAACTACTACTTGGAAATATCTGCTTTCCTCCGCCTTCATTTACAGATATTAATTATGCCTGCAATAGTCAGAAGGTTTTTTTTAAAAGAAGTGTAAGAGTAGTATTTTGAAGCTTAACAAATTTAATTCTAAAGTAAACGTTGAATCACATTTAACTGAACGTGAAATGAAATTCTCACCTTTATATCATTCCCTACACTTTATGCTGTTAAGAATACTCAATATTTAAACATGTTATATTTGTCCTTTATAATTTCCTTAGTTTTCTTTAAAATAATGATCTGGTCTATTTAATATAATTCTATAATTTAAAAATCCAACCTGGACTCATACCATAACTCTGAAATGCATCTCTGTAAGAACTTCCACTTGGACATTCAGAATGTTCTCTACCTCACAGCAGCCATCAAGATCACTAAATTGAAAAAAAAAAAAAAGGTTTCTTTTGTCAGAATGAACAATTTAAGAAAGCTGTTTTATAAATCCACAAAACATTATAGTACCTATATAGTACTTATATAGTACCTATATCCTCTAAAGGAATGTTCATCCTGACTCAAACGACTGTAATAATGGTATGCATAGCCTCTAGGTGTTAGAGCATAATCCCTCATTTCTTGGGAACTTGGATGATTTCTGTGTGCATAAGTTTAAGCAATAAATTTTAAATTTTCAAATTCTAGTGTCCAAAATATCCATCATAACTAAATTACAGCATACATAATACCTAAATTACAACTTAAACAAAATTAAAGGGCCAAACAGCTAAATAGATATTTCTCCAAATAAAATAGCCAAATGTCTCAAAATCGCATGAAACAGATACTCATAATCTGTGATTCAGAAATACATTTCAAATCCAAAATGAGATACCATAATTCACGTACACACTGGAAAGGCAATAAATTTTAAAAAGCAGGAAATAGTAAGTGTTTGAGAAAATGTAGATAAATTGATACATTGATGCAATGTTAGTTGGAATGAACAATTCAAGAACTCTATTTGGCAAATGCAGAAAGTATTATTATAGTACCTATTTCCTGTAGAGGAATGTTCATCCTGACTAGAATGACCATAATCACGGTATGCATAGTCTCTAGATGGTGGAGCATAATCCCTAGATTCTGAGGAACCTGGATGATTACTGTGTGCATAAGTGTATGCAACAAATTTTAAATTTTCAACTTCTGGTATCCAAAACATAACTAACTTACAACTTAAACAAAATTAAAAGGCCAAACATCTAAATGGATATTTCTCCAAATAAAATAGACAAATGCCCAAAAAGCACATGGAACAGACACTCATAATCAATGATTCAGAAAATGCATTTCAATTGAGAGGATGTAGATAAACTGGAACCCTGATACAGTGCTAGCTGGAATGGAAAATGATGCAGCTCTATAGAGAAATGTGGTGGTTCCTCAAGAACACACACATAATTATCATAGGGCCAAGCAATTCCACTTCTATATATACCCAGAATTGATTAAGTGTGCCCAAACAAATATTGGTTCATAGAAATACTGGGGTGGAAACAACTCAAATAAAATGATCGGTTAACAGCTTGTGGAAGAAATGAAGTGCTATGACATATGTGAACCTTCTGGACATCATGAAAAAGGAAAACAGACAGTAAAAAAGTCATGTAGTGTTTGACCCCATTAACATTAAATGCCCACAACAGGTATGTGCACAGGCAGAACACAGATTGGTGTTTGCTAGCAGCTGAGGGAAGGGAGAAAATGAAGGACTGCTTAACTAGTAGTTGGAATTTTAGTTTGGAGTCATGAAAATGTTTTGGAACTCGATGGAGGTAGTTGCTGCACTACACAGAAGGTATCTAACTCCGCTTAACTGTTTACCTTATAATATTTAATTTTGTTAAGTGAATTTCATCACCACAACAAAAAAAAATTAACTATTTTTTCTTTCTTTTTTTTTTTTTTACCTATCCTTAGTTGCATAACCAACATCTTTTGATGACACATGGTCATTTCTCCAGGAAAAGACTGACTGTCTCTGTGGAGGAACTCCATAATTCTCTCTTCCATTACATTTAATATTAAAATGATGGAACATAATGTAAAGAACACGAAATCTGAAACATTATTTTCTCTTCTCTCAAACAACTTTTTAAAATTATTTCATCTACGTCTCCATTCTTTTTTTCCCTAAATTACTAGAAAATCATGACACTGTGAATATTTCTTATGGCCTTGGATAACCCCATGGCTCCTGCAAGGCCAGTTCTTCTAACAAAGCTGAAGGCAGATGTTAATTCTTTTGTAAAAGTTCATTTTAATGTTTAATAACTACTTAGTTATTATTTTCCTTTTTATAGAATTACTAATGAATACTAATGACACATGGAAAATGTAAAACCATCAAACTCTCCACTGATTTTAAAGTTTACATACATTGTCCTTTCTCAGCTGAAGAAGGTAAATTTTCCCATGTTGTTCAGTCCATCTCACACACACAAATACTGCCACCTTTGAATGACTGCATGCTAAACTTTTACCTAAAAGTTCTCCTTTATCTCTAAGTGGTTGGCTCTATCTTAAATGTTGGCAAATTAAAATATACTAGTGAAGATTTTCTAATGATGACCAAGATTTTCTTATACTGCAATAAGCAATAGTGTTCAAGGGGTCATTATCACATTGTTGTTATTTCAAAATAGAAAAGGTTCTCCTTTAATATACTCTTCACGTGCTACTCCTTAGAGGTCTGTCTTTCACTTATAATATGTTCACTGGCTAATTTTCCTATGGAAATGTGTTGGCTTGTGTATCCTGAAGACAATAAATAACTAACTTCACTGATACTCTACACATGAAATGTAAAATTAAAAATGGCAGTTTTCATTTTCCTCCATCTTAGGATGGAGGACAAAGTAAGAATTTTATTTTGTTCTGCTAAACGTCGTCCCTAAGAATTTTTATTTATTGTCTTGTTTTCTTCTGTTCAGTCTGCAATCTTACAATTCTCCTTCTCAAAAATATTACTTCTATTCGATCCTACTGTTCAACTCTTGTTGCTTAGTTCTAAATTCTCGCCTCAAATAATTTCAAATCTTACACTAAGGTCTTGTGTTAATGTTTAAACATCCAGGTACAATCTTAATTATTGATTTACATCCCCTTATATTTCATAACTCTACACTTCTGTGATATCCACTTAATTTAAGAATATTGGACTCCTTCATGTCTAACTTACAAGCCTTAAATTATTTTTTAAATAATGTTTAAGCTCAGTGAATCTTTTTCTGCTAAATATTCTTGCAGTTCTTTTCAATCTTTATATAAGCAGGAAAAATGCCTCACGGATTAGAATTATTGAGGTCTCAAAACCTAGATGGCCAGGCTAACTGGCTCACACTGTGGGCCAGTGTGGAAGGGTGAGGCACCTGGACTGCTTGAGCCCCGGGCTTTAATGTCAGTTTTGTCAATGTGGTGAGATCCTCTCTCTACAAAAATATAGGGGAAAAAACTTAGCTAGATATGGTGGTGCATGGCTATAGTTGCAGCAACTCAGGAAAATGAAACAGGAGAATTGCCTGAGCCCAGGAGTTTAAGGCTGTAGTAAGCCATCATCTCACCTATGCACTCTGACCTCATAAGAGCAAGACTCCAACCCAACAAAGGAACTGAACAAGCAATTTTTAGAATGGGACACCAGGGAACCACTACCAGGGGACCTAGGAAATGGAAGAATTCATTAGATGAAGAAGACTACAATCAAAGAATACTGCTAGGAACTGTTAGAATTATTAAGGGGAATTCTCTAGCAAACACAGGATTAAAAGTAATGTTGGCCTCACTCTAATAACTTATTTCACCTGCAATGAGAAGCTCAAGTATTTCTTTACCATAAATCTGAAATGTAGTTAGTGATATATAAACCATAATAAAAGGTATCAGTCTGAATTATGCCCATGTATGTGTCACTCCTCTTTCGTTCGATGAAGTTAAAGTTAAGCATTCAAGTAAAATAGCTTATTTTTAGTCATACGAAAAATACTGTCTTTCTCTCTGGTAGCACTTACCTTGGCCTCCCATCCAACTACTGCTTCTTGCCACAGCAGGAGCAGATTTTGTAGGAGGAGGACCTCCACTTCTTGAAGGTGGACCGCTTTTAACTGGAATGTGCCCCCTAGAAGAACTCATGTTGAGATCAAGAGTTTATCCACCATCATCTGTATTTCAAACAAAATCTTTTTAGTTGACTAACATCACTGTTTCTTAAATAGCTAAGTTTTAGTTGTTTATAAAGATTTTCTACATATTATAATCTTACAAATTCACATTTGTCTAAACTAATAAAATTAACATTTTTATATGAAATAAGTACAATTCAAGCAATAAAAGTCCATTTAGAAAATCTAGAAAGAAACACAAGAATCATAATATGTTTGCGTGAGAGAGAGATGTGGAAAAAGTGGGGAGTGAACAGGGAGCAGAAAACTATCAGTAAAATATCTAAGTATAATATATATAAAAACATTGAAAGAAAAATGATAAATGACTGTTTATATCATTCTCTTATGAGGAAAAATTTTCAAAGCATATCATAAAGATAAACTAAATTCCATTCAAAGAAACTCAGATATTTACAATATCAAAAGGTGACACATCAGGAAAATATATTATCTCTAAAATTTGTTAACATAATATTGAATTCTTACAATTCCCTTATGAAACACTAATTTTCAGGTTAGACTATGCTAAATATTAATAATCTTTAAGAATTCCATATTAAATAATATGAAAAAATATTTTTATATGTCTACAAAAAATGTAGATATATGCCAATTGCCAGGCAGTGTTACAGGTTAGAATATGCACATTCTTATCCACGGCAGAATATTATTGAACCTCACCCTCAAGACCAATGGAGACAAAATAATCATGAAGCTGTGTTTCTTAAAATGGAGCAAACACTGCAATTTCAACTTTAAAAAACATCTCCCATTAATTAAAAATCTGGTTACTAAACTCAAAATTAAATGATATATATTTGAAGGTTGATTAATAGATAATAAAAGTTTAAAAATGGATTTATTATTTATTGAGATGGACTCTTGCCATATCCCACAGGCTTGAGTGCAAAGTCGTGACCTTGGCTCACTGCAGCTTCCACCTGCCAGTTTTCAGTGATTCTCCTGCCTCAGTCTCCCGAGTACCTGGGATTAGAGGTGGAAATCACCACACCAGATATATCTATATCAATATCTATCTATATATATAATATGTTTATATTATATATAAATACATGAAATATATTTATTTCTATATATAAATACATGAAATATATATATTTTCATACATAAATACATGAAATATATATATTTTCATATATGAATACATGAAATATATTTTCATATATGAATACATGAAATATATTTATTTTCATATATGAATACATGAAATATATTTATTTTCATATATGAATACATGAAATATATTTATTTTCATATATGAATACATGAAATATATTTATTTTCATATATGAATACATGAAATATATTTGTTTTCATATATGAATACATGAAATATATTTATTTTCATATATGAATACATGAAATATATTTATTTTCATATATAAATATATATTTATTTTCATATATAAATATATAATATATTTATTTTCATATATAAATATATAATATATTTATTTTCATATATAAATATATAATATATTTATTTTTATACATAAATATATATTTGTTTTTATACATAAATATATTATATATTTGTTTTTATATATAAATATATTATATATTTGTTTTTATATATAAATATATTATATATTTGTTTTTATATATAAATATATAATATATTTATTTTTATACAAATATATAATATATTTATTTTTATTTAAATATATAATATATTTATTTTTATATATAAATACGTTATATATATATATATTTTCCTTTTATTATACTTTAAGTTTTAGGGTACATGTGCACATTGTGCAGGTTAGTTACATATGTATACATGTGCCATGCTGGTGCGCTGCACCCACTAACTCGTCATCTAGCATTAGATATATCTCCCAATGCTATCCCTCCCCCCTCCCCACACCCCACAACAGTCCCCAGAGTGTGATGTTCCCCTTCCTGTGTCCATGTGATCTCATTGTTCAATTCCCACCTATGAGTGAGAATATGCGATGTTTGTTTTTTGTTCTTGTGATAGTTTACTGAGAATGATGATTTCCAATTTCACCCATGTCTCTACAAAGGACATGAACTCATCATTTTTTATGGCTGCATAGTATTCCATGGTGTATATGTGCCACATTTTCTTAATCCAGTCTATCATTGTTGGACATTTGGCTTGGTTCCAAGTCTTTGCTATTGTGAATAGTGCCGAAATAAATATATGTGTCCATCTGTCTTTATAGCAGCATGATTTACAGTCCTTTGGGTATATACCCAGTCATGGGATGGCTGGGTCAAATGGTATTTCTAGTTCTAGATCCCTGAGGAATCGCCACATTGACTTCCACAATGGTTGAACTAGTTTACAGTCCTACCAACAGTGTACAAGTGTTCCTATTTCTCCACATCCTCTCCAGCACCTGTTGTTTCCTGACTTTTTAATGATCGCCATTCTAACTGGTGTGAGATGGTATCTCATTGTGGTTTTGATTTGCATTTCTCTGATGGCCAGTGATGATGAGCATTTTTTCATGTGTTTTTTGGCTGCATAAATGTCTTCTTTTGGGAAGTGTCTGTTCATATCCTTTGCCGACTTTTTGATGGGGTTGTTTGTTTTTTTCTTGTAAATTTGTTGGAGTTCATTGTAGATTCTGGATATTAGCCCTTTGTCAGATGAGTAGGTTGCAAAAATTTTCTCCCATTTTGTAGGTTGCCTGTTCACTCTGATGGTAGTTTCTTTTGCTGTACAGAAGCTCTTTAGTTTAATTGGATCCCATTTGTATATTTTGTCTTTTGTTGCCATTGCTTTTGGTGTTTTAGCCATGAAGTCCTTGCCCATGCTTATGTCCTGAATGGTATTGCCTAGGTTTTCTTCTAGGGTTTTTATGGTTTTAGGTCTAACATTTAAGTCTTTAATCCATCTTGAATTGATTTTTGTATAAGGTGTAAGGAAGGGATCCAGTTTCAGCTTTCTACATATGGCTAGCCAGTTTTCCCAGCACCATTTATTAAATAGGGAATCCTTTCCCCATTGTTTGTTTTTCTCAGGTTTGTCAAAGATCAGATAGTTGTAGATATGTGGTGTAATTTCTGAGGGCTCTGTTCTGTTCCACTGATGTGTATCTCTGTTTTGGTACCAGTACCATGCTGTTTTGGCTACTGTAGCCTTGTAGCATAGTTTGAAGTCAGGTAGTGTGATGCCTCCAGCTTTGTTCTTTAGGATTGACTTGGTGATGTGGGCTCTCTTTTGGTTCCATATGAACTTTAAAGTAGTTTTTTCCAATTCTGTGAAAAAAGGCATTGGTAGCTTGATGGGGATGGCATTGAATCTGTAAATGACCTTGGGCAGTATGGCCATTTTCACGATATTGATTCTTCCTATCCATGAGCATGGAATGTCCTTCCATTTGTTTGTATCCTCTTTTATTTCCTTGAGCAGTGGTTTGTAGTTCTCCTTGAAGAGGTCCTTCACATCCCTTGTAAGTTGGATTCCTAGGTATTTTATTCTCTTTGAAGCAATTGTGAATGGGAGTTCACTCATGATTTCGCTCTCTGTTTGTCTGTTGTTGGTGTATAAGAATGCTTGTGACTTTTGTACATTGATTTTGTATCCTGAGACTTTGCTGAAGTTGCTTATCAGCTTAAGAAGATTTTGGGCTGAGACAATGGGGTTTTCTAGATATACAATCATGTCATCTGCAAACAGGGACAATTTGACTTCCTCTTTTCCTAATTGAATAACCTTTATTTCCTTCTCCTTTCTAATTGCCCTGGCCAGAAATTCCAACACTATGTTGAATAGGAGTGGTGAGAGAGGACATCCCTGTCTTGTGCAAGTTTTCAAAGGGAATGCTTCCAGTTTTTGCCCATTCAGTATGATATTGGCTGTGGGTTTGTCATAGATAGCTCTTATTATTTTGAAATATGTCCCATCAATACCTAATTTATTGAGAGTTTTTAGCATGAAGTGTTGTTGAATTTTGTCAAAGGCCTTTTCTGCATCTATTGAGATAATCATGTGGTTTTTGTCTTTGGCTCTGTTTATATGCTGGATTACATTTATTGATTTGTGTATATTGAACCAGCCTTGCATCCCAGGGATGAACCCCACTGGATCATGGTGGATAAGCTTTTTGATATGCTGCTGGATTCGTTTTGCCAGTATTTTATTGAGGATTTTTGCATCAGTGTTCATCAAGGATATTGGTCTAAAATTCTCTTTTTTGGTTGTGTCTCTGCCCAGCTTTGGTATCAGAATGATGCTTGCCTCATAAAATGAGTTAGGGAGGATTCCCTCTTTTTCTATTGATTGGAATAGTGTCAGAAGGAATGGTATCAATTCCTCCTTGTACCTCTTGTAGAATTCGGCTGTGAATCCATCTGGTCCTGGACTCTTTTTGGTTGGTAAGCTATTGATTATTGCCACAACTTCAGATCCTGTTATTGGTCTATTCAGAGATTCAACTTCTTCCTGGTTTAGTCTTGGGGGAGTGTACGTGTCAAGGAATTCATCCATTTCTTCTAGATTTTCTAGTTTATTTTTGTAGAGGTGTTTGTAGTATTCTCTGATGGTAGTTTGTATTTCTGTGGGATCGGTCATGATATCCCCTTTATCATTTTTTATTGCATCTATTTGATTCTTCTCTCTTTTTTCTTTATTAGTCTTGCTAGCAGTCTATTTTTATTTATTTTTATATATAAATATATAACATATTTATTTTTACATATAAGTATATAAAATACATTTATTTTTATATATAAGTATATAAAATACATTTATTTTTATATATAAGTATATAAAATACGTTTATCTTTATATAGAAATGCATAAAATATGTTTATCTGTATATAGAAATGAAAAAAGTACATTTATCTGTATATAGAAATGCATAAAATACGTTCATCTGTATATAGAAATACATAAAATACGTTTATCTGTATATAGAAATACACAAAATATGTTTATCTGAATCTAGAAATACATAAAATACATTTATCTGTATATAGAAATACATAAAATATGTTAATCTGTATACAGAAATACATAAAATACCTTTATTTTATAAAGAAATATATAAAATTATAAATATATATACAATACATGGTTTGATTTTCTTTTTTATGTAGAAATAACCCCTTATTTCTTTTGTGTAAATCACTCATGAATATCATTTTCAGAGACTCATCCTTCAGCAAAGAAAGATATATAGATATGTGTGAAGCAGTAGTTCTTAGACATTTCCAGAGTCACAGACTGTTTTCAGAAATTAAAGTTCTACATTTCTTCAATTGAAAACGCTTTATGGCAAGCCAATGTACAAACTCTGTTTATCAAAATTACAAAGCGATTCATCTGCATAGATGTTTGCACAGGTATACACACATAAAAAATGAAATATTGAAAAATCAATCTTAAGTACTGAGTTACTTTTTTCCCATTTGAAAACTGTAAATATTCCATTGTATTTTGATAATAAAACTGATTTGAATTTCTGGGCCCTGGAGTAGAAAACTCTAAAGTATAATAAATATAAATGAGTTATGCAGAAAACCAGTTGAGTACAGGCAATCAGCATTCATAAAATCAATTCAGTTTGAAATCTGTGTTATTTCTTGAAGGGATTTTCTGTCTCTATTTCCTTCAGTTCTGCTCTGATTTTAGTTATTTCTTGCCTTCTGATAGCTTTCGAATGTGTTTGCTCTTGCTTTTCTAGTTATTTTAATTGTGATGTTAGGGTGTCAATTTTGCATCTTTCCTGCTTTCTCTTGTGGGCATTTAGTGCTATAAATTTCCCTCTACACAGTGCTTTGAATGTGTCCCAGAGATTCTGGTATGTTGTGTCTTTGTTCTTGTTGGTTTCAAAGAACATCTTTATTTCTGCCTTCATTTCGTTATGTATCCAGTAGTCATTCAGGAGCAGGTTGTTCAGTTTCCATGTAGTTGAGCGGTTTCGAGTGAGTTTCTTAATCATGATTTCTAGTTTGATTGCACTGTGGTCTGAGAGACAGTTTGTTATAATTTCTGTTCTTTTACATTTGCTGAGGAGAGCTTTACTTCCAACTATGTGGTCAATTTTGGAATAGGTGTGGTGTGGTGCTGAAAAAAAAGTATATTCTGTTGACTTGGGGTGGAGAGTTCTTTAGATGTCTATTAGGTCTGCTTAGTGCAGAGCTGAGTTGAATTCCTGGGTATCCTTTTTAACTTTCTGTCTTGTTGATCTGTCTAATGTTGACAGTGGGGTGTTAAAGTGTCCCATTATTATTGTGTGGGAGTCTAAGTCTCTTTGTAGGTCACTCAGGACTTGCTTTATGAATCTGGGTGCTCCTGTATTGGGTGCATATATATTTAGGATAGTTGGCTCTTCTTGTTGAGTTGCTCCCTTTACCATTATATAATGGCCTTCTTTGTCTCTTTTGATCTTTGTTGGTTTAATGTCTGTTTGATCAGAGACTAGGATTGCAACCTCTGCCTTTTTTTTATTTTCCATTTGCTTGGTAGCTCTTCCTCCATCCTTTTATTTTGAGCCTATGTGTGTCTCTGCAGGTGAGATGGGTTTCCTGAATACAGCACACTGATGGGTCTTGACTCTTCATCCAATTTGCCAGTCTGTGTCTTTTAATTAGAGCATTTAGTCCATTTACATTTAAAGTTAATATTGTTATGTATGAATTTGATCCTGTCATTACGATGTTAGCTGGTTATTTCACTCGTTAGTTGATGCAGTTTCTTCCTAGCCTCAATGGTCTTTACAATTTGGTATGATTTTGCAGTGGCTGCTACTGGTTGTTCCTTTCCACATTTAGTGCTTCCTTCAGGATCTCTTTTAGGGCAGGCCTGGTGGTGACAAAATCTCTGAGCATTTGCTTGTGTGTAAAGTGTTTTATTTCCCCTTCACTTAGGAAGCTTAGTTTGGCTGAATATGAAATTCTGGGTTGAAAATTATTTTCTTTAAGAATGTTGAATATTGGCTCCCCCTCTCTTCTGACTTGTAGAGTTTCTGAGGAGAGATCCACTGTTAGTCTGATGGCTTCCCTTTGTGGGTAACCTGTCCTTTCTCTCTGGCTGCCCTTAACATTTTTTCCTTCATTTCAACTTTGGTGAATCTGACAATTATGTGTCTTGGAGTTGCTCTTCTTGAGGAGTATCTTTGTGGCATTCTCTGTATTTCCTGAATCTGAATGTTGGCCTGCCTTGCTAAAATGGAGAAGTTCTCCTGGATAATATCCTGCAGAGTGTTTTCCAACTTGGTTCCATTCTCCCCGTCACTTTTAGGTACACCAGTCAGATGCAGACTTGGTCTTTTCACATAGTCTCATATTTCTTGGAGGCTTTGTTCATTTCTTTTTATTCTTTTTTCTCTAAACTGCATGAATCCAGGAGCTCATTTTTTGAAAGGATCAACAAAATTGACAGACCACTAGCAAGACTAATAAAGGAAAAAAAGAGAAGAATCAAATAGATGCAATAAAAAATGATAAAGGGGATATCACCACTGATCCCATAGAAATACAAACTACCATCAGAGAATACTATAAACACCTCTACAAAAATAAACTAGAAAATCTAGAAGAAATGGAAAAATTCCTCGACATATACACTCTCCCAAGACTAAACCAGCGAGAAGTTGAATCTCTGAATAGACCAATAACAGGATCTGAAATTGTGGCAATAATCAATAGCTTACCAACCAAAAAGAGTCCAGGACCAGGTGGATTCACAGCCGAATTCTACCAGAAGTACAACAAGAAACTGGTACCATTCCTTCTGAAACTATTCCAATCAATAGAAAAAGAGGGAATCCTCCCTAACTCATTTTATGAGGCAAGCATCATCCGGATACGAAAGCCGGCAGAGACACAGCCAAAAAAGAGAATTTTAGACCAATATCCTTGATGAACATTGATGCAAAAATCCTCAATAAAATACTGGCAAACTGAATCCAGCAGCACATCAAAAAGCTTATCCACCATGATCAAGTGGGCTTCATTCCTGGGATGCAAGGCTGGTTCAATATATGCAAATCAATAAATGTAATCCAGCATATAAACAGAACCAAAGACAAAAACACATGATTTTCTCAATAGATGCAGAAAAGGCCTTTGACAAAATTCAACAACCCTTCATGCTAAAAACTCTCAATAAATTAGGTACTGATGGGATATATCTCAAAATAATAAGAGTTATCTATGACAAACCCACAGCCAATATCATACTGAATGGGCAAAAACTGGAAGCATTCCCTTTGAAAACATGCACAAGACAGGGATGTCCTCTCTCACCACTCCTATTCAACATAGTGTTGGAAGTACTGGCCAGGGCAATTAGGCAGGAGAAGGAAATAAACGGTATTCAATTAGGAAAAGAGGAAGTCAAATTGTCCCTGTTTGCAGATGACATGATTGTGTATCTAGAAAACCCCATTGTCTCCCCCCAAAATCTCCTTAAGCTGATAAGCAATTTCAGCAAAGTCTCAGGATACAAAATCAATGTACAAAAATCACAAGCAGTCTTATACACCAATAACAGACAGAGAGCGAAATCATGAGTGAACTCCCATTCACAATTGCTTCAAAGAGAATAAAATACTTAGGAATTCAACTTACAAGGGACGTGAAGGACCTCTTCAAGGAGAACTACAAACCACTGCTCAATGAAATAAAAGAGGATAGAAACAAATGGAAGAACATTCCATGCTCATGGGTAGGAAGAATCAATATCATGAAAATGGTCATAATGCCCAAGGTAATTTATAGATTCAATGCCATCCCCATCAAGCTACCAATGACTTTTTTCACAGAATAGGAAAGAACTACTTTAAAGTTCATATGGAACCAAAAGAGAGCCTGCATCTCCAAGTCAATCCTAAGCCAAAAGAACAAAGCTGGAGGCATCACACTACCTGACTTCAAACTATACTACAAGGCTACAGTAACCAAAACAGCATGCTACTCGTACCAAAACAGAGATATAGATCAATGGAACAGAACAGAGCCCTCAGAAATAATGCCACATATCTACAACTATCTGAATTTTGACAAACCTGAGAAAAACAAGCAATGGGGAAAGGATTCCCTATTTAATAAATGGTGCTGGGAAAACTGGCTAGCCATATGTAGAAAGCTGAAATTGGATCCCTCCCTTACACCTTATACAAAAGTTAATTCAAGATGGATTAAAGACTTACATGTTAAATGTAAAACCATAAAAGCTCTAGAAGAGAACCGAGGAAATCCCATTAAGGACATTGGCATGGGCAAGGACTTCATGTCTAAAACACCAAAAGCAGTGGCAACAAAAGCCAAAATTGACAAATGGGATCTAATTAAACTAAAGAGCTTCTGCACACCAAAAGAAACTACCATCAGAGTGGAGAGCAACCTACAGAATGGGAGAAAATTTTTGCAACCTACTCATCTGACAAAGGGCTAATATCCAGAATCTACAATGAACTCAAACAAATTTACAAGAAAAAAACAAACAACCCCATCAACAAGTGGGCAAAGGATATGAACAGACACTTCTCAAAAGAAGACATTTATGCAGCCAAAGGACACATGAAAAAATGATCATCATCACTGGCCATCAGAGAAATGCAAATCAAAACCACAATGAGATACCATCTCACACCAGTTAGAATGGCAATCATTAAAAAGTCAGGAAACAACAGGTGCTGGAGAGGATGTGGAGAAATAGGAACACTTTTACACTGTTGGTGGGACTGTAAACTAGTTCAACCATTGTGGAAGTCGGTGTGGTGATTCCTCAAGGATCT
The DNA here is from genome assembly GCF_000001405.40 of Homo sapiens. Lineage (NCBI taxonomy): Eukaryota > Metazoa > Chordata > Mammalia > Primates > Hominidae > Homo > Homo sapiens. The sequence goes on from NC_000024.10 coordinate 9,845,740, forward strand.
AGATCTAGAAATACCATTTGACCCAGCCATCCCATTACTGGGTATATACCCAAATGACTATAAATCATGCTGCTATAAAGACACATGGACACATATGTTTATTGTGGCACTACTCACAATAGCAAAGACTTGTAACCAAGCCAAATGTCCTACAATGATAGACTGGATTAAGAAAATGTGGCACATATACACCATGGAATACTATGCAGCCACAAAAAATGATGAGTTCATGTCCTTTGTAGGGACATGGGTGAAACTGGAAATCATCATTCTCAGTAAACTATCACAAGGACAAAAAACCAAACACCACATGTTCTCACTCATAACTGGGAATTGAACAATGAGAACACATGGACACAGGAAGGGGAACATTACACTCTGGGGACTGTTGTGGGGTGGGTGGAGGAGGTAGGGATAGCATTAGGAGATATACCTAATGCTAAATGATGAGTTAATGGGTGCAGCACACCAGCATGGCACATGTATACATATGTAACTAACCTGCACATTGTGCACATGTACCCTAAAACTTTAAGTATAATAATAATAATAAAAGAAATCTGTGTTATTTCAATGCAAAGTTGTTACAATTTTAAAATGAATTTTAGATATTAATTCAATCATTCTTATAATACACCTTTAGTAATTAGAGATAATTGTGCTTATCAATAATTAATATTCTGCTCATAAAGATAATAAATAAAATTGAGAAATTTTGATACCTTCAAACTTGTTTTCTTTCAGTCCCATGGTTCCACCTTTATATTTTAAAACATTACCCAAGTGTTCTTCATGTGAGGGCAGCCACGCTCTTTTTCCTCCACTACTTCCTCTTGCAGATCTCAGATTTGCTGACGGGCTTCTGTTTCTTGAAGAAGGTGGTGGTCTCCGCCTACCACCACTTTGAAAAGACGGTTTTTTGGCTTATTCTACTTTTATTGCTTTTCGATCCAAAGACTAAAAGTACTAAGGGTACCATCAATAACATTGGCACATTTAACATAAGCACATTTACAAACATTTTTACATCAACTACAGTTCATAGTTAATTAGGTGACAGGAAAATGTTGGAAGAAGTGTTTTGAAGTCACTTTGTCTTTAAAAATGCTTTACTTGAGCAAGGACTAAACCGTTGAGGAAGTAATCTAGGAATATATTTGGAGGAAGAGAATTCCAGGCAGAGAAAATAACCATTGAAATAATTCTGAAACTAGAATTAAGCAAATAGTCATACTGCCATCATGTGGCAAGATGAACTAAGGAAAACTCTTAAGTGAGATCAAAGACAAATCCTTTTGATTTTATTCTGAGTATAATTCCGGCTACTGGGAGAACAAACTAAGCTACACGTGAGTGTCCGAATCAAGCAGAGAGACCAAACAAATGATGATGCTTCAACAAATGTAATGGCAGAGGAGGTGATACACACAGTCGTTTCATGTGACTGTATAAACCGTATACTTGGCTGAGGGCATAAGTAATAGTCAGATAATGATGTTGAATATGTAGGTGATTTTTTATTGTTACAACTTTCCTCTAAATTCCCTCTAGTATTTGGTTTTACTCTTTTAACCAGAGTTTCAATTATTTATGCCTAAGTGTTATATGGAACTCATTAGGTATGTACCATGTAAAATTTCTTACTGTCCATCCAGTAATATAAAATTTGCATGTGATAGAAAAGTATAATTTATATGTTTAAGTTAATATTTTATAATGTATGTATAAACCCCTTGTTATATAGCTAATTTATAAATATAAGTGTTCCAAAACATATATATGTATCTGTATACTTTATAATATATATGAATTGCATATAGATGAAATGTATGCATTATATATATTTTAATTCATGTATAGTATATGTCTATATGTATTTTTTATATACTTTAAGTTCTGGGGTACATGTATCGAACGTGCGGTTTTGTTACACTGGTATAAACCTGCCATGGTGGTTTGCTGCACCCATCAACTTGTCACACACATTAGGTATTTCTCCTACTGCTATACCTCCTCTAGCCCTCCACCCCTGGCAGGCCCTGGTGTATGATATTCCCCTCCCTGTGTCCATGTGTTCTCATTGTTCAACTGCAACTTATGAGTGAGAATATGTGGTGATTGGCTTCCGGTGCTGGTGTTAGTTTCCTGAGAATGGTGCTTTCTAGCTTCACCCATGTCCGTGCAAATGACATAAACTAATCTTATTTTATGGCTGCTTAGTATTCCATGGTGTATATGTGCCACATTTTCTTTATCCAATCTATCATTGATGGACATTTGAGTTGGTTCCATGTCTTTGCTATTGTGAACAATGTGTCAATAAACGTAAGTGTGCACGTGTCTTTATAGTAGAATTATTTATAATCCTTTGAGTACATAACCCATAATGACATTGCTGGGTCAAATGGTATTTCTAGTTTTAGAGCCTTGAGGAGTCACCAGACTGTATTCCACAGTGGTTGAACTAAGTTACACTCCCACCAACAGTGTAACAGCGTTCCTACTTATCCACATCCTCTCCAGCATCTGTTGTTTCCTGACTTTTTAATGATAGCCATTCTAACTGTCATGAGATAGTATCTCATTGTGGTTTTGATTTGCGTTTCTCTAATGACCAGGGATGATGAACTTTTTTCATGTTTGTTGACTGCATAAATGTCCTCTTTTGGGAAGTATCTCTTCATACCCTTCACTCAGTTTTTGATGGGTTGGTTTAGTTTTTTTCTTGTAAATTTGTTTAAGTTCTTTGTAGATTGTGGATATTGGTCTGTTGTCAGATTAATATGTTATCCCTTGTCAGATGGCAACTTTATGGTGATAGCATTGAATCTATAAATTACTTTGCACTGTAGGGCCATTTTCATGATATTGATTCTTCCTATAATGAGCATGGAATGCTTTTCCACGTATTTGTGTCCTCTCTTATACCTTGAGCTGTGGATTGTAGTTCTCCTTGAAAAGGTCCTTCACATCCCTTGTGAGTTACTTTCCTAGGTATTTTATTCTCTTAGTAACAACTGTGTGTGTGAGATGACTGTGATTTGGCTCTCTGCTTGTCTGCTATTGGAGTATAGGAATGCTTGTGATGTATGCACATTGATTTTGTATCTTGAGACTTTCCTGAAGTTGCTTATAAGCTTAAGGAGATTTTGAGGTGAGACAGTGCAATTTTCTAAATATACAATCTTGTGATCTGCAAACAGAGACAATTTGATTTCTTCTCTTTCTCTTTGAATACACTTTCTTTCTCTTGTCTGATCGCCCTTGTCAGAACTTCCAAAACTGTGGTGAATAGGAATGGTGAGAGAGGGGGTAACCTTGTCTTGGGCAGGTTTTTAAATGGAAAGCTTCCAGGTTCTGCCATTCAGTATTATATTGGCTATGGTTTTGTCATGAGTAGCTTTATTATTCTGAAATGCATTCCATCAATACCTAGTTCACTGACAGTTTTTATCATGAAGTATGTTGAATTTTATCGAGGGGCTTTTCTGGATCTGTTGAGATAATCATGTGGTTTTTGTCATTGATTCTCTTTATGTGATGGATTAGGTTTATTGATTTGTGCATGTTGAATCAGCCTTGCATCCCAAGCATGAACGTGACTTCTTCATGGTGGATACACTTTTTGATATTCTGCTGGATTTGGTTTGCCAGTGTTTCATTGAGGATTTTTGCATCAATGTTCATCAGAGACATTGGCCTGAAATTTTCTTATTTTGCTGTGTCTCTGTCAGATGTTGATATCAGGATGATTCTGGCCTCATAAAATGAGTTAGGGTGGATTTCCTGTTTTTCTATTGTTTGGAATAGTTTCAGAAGGAATGGTACCAGCTCCTCTTTGTGCCTCTGGTAGAATTCTTCTGTGAACAACCTACTCTTCGACCTTTTGTTGTTGTTGTTGTTGATAGGCTCCTAATTACTGCCTCAATTTCAGAACTTGTTAGTGGTCTATTCAGAGATTCGATTTCTTCCTGGTTTAGATTTTGGAGGGTGTATGCATCCAGGAATTTATCCATTTCTTCTAAATTTTCTAGTTTATTTGCATAGAGGTGTTTACAGTATTCTCTGATGGTAGTTTGTATTTCTGTGGGATCAATGGTGATATCCCCTTTATCATTTTTTATTACGTCTGATTCTTCTCTCTTTTCTTCATTAGTCTGGCTAGTGGTCTATCTATTTTGTTGATCTTTTCAAAAAACCAGCTCCTGGATTCATTGATTTTTTTGAAGTGTTTTCATGTCTCTGTTTCCTTCAGTTCTGTTCTGATCTTATTTATTTTTGTCTTCTCCTAGCTTTTGAATTTGTTGCTTTTGCTTTTCTTGTTCTCTAGTTCTTTTAATGTTGATGTTAGTGTGCCAATTTAAGATGTTTCCTACTTTCTCTTCTGGACATTAAAAGTGCTATATATTTCCCTCAAAACACTGCTTTAAATGTTTCCCAGAGATTCTGGTATGCTGTGTCTTTGTCCTTATTGGTTTCAAATAACATCTTTATTTCTGCCTTCATTTCATTATGTACCCAGCAGTCATTGAGGAGCAGTTTGTTCAGTTTCCACATAGTTGTGCAGTTTTGAGTGAATTTTTAAATACTGAGTTCTAGTTTGATTGCACTGTGGCCTGAGAGACTGTTTGTTATGATTTCTATCCTTTCGCATTTGCTGAGGATTGTTTTACTTCCAACTATGTAGTCGATTTTACAATAAGTGTTTACTCTGAGTATAATTCTGGCTACTAGGAGAACAAACTGCAAGCTGCAAGTGGGCATCAGAATTAAACAGAGAGACTAAACAAATAATGATGGCATCAACAAATGTAATGGCAGAGGAGGTGACACAAACAGTCATTTCACATGATCGTATAAGTTGTGCTTTGCCTAAGACTGCTTGGCTAAAGGCATAAGTAATATTCAGATAATGATGTTGAGTATGTAGGTAATTTGTATTGTTTAGAACCTTCCTCTAATTTCCTTCTAGTGCTTGATTTTACTGTTTTAACCACAGTTAGAATTATTTATGCCTAAGTGTTATATGGAACTCTTGAAGTATGTACAATATATTATTTATTACTGCCCATCAAGTAATATGAAATGTACATGAGATAGAAAAGTAAAATTTATACTTATAGTTTAGTATCTTTTAATTTAATATATAAGCCATATAAACTATATAATTTATTGATATAAGTATTCATAAACATATACAAGATATGTATCTGTATATTTTATAATTAATATATATGTATTGCATGTATATGTAATTTATGCATTACATATTGTAATACATGTATACTACACATCTATGTGTATTTCTAACATATATGGTTAACTTTGTTTCCAACCATTCAGGTACAGCAAGGTCATCCTGTTCTTTGCCTCTTTGGCAGTCACTGCCTGGTCAGTGATACCTCAGTAGTAGGCCTGGTCAGTGATACCTCAGTAGTAGGCCTGGTTAGTGATACCTCAGAAGCCTGTTATGACCCCGTTCTTGTCATCAGGACAGCCCAATACATATCTTGAATGAGATGGCTTATCAAGGCATCCCAGAAACCACTGGGGGTATTTTTTTCTCTACCCTGCAATTTTTCTCCTGGAGTAGAAGATAGTCCACAAAATACAGTTACCTCTAATACAGGCTCTGACAATTTGATCTTTCATGGATTCTCAGAACAAATAAGGAGGAGAAGATTAAGCACTTCCCCAGTGTACAGAAAGCACCGGAACCCCCACTGAATGTTTTTTTTTTTTTTTGGTTAGAATAATAGAGATTTTTTCATGCCAATAGACTATTACACTTTCAAAGTGGTCACCTCTCCTCAGCTAGCAAATTCCCAATGGTACAATCCCGGATTTCTCCTGCTGCCAAACCACGGGATCATCCTGGTACAGCTGAATGCTGGAGTACCCCAGAAATGGAAACTTCTCAATATTTCTTTTTTTTTCTGGACTCCAGAACTCCCAAACAGATATTAAACCTATAGCCTGGAATTTTCCTGAGAAAAATACAATGGATTATAAATATTAAGCTGTGACTGATTCAGCAAGATTCTGGATTAATACATTAGCTAGTACAATTAGGCTTCATACTCTACCATTAGTTAATGCTGGTACATCCTGGTTTCTCTTTTCAAGTGGGATAGGTGAATCTCAAGTTCCTGTTAAGATGGATACTGGTCAATCTCAAGTTCAATTTATTAATGTTCCATCTCATGGACAACTTGTAGCTAAACCTTGGCTAGAAATTACTCCTGAAGTTGAAACTTAGAAACAATTGTTAGCTTATAAAACAGGAACAGTGATGCAGATTAAATCCAGTGAAGAGAGTACTAGAAACCAAAAGTATCATGTAGCTCATAGAGTTAACCCTGGTGCAAAACCAGCAACTTACAACTAGATTCCACCAGTACTTTTCATAGTTAATAAAATTGAAATATGGACTCATTGATCACTCAATGAAGATGGATCTCAGCATCCTACAGTAACCCATACCTTTGAACCATGGTGTCAGCTAGTGTTGAATATATTTGTATCCCCAAGAAATTATAGAAAGGACAGATGGATACTAGATTCTCACTGAACCTGAGTCAACTCAGTTCTGGATTTCTTCTATACTGCATACTCTTCATGTGCAAAGTTAAAAGGTGACAATATTAGGGCTTGGACACAACAGAAAACCAGTATAATGAGGCCCTCAAATCAAATAGATAGATTGAGTCCATTGAGTAAACATGTGGCTATTATTACTGAAACCCCTGATGCAGACATGAATCTTAATACATCCTATTATGAATGCAATTGAGCCCTCAATTCACTCCAAAGTTGAGATGATCAAACCCTGAAGTCAGCCTAAAACAGTCATAGTCCTAACGTGAATCTAGTCAGAAACTCAATCAGGAAGACTCTTGACTCACCTGAAAGCTGATACAATTAAACAACAGTTACAAATTGAAATGGAAACAATGAGACCTTGGATTCAGCATAAATTTAAAATACTGAGGCCCAGAACCCAGACTCAAGAATGGAAAGAAAAACACTGGACCCAACCAGAAGCAGATCCAGTTAGGTACTGGTCCCAAACTGGGATGGAAACAGTGGTACCCAGGCCCCAAACTGGAGGTGATAGATCCAGACCCCGAAATCACACTGAAGCTGATATCATCAAACTTTTGTTTTGATCTCAAGCAGAGACAGTCACACAGTGGAGAGAACCAGTAACTCTGACAAATCAGCATTGGATACAGTCTGAAACTGAAATATTGAGGTTTTGGAACCAACCTGTGACTGATAAGTTAAGAGACTGGATACAACATGAAGCTTATGCATTTAGACTCTGGGGCAAGTTTGAAAGTGTTAAAGTTAGATCGTGGACCCAAGCTGAAGATGACACTTTGAGACCCTGGAATCAGAAAGACATTGGTGTAATTGACCCCTGGGTACAAAGTAAAGCTACCGTACTAACACAATGGATGCAGGGAGAGTCTCAAGAATTAAATCCCTGGACACAATCTAAAACTCACACAGTCCCACTGTGGACCCAGACTGAAACTCCAATAGTAAACTCTTGGACCAAGATGTTAGCAGATACAGTCACAACATGGACAAAGGCTGAATTTCAAAAATTAACATCCTGAAGACAGTCTGAAACTGATCCAATCATACTGTGAACTATTGCCAAATCTCCAGCAGTGAATCTCTGGACACATTCTGTATCTGATAAAGTCACATGTTGGAACCAAGAAGAATTTCCAGCCTTATTTCCCTTGACATATTCGTATAGCTAAGACAGTCACACCATGGATCCAGGATAGATTTACAACAGTGAATCTCTGGGCAAAAACTGTAGCTGAAACTGTCATACCATTGACCCTTGATGAAATGCCACCAATAAATCCATGGAAAAATTGCAGCCTGAATATCTAGAAGGAAATAACTTACTCCCATCTGAATTTAATCCAGTCTCATTGTGGACCATGGCTTATTTGCCAGCAGTAAATTACTGGATACAGTTTGATACTGAGGCAATAACACTGTGAACCCAGATTGAGGTTCCAGCAATACATTCCTGGAAACAGTAGGTAACTGATATAATCACACTAGGGACCAATGATGAATCACTAGTGATGAATTCATGAATATATTCTCCTATATCTGATACAGTCATAATAATGTGTATCCAGGCTGAATCGCTATTATTACATCATTGGAAACAGTCTGAAACTGATATACTCACAACATGGATTCTGGCTGAAACTCTAGGAGTAAGTCCCTGGACACATGATATATTCCTATCATGGACCCACCCTGAACATCCACCAGTATCTTGGACTCAAACATGGATTCTGGGTGAAACTCCAGCAATGAATGCCTGGAGAGAGGCTACAGCTGATATGGTCCTACCAAGGAATTAGGCTGAACTTAAAGAGGGAAATGCATGGACAAAGTCTGAAATGTATACAGTCACAGAGTGGATCCTGGTTAATTCTCTAGCAGTAAATTCATGGACACAGACAACAGCTGATGCAGACAAGCTGTGGACCAAGCCTGAATTTTCAGCTGTAAATCCCTGGGCAGTCTCTGGGTGATAGTACTATACTGTGGATTCAGGATGACTCTCCAGCAATGAATCCTTTTACACAGTATCTATCTTATAGAATCAAACCATGGGACCAAGATGAATCTTCAGCAGTAAAGCATTTGACACAGGCAATAGCTTATACAATCAAACTCTGGAACCAAGTCAAATTACCTGCCATAAATCTCTGGAAACAATATGAAACTGATACCTTCATACAGTAGACCAAGACTGAATCTCCAAAAGTAAATGACTGGACACAGCCTATACCTGCTGCAGTTATACCACAGAACCAAGATGAACCTGTAGGAGTAAATCCCTCCACAAAGCTTGAAACAGAAATTGTCTTACTGTGGACCCAGGCTCATTCTAAAATCAATAATCTCTGTACATATACTTATTGATAGAGTGAAACCATTGGCTAAGAATGTTTATGTAGTAGTAAATCTATGGAGACAGTCTAAAACTGAGAAAGTCACATCATGGACCCAGGATCTGTTGCCAGCAATAAGTCACTTAGCATTGGCTGTAACTCATATAGACACACTGCAGTACACGGATGTATTTCTAATAATAATTCTCAGGAGAGAGGCTCTAGCTGATATATTCATAACATGGACACAGACAAAATCACCAGCAATCAATTTCTGGTTACAACCTGTACCTGATACAGTCACACTATGGACCTAAACAAAATATCTATAAGTAAACACTTGGAATGAGGCTGAATTTCCAGCTGTAAATCCCATGATGCAGTCTAAGTCTCTAATTGTAAATATCTGGACAGAGTCTGAATGTTCAGTCCCAAGTCCTCTGTTACAGGATGAGACTGACACAGTCATACCATGGACACAGACTGAATTTTTGGCAGTAAATCCATGGACCAAGTCTGTTGCTGATACATTCACAGTGTGTACACAGCCTGTAACTCCATCATTAATCTTCTTTTCATAAAGTTTACATGGTACACTTAAAGCAGGGCATCAAACTGAATGTCTACCAGTAAATATCTGGACAGAGGCTGTAGCTTCCAAAGTTATACCCTGGACCCAGGCTGAATTTCCAGCAATAAATCCCTGGACACAGCCTGTTTTTTATACAGCTACAACTTGGGCACAGGCTGTATCTGCAACAGTAAAGGCCTGGGCACAGCCTTCATCTAATACAATCAGATTATGGTCCCAAACTGAATCTGCAGCATTAATTACATGGATCCTGCCTGTATCTGAGACATACATAGGATTGATCCAATTTGAATTTTCAGCAGTAAATCCTTGGATACTGCCTATATCTAATACATTATCACTGTGGACCCAGCCTGTATCTCTAGCAGTCAATCCATGGATAGAGGCAATAGCTACCAAGTCACCCCATGGATCAAAGCTTTACTTCTAGCAACAAATCCCTGGATACATTCTGTATCTGATATAGTTGCACTGTGGGTGCAGGCTGAATCTTCTGCAGTCATTACCTCCACACAGCCAGTATCTGACAAAATTATACTGTGACTTCTGGCCCAGTCTCCAGTAGGAATTACCTGGACACAGACTGTATCTGATATACTTATATCATGGAACTATGATGAAACTTCAGCAGAAAATCCAGAGGCATGCATGGGCTGAGAAACTGCATGGGCTGCAGTTTCCTCAGTGTTACCATGGACCCAGGGTATCCCTTCAGCAGGAAAAACCTGGACACTACCTGTGTCCAAATCAATCACCCCATGATCTCAGTCTGAGTCTCCAGTGGTAAACACATGGACAGAGGCCACAGCTTCCACAGACACAAAGTGGACTCATGATGATTTTCCAGATGCAAATTCTTATACACAGAGTGATATGGGCTCATTTTGGATGATGGTTAAAACTGAAGCTAAGAAACTCTAGGCACTGCCTGAAGCTAAAATATTTATAGAGTTTCCTTGCTGCCTTAACCTTATACTACGCAACTTTTGATCCAAGATGAAAATCAAGCATCTATTTTATGGACACATCATGAAATTGAAAATATCGATGAATGGACCTTGCCTGAGTTTGGAACACTTATATCCTGGATACTGGCTGTGCCTCAAGCAGCAAAACCATGGTCCCAACCTGAAGCTCAAGTTAAAGAACTTCGTTTAAAACTGGAACAGAAAAAATAAAACCTTGGGCTCAGTCAGAATTTCAAACATTGAGCACGTTTACTCCCTTTGGACCTGGTAAAATAGAATCCTGGGCCAAACAGAGAACTACAACATTTATAACATGGATCCAGTCTGAAATTGATGGCTTCTTCCTGTGTACCCAATCTGAAGTAGGTACAATGAGATCCCAGACCATTTCTGAAGCTCATACAGTAAAACTATGGATCCGGTCTGAAGCAGGCACAATCCACCCCTGGACTCAAGGCAACATTAATACAATCATTGTCTGACACACTATTATATCTGGCTGAAATGCAGGCAGCAAAATGCTTGACCATGCCTGACATTAATACTCTGAGTGCTTGGTTTCAGACCCAAAACAATGTAAGAAGAAGTGGTACTCAACTTTCTTCTCAAAGAGTTACTACCTGGATGAAGCCAGAATGGCAAATAATCCGCCCATTGAACCAATCTGAAAAGAATGCAGTCATACCCTGGACCCAGTCTGAAGGTGATGTTCTGAAACCTTGGATCTATGCTGAAACCAATACAGTCAGACACGAGACACATTCTGCAACTGATAAAATAGAGCAATGGACTGAGCCTGAATCTCAAGCAATTAGGATGTGGCATGAGGTAGGTATGGTGACATGTTGGTCCCCAACTCATAACGCTTCTGTTTGGCCCTGGACCCAACTTGGATCTCAAATGACACACTCCTAGATCCAGAATCAAGTTAGCATAAATTATTCCTGGACTCAGCATGTACGTGCTACAATCAGACCATGGACTTACTCTGAAATTCATCCCTGGACCCACCCTGAAGACAATATAGTGATAAGATACCTGTTCCAGACTCAAATGAATTCAGTAAGATCCTGGAACCAACCTGAAACTGAAGTTTTCCAAATTTGGACTGTAAGCCAAGGAATAAAGCCCTGAAACATGACTGAAATTGATACAGTCACATCTTGCTTATAGACTTAATGTGATACAGTTAGACCCTGGATTCATCCTGAAAGTCAGCTGCTCTTTCCCTGGCCACTGACTGAAGTTGGTACATTTTGGACCTGGACTCAGCCAAGAGCTGCTACATATCAAACCTGGACCCACCTTGAAACCCAAGCAGTGAGACCCTCGATCGAGCAGGAAACTAATATAGTCAGATCTTCATTTTACATTCAAATGAATAAAGGCAGATCATGGGTTTATTCAAAATCTCAAACAGTCAGTCCCTGGATCCAGCTGGAAGTTGACATAATTCACCATTTTATCCAGTCTGAAACCTTCTTACTAAGATTCTGACCCAAGATTCTACCTCCAGTAGTCAAAACACGGACCTTGCTTATAGGAAGAACACTCGTATGTTGGATACTGCCTGTAACCCAAGCAGACAGACACTGTATCCAGTCTGAAGCTGATATTATTGAATCCTTTGCTATTTTTAAAGCGGGAAAAGTAAGAACATGGATCCAGCCTGAAACAGAAATACTAAGACCCATAAACCATTTTAAGGCTGATATAATTGCATCATTTTCTCCTCCTGAAATTGAGCCTAATGGAGAAACACTATTAACGAGTCATTTTGGCTCCTTGTCTAAACATGTGCTCTTTTTGCCAGTAAAAACTGTTTCTTACCCAGATCAGTATTTTATCTTTGTTAACTGAGATAACTGCCACCGAAAGCCAGGATAAAATCAATTCTCTCCAGTTGAGCCAGCGTACAAGTACTTGGTTTCCTGGAAGAGTGTTTACCAGCACTACGGCAGGAAATTAAAAATTATCCAGATAAAAGAAAGCCCTGATGTCCAGGTACCTCTCTTATCTCTCTTTCTTCCTCCATTTTCCTTCCTCTTTCTTATTCTCTTCCATCTCCATGTACACTGTGCCCTTCTTGTTCAGTCTTTTCTTCTTGTACATTCCCTTCATTCTTCATTTTCCCATCTTGCTCAGTTATTTATCCTCTGGTCTCCTCTCTTGTTCTCCTATCCATAGCCTCTTCTACTAATGTTCTTCAGAAAATATCTTCCTCAACATTTCCTGAAGAGTCCATTATTTCTCATTCTTTTTCATCCTTGCATGCTGCTGCAGCCACACTTTCAACAAAACAACTTCTCCTGATGCCTGGATTTCAATCTGGACCCAATCCTGGACAAAAACCTCTTAAGCAATCAGAACTCAATGTTTCCCGGTTGAGTGTCAACTAGCTGTAATCTGGAAGTTTCCAGGCTTTCTGGCTCTTCAAGACAGCTGTTATTTCTCATGAAACCACAGGCACCTTTAGACTAGTCATATGTGTGAGTTAATATACTTGCTACGAAGACTCTTGTTGAACCCTAAAACCACAGTTTGTAAGATCAGAGGTTATGTCCTCAAACCTTTGCAAAACCAAAATTTAGATTATTGTATGAATCAGCAGAGATGTCTAAATATTGAGAGAATATCTTACTTTTGCCAAACAGGATTTATGGGCTATGTTTTATAAACACAATTCTATTCAGAGAAGAGTATTTTTAAGATAGTCTTACTTCTTAGAAATGGTTTATTATTCCACTTGAAGTATATGAATATATACACCCACAACTGGATAATACTATAATATCTTGGATACAATAATAAGATATATTATATATTTATATATACATTAAATTATCATTTGAAGGGAAAGTATCCAAATAACCTCTGTAGCATATCTAAAATTGTAGCATGAATAATGTATATTTCCAAGTATTTTCTCAGAATTGAAGATACTGAATTTCCAAGAACATTCCTAAAAACCTAAAATTATATTTTATAAATAGGATAGTAGTAACACTAATCTCACTCTATTCCACATGTGTATTCCTTCTGCAGAGTGTGGATTATGCCCTGGCCATATCACCCACTGTCACAACCGCTGGGAGTCAGAAATTGGTGAATTCTCTTGAATAGTTTCTGTACAACGTTCTGTCTCCCATTTCTGTGCTGGCTCCATACTAAATGAACACTATTTCCTTACTACAGCTAGATGTGTCAATTTTATGTAAGTCTAAGAAATTTATCTTAAGATTAAGATATCATTATAAAGCAATAATAACATTGAGATTCTAAAGGAATATATTTACCTTTGTGTGTGTGTGTGTGTGTGTGTGTGTGTGTGTGTGCCTATGTGACAGAAAGAGACAGAGAGAAAGAGAGATAGAGACAGGGTCTTGCTCTATTGCCCAGGCTGGAGTGCAGTGGCGTGATTCAGAGTAGCCTCAAACTACCAAGATTAAGGAGTTCTCCCACCTCTGCCTCCTGAGTTCATGGGACCACAGGCACATACCATTGCATCTGGCTAATTTTTTTTCAGCAGAAATAAAGTCTTATCATGTTGCCTACCTGGTCTCAAATGATCCTTGAAAATAGTTTCTAAAGGAGTATTTGTACTTTAGTGCTTACCTGGACTTCATCTGATTCACGTGACCTCCAGGGCTTTATTCAAATTGAAATGTAGAAATAATAAGACTTTTTCTTGACTTTTTTTTCCCCTGAAAAAACTCAGCAGCCCTGGCCCTGGTCCAAGTGGAGCTTAATCATCTTCTAGATTCTGCCCAAGCTCAGACTGTCAGCATTGACTGTGCCATACCCTACCTAGGTTCCAAGTGATTCTGTGACCTGGGTTGATCTTCCTGAAGCAGCCACCATATTTTCAACCCCTGGTCCTTCCTATATGCCTGAAGGAAAGTCTGGAACAGGAGAAATTTATACAACTATATGACTGTTGGCTATCTAGTTGGTCCCTTATGTGGGCTGAGTAATGAAGAAGACAGTGGGATGAAAGAGAAGCATGTTTGGAAAGAGAATATTATTCTCTCTTGAATAATAAAGTATTTGTCTTTCTCTTCACCATATTCTCTCTCTAATCTAGGCTAAGTATGAAAACAAACAAAAAAACCTCTTCTCTGTTTTCTATCAAGGAGTCCTGGAATTATGCAGAAACAGCACCTGAGCATCCTACAAGTCAGCACTTGTAACCAATTTTGCCCAAAACTAAATGAATTCACTTTTTGTGTGGAGGCCAAGAAAGCTACGTGGGAGCCTGGCTGTAAGTTGACAAATTCATGGGGTGTGAATGCCAGGGAGAAGAAGGAATATCTTGAACACCAAAAGTTACTTCCGGCCATCCTTCAAAATATTATTTCCTTGGAAATTGAGGGATCTCTTTTGGTCTCATGAATTAAATGTGCATTTAACCACAGCTATTTTATAGCTACCCCTATTTCTATAGCTACAGTGAATAATATATTTAAAACATAAAGGAGGCCATAATTATTTGCTCACATCCTCCAAGTCTAATTCAAAGAAAACTACATGTAAGATATTAGTTATGCTTCTAATTTCATCTCTACTTGCTTACCCTTTCTATAGACAGGTTATCTCTCTATATATATTCAGGAGCATTGCTTCAACTCAATTTTCTGAGGAACTCTAAAATCATTTCAAAAATATAAGCTCTTTTCTGAAACTCAAACTTGAATTTTCTATTTAAACTATTGGATTGGTATCTCACGAACACTATACGTTTATGAAGATAAGCCCTCTCTAATTTAGAGACAGGTGCTTTATCTCCAGATTTTTCACTATTTATCTAATAGCTTCAAATCATTGCATTTTTTGTTGCCTATCTACTTCAATGACTTCTAAGTAGCTAAAATCATAGATAAATAAATGTTGCAATGGGGGAGAAAGCTGGAATGACTCCCAGTATTTTGACTAAAGAAACTTAAGCTAGGACATAAAGAAACTATGATCTTGGAAAGATAATAAGAACACTTATTTTCAAGAAAAATGCATAAACACAAAAGAGGTAGAAGTTTGTCCTTGCTAGTCATATTTCTCAATGCTGACTTGGTTAGCAGAAATAGGAGGGATTTAAAACTTTAAATAATGGTCTACAGATGGCAATTCTATTCAAATTAGCACATTAGCTTATTTTTCTCCTCAGCTTCAGCAGATCAGATTTCTCTGCAATATGCCATGCCTTGGTAGGCTGGGATCATCAGCTGTGGCAGTCAGGTCTGCAGTGGTTCCGTAGTTAGTAGCTCTTGGGTTCTCACAGCTGCCCACTATGTCAGGAACATGTAAGATTGTGCCTGCCTCTTCCAATACCCTGTAATTCATTATCCTATAATTACATTGCTGAAGGTTTCTGTGTCCAAATTCACTTCAATAATGCATGACCATCTCACTTCTACAGATATCATTTTTGTTTTAGGCTGAAAAGAAATTGCTTTACTGTGGCTTACTAGTACCTCTGTTAGTTAATTCCTCTGCAATCCCATTGTCTGTGGGATTTATTCATATATTTCTGATTTCTCTGAAGATGAGCTAGGGACCTTGTGTATCATGACTAAAAAATATGCTAGAAAGCCTGATGTACGTGTAAGGTTCAGGTTTTCTAATGAATGTACCACAATAAATCTTTGCCTATGCACACAGGAATCCTGAAGACACCGCTGTGATTCTGGGCCTGAGGCACCGTGGGGCATTATTGAGAGTTGTGAAGGTGTCTAGTATTCTATTGCATGAGAGGTTCCAGTTGGTCAGTGGGGCAGAAGGAATGACCTGGCATTACTACTCCTCCAAGATGTCCAGACTCCCATTTGGCTCTTAGCCCCCTTGGGCTATCTGAAGAACCTGAATAGTTCAGCATGCCGGCTCTCTGGGCCACAAATTATTACACCAGGTCAGTGGTTAGTTTTCTTATTTGGGTAGCAGTTCTAAAAAATGAGGTTCATATTTTTAATATTATGGTTCAAGGAAGAAGTACAATCACAATTGTATATATTACTAAGTGTAAGATATTTAATCCACATAAGAGACCCAATAGGAGATTTGTTTTCATTTTATAAGATGATGGCTCTGATGATAACTTCATAGGATTTTAGATCCGAAAACAATTACATGAGGATCTTTCCCTGTACAGTCAATTTTGTAAACTAAAGTAGAGATGATTTGCTTTCCAACTCTTTGCTGACTTCAAAACAAAGGAAAAAGGAGTTTTTTTGTTTGTTTTGTTTTTCCCTCTTTATGAAAATTAAACTGAACTTGACTTGGCGTTTAGAATTTCATAAGTAAAATTTACTTGTTACTTTTGAAGAGTGGCATTTAGAAAGTGATTAAAGAGTGATGATGCTGTCCGCAGTGGCTCACTCCTATAATTCTAGCACTTTGGGAGCTTGAACTAGGAGAATCCTTTGGGCCCAGGAATTTGATACCCACTTGGGCAATATAGCAAGGCTTCATCACTAAAGAACAACAACAACAACAACAACAAATAGCCTGGTGTGGTGTTGCACACATGTAGTCCCAGCTACGTGGGAGGTTGAGACAGGAAGATAGCTTGAGACTGAGAGTTTGAGGCTGCAGCATGTGAAGGTGGTGCCAATGCACTCCAGCCTGTGTGACCACACAATAACTTGTCTCAGAAAAAAAGAGAGGGGGCTGGTGTCGTCGCTCATGCCTGTACTCCCAGCATTTTGGGAGGTTGAGGCCAGCGAATAACCTGAAGTCAGGAGTTTGAGACCAGTCTGACCAACATGGGGAAAACCCATCTCTACCAAAAATATGAAATTAGGCAGGAGTGGTGGTGTGTGCCTGTAATCCCAGCTACTTAGAAGGCTGAGTCAGGAAAATTGCTTGAAACCAAGAGGTGGAAGTTGCAGTGAGATCAGGCCACTGCATTCCAGGCTGAGTGACAGAGTGAAACACCATCTCAAAAAAAAAAAAAAAAAAAAAAATGAAGTCACTAGAAAGAGAATGAAATTATTGGCTATAAACTGAATTTCTTTCTATAAGTTATACATACAAGTTTAAAGTAATAATGATACAGTGATAGACAATTCATGGTTTTATCTCAATACTTAGTGTTTAATTGTAAAATATGTTCTATAGGATAGCTATACTCCATTTTTCTTTCTAGGGGAGACTTATGAGAATCCAGAAATGTTAAAGACGCAACTAATGCAAGCTTCCATCTGTGCCCACCTGGATTCTGACATAGGCAGCTCCATTGTTTGCTTTGTTACTGAGGCCAAAGACTCTAATGCAAATGTGGTACACAGTCAAAAATTTTTTTTCTAGCTACTATAAAACTATAGTAACTAGTTTTATAGTAGTTCTATAGTGATAGAAACTATAACTTTGTTCCTATATACAAGGGTATACAGCATATGCCTAAATGATAAATTTAAGTGAATCATTGATTAACAGGAAACCATTTTAAAAGTCTTCAATTGCAGAAAAAATCTCTGAAAACACTTTGTTGTTAATCTCTGAGTTTTCTTACATGGGTCACTAATCTCTAGCCATGCTAAATTGCTGGCATGCTGCCCTTGAAACAAATTAGACATTTTATATAATTCTCATATTCTAATAATAGTATCTTTACACCTCAGAGTTTAAAATGAGTCTAACCTTTTCCTATTTCCCTAATTAAATAACTTTTTTAAAGTTTAATCTTCAGTGATTTTTTGTAGTAATACTTTTGAATGTATTTCATCAGGATGATTTACTTATGTAGTTACCTGATGTCTCACTTTCTTCTGAATGCATATTTTTTATCCATTTATTAGATCTAAGTTTAAGAAGTTGGAATAGGGATTTAAATCCAAATTCTACGTTTGAATTTACAGGAGTCAGTGAGTCTAGGAAGTGCCGTTATTTGTAGACCAATATCTGGCAATGGCAGTTGGAGACAAATAAGCTTCAATAGTCTCAAAGCCCTAGCTACTACAGTGAGTTCACACCTCTCCTGGGTCATATCTACTTCAGCAAAAGAAGGCCACCCACTAAACTAGGCCTTTATGCCTTGGGTGTAAACTCCTAAGTCCTCTAGTCTCCTTAAGCAGCCAACCACAGTGCCACTTACTTCAATAATAATTACTGCACCTCTGAGACTTTCGTAGCCTTGTGACTATAACTAGTGATGCTAGAGTCTGGTCATAGTATGATAAAACACCAGAGCAATAAAAACAAAATATTGACTTAAGCCTCCTAAAATCTCTCTAAATATACCTTCAATAAATATGCTTTTTCTACATAACAACTGCTTTCTACTTACTTCCTGAACTAATGCTTGGCCTTGGATTATTTTCATTCTTGAAATTGATTCAAAAGTGTATATTTAACATGAGGGCGAATACAGAATTTCATATGTCAGCAAATAAAATTTTCAAAGTGATGCAAAATACAAATGTGAACTTGTGTTTGTGAACTTTACTATTCCTTCAAATTAAATGCTCATACCTACCCACTCACACAATTTTTTATAACTATCTGCATGTTCTTCTCAGGTGGGAGAAAACAGTATCAGAGTTCTTGAATAATTTATGGAAGTCAGAATGACAATACTATACAAGGTTTAACCTATTCACAATACTGTATTTAGTGAATGAAGACATGACTTTTAAAATCCTACTAAAGTATTAAGTAAGTAAAATATATGATTTCAATAACTCTAAAATATGTGTACATGAAGAAAATAGATCAAGGATTAAAATACGTAAACAACAAATGAGTCCGGGTGTGGTGGCACACATCTGGAAGACCAGCATTTTGAAAAGGCTTATGTGGTCAGATCACTTGAGGTCAGGAGTACAAGACCAGCCTGGCAAATATGGTGAAACCCAGTCTCGACTAAAAGTACAAAAGTTAGCTGGACCTGGTGTCATGCACCTGAAATCCCAGCTCCTCAGAAGGCTGAGGCAGGGGAATTGCTTGGACCTGGGAGGCAGAGGTTTCAGTGAACCGAGATCATGCCACTTCACTCCAGCCTGGGTGACAGAGTGAGACTCCATTTCAAAACACACACACACACACACACACACACACACACACACACAAACGAATAAAAAAAAATCTGTTTTAGAAAAAGTGCTCACAGGAAACTCACATATCTAACAGAAAAAAAAAAATTCTTGAAAACAAAAGTTCCAGAATGGGCAGATAAGAAAACAAATTTAACACTTTGCATATAAAGTACAAATAGTAAACTGAAAAGAACCACAGGGGAAAACCATTCAAAATTTACAACTAAGTACTCTAAAAGAAGCTGAAAGTCCCTCAAAAACTTTCTAGAGCCCATGTTCCTGTATTGCAAAAATGATCATAAAATTTGCCAAGAGTAGAACAATAAAAATGTATCTTAAACCTTGATAAATACTTCAAGTCTCACATAAGATTTGTAATGGAAAATGGATCCTTCCGCAGGTTTTGCATACAATTATGAACAAACCATTTTTCTTTGTATTTAAATTGGCTTTTTCAATATTCTAAGAAATTAACTTTTATATTAATAGTAGGTGATGTAACAAAGCAGGTCTTTATCAAGATAACTGACACTGGATATCCACACCATTACTCAGGTGGGCCTTAATTCCCAGTCAGGTTCCCTCCCTGGACACACACTGAAGGTCCACATCTATTTTGTAATCTCTTCACATTTACAGCCCTGGAGGAAGCTCTAAAATACATGTACATTCAGAAAATAGAACATTTCCTCACACTGGAGCCCAGTGTGGTCCTCCAGATTCCCTGTACAGTGGCCTGTCTTATCTGGGAAGGAAGGGCAGTGGGAGTGCAAGTGAGGATGGCAGAGAGGAGAATGCATGTCAGGGGTGCCTGGGGTCATTAAAACAGAACATGACAGGCCTGGGAGAAACATTTTGAAAGGGTGTAGACCTAGATTGGCCTCAGGTGCACATCTGCTTGGAGAGGGAGAGGGCCCTGGTTGAGCTCAATCTGAGCCCCAGGTGGCAGCAGGCCTCAAGGCAGGGGAGGGAGCTGGTGAGTGATGATGAGACAGCTATCCCTTAAGCCCTGCTTCTCACTGACATTAGACACATATGCATTGTCGATGGCTTAGGGTTCCCCAATCCTAAAATGTGGGTGTTACAGTTCCCTGATGGGCCTTTCTTCCCAAACCGATGGTTGGCCTGGGATTGCTCACTGCAGTCTTCTCCATGATCCTTGAGTTCTCCATGCAGGGTACAGATCCATGACTCGAAGGCCTCTCAGTTCCCAGACCTAGGCTGCTCACCTGGCCTCCTCTTTGTTCCCTCTCTAATGCTGTCCCTCACTCCCTGGGGTAGAACTCCAATGGATTGAGCCATAGGCCCTGGCTAATGATCTGGGGAACTGCAGAAGGGGTCCACAACAGGTCAGGTCACAGTTCAAAGCCCATTCCCAAGAGGCCAAGGAATGAGCAGCAAGGTCCTTTCCCATGATGCCCCACCACGGACCCCACCTCAGCAATCCTGCCAAAACCCAGGCAGTCATATTCAGCCAAACAGCTGAACAAGCTCAGGTAGGCAATGTTCTGCCTACAGCTGGAGGCTTGACCTTCATGATCCCACTGGACTGCAGTGGAATGAGACACCCTGTACCCTGCAGGGAGAGGAGTCAGGGAGGTTCATGACAGGCTTACCCTCTCACACACCAGCTCCCTTACCATGCTGAGAGGCACTTCTTACCCAGGATGCCAAAGAAGTATTCCTTAATGATAACTTCATTGTGGAAGTAAAGGTTGTGATGAAAGGAAATTTCATCCAGCCGCCGGTAACCAGGATGACTGAGTTCCTCCACCTGTCTGATCAAGAAGAAGAAAGAGGATGGACTCAACGGGACCATTTCATCTAGCTGGGCTGAAGTGGGCTGCCATCTGGAGTAAAGGATGAGTTTCCCCTTTCCAGCTCTGCCACTGAGACAGCCCCAGGCCCCAGGGGAACCTCAAACTGACTCAGAAACTGGACCACTCCCACAGACCCAGGCTCCCCACCCTGACCTGCAAATCCATCATGTAGCAAAGCAGGACTTCATCATGGTTTCTGACCTAGGCCGACATCTGGGCTTGCCAAGCAATCTACCTCTGGTCAAGGAGCCTCCAGATGATTGGTTGGGCAAGCGTGGTGACACCCTGCAATTTTGCAAGATCACAGAGAATGTGGAGCAGGGCTATCTTCCAGACATTTGGCCTGTCACCCTCTCTTGTTGATCCCCTGTCTTTGGCAAGAAGGCAACACCACGACTGTGGTGGTTTTTGGTTGGGTGGAGCCAGGCCAAGCTGGCCTGCACTGACCAGGGACAGGAAGCAGAATGAGTGGGCAGGTGGTTTTGGCTGAGGGAGGGATGGGGGAAGGCAGGGTGGTATGAGGTGTCTGCTTCCTCAGGGTTCATGAGCTGCAGGAGGCCCTTGTGTGCTGGGTTCTGGACATGCTCTGCTGATATCTGGGTGTGTGGTGTCCTCTTATCCTGGACTCCCTGAGGGTGTGCCTGTCCACTTGAGGGAAGCCTTGTAGGTAGAAGGAGCTTGCAGGATTTTGCCTGGTGCTCCCCATGGGAATTGTGTGGGTGCAAAGGAGTTTATATATGCTCGGGGCCTACACCTCTTTTGGTGCAGCGCCCGCAGGGGAAAGAAAGCGTTATCTGGGGAGCTGGTACCTGCCTTGAGGAGGTCAGCAGCCCCATGCACCACAAACTCGAGTCTTTAGCACCTTGTGTTTCTGGGGTGAGCCTGGTGGAAACAGGCACTAAAAGCGGGGGTGGTTCATTAGCTGGCCCGAGCTTGCAGACTCCCCTTCCTCCAGGGCATTTCCCAGGGAAACGTGCCCCTTAACTTTGTGCTGTGAGTGAAGGACCCTTGGCGCCGAGATTCCTCCTTGTGAGTACTGTGCTTGGCTTCCCTTCCCTACCACGTGCTCCCGGGG
Source organism: Homo sapiens (assembly GCF_000001405.40). Classification (NCBI taxonomy): domain Eukaryota; kingdom Metazoa; phylum Chordata; class Mammalia; order Primates; family Hominidae; genus Homo; species Homo sapiens. The sequence goes on from NC_000024.10 coordinate 9,868,160, forward strand.
CTCCCACAAGCAAGCTAGCCTCCTATCTGCAGGAACCTGGCCTCCGCTCCCAACCTGTGCCCCATCCCCTGCCTCCTGGCTCACCCCATACGCCTCCCTCCTGGCTCCTCCCCCAACCCAGCCCCCATGCCCCCCACCCCGAAGCCTGATGCCCATCCCCTGCTGCCAGCAATACCGAATGGACAGCTGCAAGGATATGGCTCTGTCCCAGAAGCCGGAGACGCCCTGTGGCCTGGCCCATTCACAGCCCAGCTGCAAGTGAAGGACCTCCAGAGAGTCCATTCACGGCCCGGTTCTGCTGGGTCCAGGGCCAGGCTGTGCCCGCTGGTCCTCCTTCTGCCACTACACATTGGTCTCCTCCTTAACCACCACCTCCTTCTCAGCCATTATGTCTTCCACCATCAGCACCGCCTCCTCTTTCAAGGCCGCCTCCTTGCTCTGTACCCGGGCCGTCCTCTCCAGCAGAGCCTCCCGCCTGAACACTGTGCCCTCCTGGGTACTCCCGCAGACCCCGGTCTGTGCAGCCCAGCCCATCCCCGGCACCACTAGGCTCTGGGGCCGCTCCCCAGGAGGCCCGCTCCCCGGAAGGCCCACAGACCTCGCCCTGCTGAGAACCTAGTCCCACAGGTACGTAGACGCAGGTTTCCTGAAAAGCCCGGCTGGGCCCGCAGATCGCCGCACTTGACCTGGGGCTCAGGTCCCCAGCAGGGTCAACTGCGCACAGGAGCTCAGGAGCCACAGCCCAAGGCCTTGGGCTTGCAGAGCCCCACCAGCAGGCACCGCAGCCGCTGCTGCACGTGCGGGAGCCTCTAGGTCTGCAAGGCAGCGTACAATTGTGTGCACGCAGGATATCGACGGCCAACCTGGCGGCTGGTCTCCGGTGTGCCTAGGGCATAGGACGAGAGGCACTTTGGAATGCTCCCCGGAGTACAGCATCCTCACGGAGGAAGCATGGTACGCGGAGCCTGTATTTGCCTCGACCTGCGAGAGCGCTTGCCGGGGTTCTGGCCTCTAGAGGCGACGACTTCCACCCAAGCATAACCCGGCTACTTTCCTCCCTAGCGTCGGCCCCGACCCACTTTCCCCAGGCCACCCCCACTGCCCTCGCCCCAGCAGCCAGAGAGAGTTCTCCTCTGGATCTGCAATATTCCGTATCATCTACCTGGCTTGCCTAATGAAATGAGATGTTTCATGTGCTCCTTGTGGGTCAATGATTTGCCACATTCAGGATGTCAGTTAGGGCACAGGTCTCCCATGCCCGCAATTCCAAAGGCCACGCAGCCCACGTGTGCCTGGACGCAGCGCTACCTGGCACAAGCTCCAAGGGCTTTTCAGAGGAGGGTTACCCCAGGAGGCTGGGACTGCAGGCCAACCTGGGTTGGTGCCGCCCAGGGAGACGCCCACCGCCCTCCGACTGATTGACCGCGGGGGGAGGCGGGTGGTGTTGGCGCGGCTCCTGGCGCCGTTTGCCTGAAGTCTGTTGGGGGAGCCTGGAGCCCAGTGCATGCGCCCTGAGGGCCCTCCGACCCACAGGCTCCAGTAAGGGCAGCGGCAGGGTTCCTGTGGTGTGGGTCAGGCAGCACAGGCGGTGGTCTGTGGGAGTCCGGAGAAGGGCACTGTCTTCAGGATGGAGGCTGTACAGGAGGGGGCTCCCGGTGCGCAGAGCGGGGAGGCAGCCTTGGAGGAGGAGTTGTGCTGCTGTTAGACAACATAATGGCGGAGACGAAGGTGGTGGCCCAGGAGGAGGCCGACGTGGAGCTGCAGGAGGAGGACCAACGGGCACAGCCTGGCCCTGGGCCCATGACCCCAGAGTCTGCACTGGTGGAGCTGCTGGTCGTTCAGGTGGGGCTGGAGCTGGTTAATGCCCGAGCCAGGAATACCTTTTCTCAGGAGAGGAGAAAGATGGAGCAGAGGCGCAAGCCCCAGCTGGACCGCAGAGGCGCCATCATCCAGAGCATCCCTGGCTTCTGGGCCAGTGTTGCATCATTTTCAGTGTTTCTTCTGCCTATCTAGTTGAGAGGTGCTCTTGGGGAAGTGTAAGTAACTGATGGGCAGCTCGGCGTCGATGTGACCATTTGGGGAGGAAACGTGGGTTGCCACGGACACATGTGGCTGTAAAAAGCCGGAGCAGAGGCGGGTACTATCTTCCTGCATGCAGCGGAGAAACCCTTCCTGATGCTGAGCATCAGACGTTTGGGGCATCTTTTTGAAGAGCAGAAGCGAGTTCTCACCAGAACAGGTTTTTCTGTGAATCAAGATATTGTTAAGGGTGTGTGATTGCTCCCCCTTACTAGTCTGATCTGAGACTGGGAGTCTTTGGGTATAAGCAGATTCTGCCACTCCTTAGACACCAGGAACTCTCTGCAAATTTCCCCTCCCAATATCAGTGCAGTCAGCCTCAGAATTACATACTCTCCGTGAACCCAAGAGTCCTTAATTCAGGGGGAGGGAGAGGGGAAAGGGAGGTCATACATGGAAGCAGATCTGATAAATTCCATACCCCTGCCTTTGGGTGCTCTTAGGCCTTCTTCCCTGTTGTTTCTAGCTTTTCCTTCCATGGCATCTAAAGCCTCTTTGACCTAAATCAAGATTGCGAACCACCCCCAGATGTCAGCCTTGATTATGGGTTTATATGCCCACAGATACATCAATCACATCTCCTGGCACTGCTCTGTAATAGAGAGGCCTGGCCTCTGTGAGTCATGGTTCCTAGGCTCCCATAAAAATTACTTCCTGTTTCAATTCAGTTGAGGGGTGACAGTGAAGAGACTAGAGAACAAGAAGACTAGAGAAGCCAGTGTGTGTCCCTCTCCTTCTCAGCAGGGGATATGTTTCTGCAGTGATTCCATGGCCTGCAGGACATGCTCTCTGTTTTCATTTTCTATTTAGTGACCCTAATCCTAGAATATTCTAATGCTATTTCCTCCAATTGTCTTCTCTAAAGAATTTGGGTATCATTTTTGGAGACTTAAATAAAAACTATTGATATGGAAGGGGGTAGAGAAGTGCTGGGTAGGGGAGGGCATGGTCCTTGGTTAGGGCTCCACCCTCAGACCTGTGTTCACTCACATAGGTGAGGACAAACACTTCTGTTTTCTTGTCCAAATGTTGCATTTCCCAAGAACACCCTGGCCTGCCACACCTCCATCCTGTGATATAAGAAACTCCGATACCCTAGCAGGCAGTGACATACCCGCAGATGTTGAGAGGAACATTTCCCAAGACCACCCTGGCCTGCTACACCTCCATCCTGTGATATAAGAAACCTGGAGACCCTAGCAGGCAGTGACATAGCCGCAGATGTCGAGAGGAACCATCAGCAGAAAAAGACGCAGCAACTGGACCTTGAGAAGACACCAGAGGAAGGAAAGCACAAGGACAGAGGTGGCAGGCCATCCACCTCAGAAGAACATGGAGTCCCATGGGGCTGTGGGAAGAGAGTCCAGAGCTGCCCCATTCCAAGGGAAACCGACCTTCCTGCTCCATCTCCCTTGTGGGTCCCCATCTATCTGCTGAGAGCATCCACTCAATGAAACCTGGCACTTATTCTTCAAGCCCACGTGGGAGCCAATTCTTCAGGTACACCAAGGCAAGAAACCCCGGGATTCAGATAGCCCTCTGTGTTTGCAGTAAGGCAGGGTGTCTGATGGAGCTGACTAACTCAAGCCACCTACGGATGGATAAACTAAAATAACACCATGTAACACATGACCTCTGGCAATTCCAGATCTGTGAACATTCATCCCTAGACACTGCCTGGGAGCAGAGCCCCACAACCTGTCCTCATTGCAAGCTCCATTGGGAAGGGTAAAAGCGATGTTTTCCCGTTTCAATATAAGTCTGTTTTCAATGCAGTGTGCTTTCTATAATACTGCCGTGTTACCTCATTTCATATATTTGACAAAATAAGTTACAAATTATAAGTAATGTGAGAAGAAAATAAATGGTGAAGAGTAAGATAGAAAATGAAACATGTTGTCATTAAGGAATGTGTTTTACTTCATATAGCAGAAAAAAGTAAGCATGAATTAAACAAAAAGGGATTTCTGTTTTTCACATGTGAACCAGCCATAGTTAGGCAGTTGCTGCCTTTGATTAGTTGCTCTGCTACATGGTAGTAGCAGAGCTGCATGGTAGTAGCAGTGAATTTTTGGCTATTTTCTCTAAGGCGAAACCTAGATGAAATTCCACACCATGTTGAATTTCAACCAGCTGTTCCTAGCCAGATTTGCCCACACCCTGGTTTTCCACAGTCTTATCATCTCCTACTTTATGTGGCTATTTTAACAGTGTATATTTGCTAGTCATGTGAAACACCTGTCTGAGATTTTCTATGCTCCTGCAATCACCTACTATTTTTCCTATCTCAAATTATGTGCCTTGCTCACTTTTCTCCTCAGGACACTATAGGATGTTCTTTAGCTGATTTTTTTAAAAGAGCATTGGTAAACCAGTTTCATTTCCCTCAGATACTTGTGAGAGTTTCTGAGAAACTTATACAAGTCTCAGCTAAACACCTGGCACTGGACCACTACCCTTTCAGCTGCCTGTTGCTGACTTCTTTCATTAGATAAGATCCCCCAGGCAGCACCTGCTTGTGTTGCCCTGCCTCCACTTGGTGTCCTAAAGACAATATCTAATGTTTAAAACACCTTAAGTCTTAGATATAGCATAAAGTGTTTATGGGATACAAAACAACAATCAGACACAACAGATTGAGTCATTCTTTTTTAAACTCTTATATGAAATTATTTTGTAGTTTGTCTTATTGGAAGTGAGAGACCCAGAGAGTAGAAACAGTGCTTCCGCTTCATCCACCCTAATGCATCTCAAACATCTGTCTCATCACTTGCTTTCTATGAGATGTCCATGTATGAGCTCCCATAAAATGTTGCATAATTTATACAAGCAAATGGTCCTATGGAACAATATTAATTTTTAAAGACAAATCCTCATTCAAAAGTAAAGATTTTCAAAACCAGAAATAATTTACAGAAATGCTACAAAATGTGGCATAATAATCATAGTGTGGAAATAGAAATTCAGACAAACTTTCATATTGTTACTGAGAGTATTTTTCCTTGAAGAGCTATAGTACTGGCTATCTGCATCCCAGTAATATTTTTATTATTTTTTACCGTCTCATAACCAAATGGCCCACAAGGTTAGATTTTCTGTGATAGAGTGTTTGACTAAAGAGTCAATAACTCTTGCAACTGAGATCATCCTTAGAAATTAGCTTAGAAATTAGTTGACCAAAATCTCAAAGTTCCCAAGGCCAATCCTTAGGGTTCAATCTCAGACTGTAATAGTGTTTTCTTCAGAACAGTGGCTTTAAGTAGGCAGATATTTTCACATTTATAATCTATTGGTGGAAAGTCTGGTCTTAAAGTAAGAGCAGCAGATGCATCTCTCCTTTCATGACAAGTTTGACACTCAAGAGATGATAAACTTATAGGAAAAAATGGTTTTCTCCATTTTTCTTTAGCTATCTATTCCCAGAAGAAATTAGAATAAATATATGAATGACATTTTGAAACATTCTGGAAAAAATTAAAGAAGAGCATATTAAGAAACAAAACTTTTGCCAGTATCAGTCTTTGACGACAAAGTTAACCACTTCAACTATACAGTATAAATGTATTTACAAATAAAGTGAATGCATAGGGAAATGTTTCTTGCATTGCACCCACTTTCTCCAGTGATGTCCTAGCCACTCATTTAAAATGGGTCATTGATTGAATTACAACTATAACCTTAATGCAAATAGTACAGTAGAAATTTTTTTAAAACAGAACACATGCACACATTGGTTATTCTTCCAGTTGTACTGTTTCTTTTGTATGGGTGTGTGTATGTCTATGTAATTTTAGAAAGTTATAGAGAATAGATTTCGGGCAAGTAATTAGAAAGTAACCAGATTTTATTTGCAATAAAAATGAAAATGGTTAACTTTAATTGAAATTTTAGTAGAACAGTAAAACTGTATAAGAATTTATCCTGCTCAGGGAAAAGATATGTAGTGTTTTGCAGACTGAAAGAGTTATTTCCTGAGTAACCAAGTGTTGGTATTTACTGCAGAAATAGATTTGTTTTGGTAGATCCCTGTAGCCAGCTACCTGCAGAGAAGGAAATCCTACTAGAGAGAATTCTAAATAGAATAAATAAATATTCTTTCATTTGGGTGAAGTGTTCACATACGATATTCTTTTATATTCATCTATAAACATTTACTTTTAATACACTTTCCAAAAAATTAAAGTAATTATAAAAATTAACAAGAGAATTGTATATTCCTTATTTAAAATTTTTAGCCTTTTCAAATCTAAGAAGGCCACTGTGAAATACCTGAAAATGAGATATAAAATGGAAAAGAAAAGAAAATCCAGCAGAATGTACCAGATTTTTTTAATGTGTTGGATGTACATATATCTGTTAGCTTTTAGTGGCAGACAGAGTGCAGTCTACATAATTTTGTTCATAATAGTTGCCTATGCATCATACATTCACACATAAATATTATTTCTCTGAAGATTGAAATAGAAAGCTAGTAGAACACAACATGACACATATGCTGAATTACATTTAAGCAAGAGTGAATTATGTAGTTAAATGATCTCTTCAAGGGGCTTCTTACCACTCTCTCACTAGGTAGTCTAGGGATTAATTAAGTTCCTAAGCTCTTTCAAGCTAAGAAACACTATGTAGTGCTATACGTTATCTTGGTAACACAAGAGGGAGGCATAAGTGATTTGCAACTTCATAGGCTCTGTGAAATGTGTCTAACCTGATAGACAGTTTTTTTCTGACAGTGTTTTATGGATTGGAAAGTGCTTATCAGATTTGAAGGTCGAATTTGCTCTATTAAAATCATGCTAATCTGCAAAATCAATCTTTGTTCTATGTGTATGTAGAGTGATGTTTCTCAAAATAGAAGAAAACTTGGGATATGATTTGGAAGGTAATATAATGAGGTAGAATTTTGACATCAATTATAACTTATCTATTATCGTTTGACTCAGCTAATGCTCTCTTAATTAGTGCAACTGAAGTCTAGTTAATCTGCGTAAAGGTAGAGGAAATTTTGTAACTAATACAATATTATGTAACCATGAATCTGTTGCCAAAATACCAGAAAATGTAAAATCTGTGAAAGGGAAAAAAAAAATGCAAAACAGAGGAGGCTTTGGAGGTATTTTTACTGTAAGGACATTGAAACTTAAGAATTTAAATGATGTTCCCAGGATCACCAGCTGGTAAATACTAGAGTTTCAAACATCAACTCATTTAATTCTTTCAACAACTTTTTATTTTAAGTACTACTATTATTTGTATGCAACAAATAAGGTGACTGAGGTCCAGGGAAGGTAAGTAACTTGGCCAGGGCCATGTGGCTAATAAGTGTCAGAGCCAGGATTCAGGCCAAGAAATTTGACTCCAGAGCCCATGCTTTTAATTTTACACCATTCTGTCTCTCCAGGAATAGCTGTACTCAGTTTCCAGACTTCGCTTTCCTCAACCCCTCCCACTTTTCTTTTCATTATATTGTGTTGCCAAGCACACACACACACACACACACACACACACACACACACACAGACACACGCCTGCTAAAAAACATATATAACCCCATAAAACATTTAACAAAAACATGTATATGTGTATACATTCTTTGCTTCTCAGTGTGTCTGCAGAATGATGATTGATAAATGACTCAAATCAGAGAGCAAAAGAGACTGATTCTGTTTTATCATCAGCCAGAAAAAGGAAGATTCCTTTAGGCATTCTAAGCATAAGGCAAGATGAATAGTGTGCTAATTAGCTCTAACACTATCAGCCTGCTGTCCTTTGTTTGGGGCCAAGAATGAAAGCGGTTACATTGTGCCTAACAACATGGTCCACTGGCCTTATTACAAGGCTCCAAGAAGGATTTTGCAACATAAGCATATGGATATTTTGCAATATTTACAGGGAGTGAAATATATGCTGATTAGCATACAAGCTACAAATGTTTCATGTTGTAAGCCTTTTCAATTTCTTTCCAAAGGTATTGCTGCTTATCCTCCACTTGGATATATATTTTTTAATTTGAAGAAAATATTTTACTCAGTTACAACCTGAGCTATGACTTTTGTAGTGAATTTAAAAGAAAATACCATTAATATAGTATAGTCCAAAGAATATTGTAGAGTCAGAAATCATGAAGTTAAGTCCCATTTTTGCTCTGCACATTAGTTATCCTTTCTTCATAGCTGGAGAAAATCAAATCATCAGCCACCCTAGTTTAACTTTAATTGTTCTCAAAACTCAAATTAAGTCTCAATACTTCCTGGAATTTCCACTGTTTTTCTATAGCAAGTTCACTTTTTCACTATCTCTAAACTCATTTTCATATCTTCCCTTTCCTTAAATTTTATATACCCACCTGTCCCAATCTCATTGTTTCCAATTGTATACCTCACTGAGAAAATGGGAGGAAGCCATGAAAAGAAGCTTGCTCCATATTTTGACTGTGACATCTCCAAGCCTGATGTTAATATACCCCTTTTCTTTATTTCAAACCAAGAAAGTGTCCCCATTTCTAAGAGATGGGACAGTCGTTCCACAATTGTACTGGGTCCCATTCTTCTTCACTCCCCAAGGATTTTACTCTTTCAGGTGCACCATATTTCTCTTGCAACATCAGTTTCTCCTGTATTGTATCATATCTGTTAACATTCAAACATGTTAAAAAAATGCCATCTTCAAAATAATATGATAAAATACTTATTTACCCTAAATCCCTATCTACAGTCTAATTTATCTGCTTTCCTCACTGCAAAACCTGTTATAAGAATTGTTGATGTGGGCGGTGGCTCACGTCTGTAATCCCAGCACTTTGGGAGGCCAAGGTGGGTGGATCACGAGATGCAGTCCATCCTGGCAGACACGGTGAAACCCCCCTCTTCTTTTTTTTTTTTTGGAGAGATTAATATTTTATTTTATTTTTTATTTTCTTTTACTTTTTTATTATACTTTAAGTTTTAGGGTACATGTGCACAACGTCCACGTTTGTTCCATATGTATGCATGTACCATGTTGGTGTGCTGCACCCATTAACTCATCATTTAGCATTAGGTATATCTCCTAATGCTATCCCTCCACCTCCCCCTACCCCACAACAGGCCCCAGTGTGTGATGTTCCCCTTCCTGTGTCCATGTGTTCTCACTGTTCAGTTCCCACCTATGAGTAAGAACATGCAGTGTTTTGTTTTTTGTCCTTGAGATAGTTTGCTGAGAATGATAGTTTCCAGCTTCATCCATGTCCCTACAAAGGACATGAACTCATCATTTTTCATGGCTGCATAGTATTCCATGGTGTATATGTGCCACATTTTCTTAATCCAGTCTGTCATTGTTGGACATTTGGCTTGGTTCCAAGTCTTTGCTATTATGAATAGTGCCTCAATAAACATACGTGTGCATGTGTCTTTATAGAAGCATGATTTATAATCCTTTGGGTATATACCCAGTAATGGGATAGCTGGGTCAAATGGTATTTCTAGTTCTAGATCCCTGAGGAATCACCACACTGACTTCCACAACTGTTGAACTAGTTTACAGTCCCACCAACAGTGTAAAAGTGTTCCTATTTCTCCACATCCTCTCCAGCACCTGTTGTTTCCTGACTTTTTAATGATCGCCATTCTAATTGGTGTGTGATGCTATCTCATTGTGGTTTTGATTTGCATTTCTCTGATGGCCAGTGATCATGAGCATTTTTTCATGTGTCTTTTGGCTGCATAAATGTCTTCTTTTGAGAAGTGTCTGTTCATATCCTTCGCCCACTTGTTGATGGGGTGTTTGTTTTTTTCTTGTAAATTTGTTGGAGTTCATTGTAGATTCTGGATATTAGCCCTTTGTCAGATGAGTAGATTAGAAAAATTTTCTCCCATTCCGTAGGTTGCCTGTTCACTCTGATGGTAGTTTCTTTTGGTGTGCAGAAGCTCTTTAGTTTAATTAGATCCCATTTGTCAATTTTGGCTTTTGTTGCCATTGCTTTTGGTGTTTTAGACATGAACTCCTTGCCCATGTCTATATCCTGAATGGTATGGCCTAGGTTTTCTTCTAGGGTTTTTATGGTTTTATGTCTAACATTTAAGTCTTTAATCCATATTAAATTAATTTTTTATAAGGTGTAAGGAAGTGATGCAGTTTCAGCTTTCTACATATGGCTAGCCAGTTTTCCCAGCACCATTTATTAAGTAGGGAATCCTTTCCCCATTTTTTGTTTTTGTAAAGTTTGTCAAAGAACAAATAGTTGTAGATATGCAGCATTATTTCTGAGGGCTCTGATCTGTTCCATTGGTCTATATCTCTGATTGGTACCAGTACCATGCTTTTTTGGTTACTGTAGATTGTAGTATAGTTTGAAGTCAGGTAGCATGTTGCCTCCAGCTTTGTTCTTTTGGTTTAGGATTGACTTGGCAATGCGGGCTCTTTTTTGTTTCCGTATGAACTTTAAAGTAGTATTTTCCAATTCTCTTAAGAAATCATTGGTAGCTTGATGGGGATGGCATTGAATCTATAAATTACCTTGGGCAGTATGGCCATTTTCATGATATTGATTCTTCCTACCCATGAACATGGGATTTTCTTCCATTTGTTTGTATCCTGTTTTATTTCATTGAGCAGTGGTTTGTAGTTCTCCTTGAAGAGGCCCTTCATATCACTTGTGAGTTGGATTCCTAGGTATTTTATTCTTTTTGAAGCAATTGCGAATGGGAGTTCACTAATGATTTGGCTCTCTGTTTGTCTGTTATTGGTGTATAAGAATGCTTGTGATTTCTGCACATTGATTTTGTATGCTGAGACTTTGGTGAAGCTGCCTATCAGCTTAAGGAGATTTTGGACTGAGACAAAAATACAACAAAAATTAGCCAGACGTGGAGGGTTACACAGGAGAATTGCTTTAACCTGGGAGGTAGAGGTTGCAGTGGGATGAGATCGCACCACTGTACTTCAGCCTGGGTGATATAATAAGACTCCATCCCCCCTCCAAAAAAAAAAAAGAAAAAGAGAAAAAAAAAGAGTTGTTGATACTCACTTTTTTTCTCAAAATTCTGATCACTCCTTAAACCATCCAGATTTCAGTCTGTCCACTCCACTGATCTTGCTTTTGTCAAGGTCATCAGTGACTTCTATATTTCCAATTTAATGGTCACCTATCACTCTTAAAGAGTTGGACATCCGTTCTTTGTTTGAACATCTTCTTCCCTTGTCTTTTGTAAAGTCAAGTTTAATTTTGTTTTCTTCCTACCTCACTGACTTCTCTCATTCTCCTTGACTGGCTCCTACTTAATTCAGCCCCTAAATGTTTGTCCTAGGCTCTCTACTTATTTGTGACATTCACTAGATTCCACCAAACCTCTGCTTCCAATATGCTGTTTCTTTAACTATATATGCACTATTTTTATTTCCTTCATACTTAGAATTTAACATGGCTGATTAGACATAGTTCGTGGAAAAAATATAGTTCTGGATTAGATTGGAAGTTGGCTTCTGATCAGATTTATTCACCTTGAATACTCAGGTTTACAGTGTCTATCTTATAGTCATTAAGTACCAAATATAATTTTTAAAGCAGGTTGAATTTATATGAACAGGAACAGAATATGGAAGACAATGGACATCAAGTCTATCAGTTAAGAGTTTGAGGGGGTGGAGCCAAGGTGGCCGAATAGGAACAGCTCCAGTCTACAGCTCCCAGCATGAGAGATGCAGAAGAAGAGTGATTTCTGCATTTCCAACTGAGGTACCAGGTCCATCTCACTGGAGAGTGTCGGACAGTGGGTGCAGGAAGTGGGTGCAGCGCAACAAGCATGAGGCATAGCAGGGCGAGTCATCTCCTCACCCGGGAAGAACAAGGGGTCAGGGAATTCCCTTTCCTACTCAAAGAAAGGGGTGACAGATGGCACCTGGAAAATTGGGTCACTCCTGCCCTAATACTGTGCTTTTCCAATGCTCTTAGCAAATGGCACACCAGGAGATTATATCCTGTGCCTGGCTTGGAGGGTCCTATGCCCACAGAGCCTCACTCATTGCTAGCACAGCATGCTGAGATCAAATTGCAAGGCAGCAGCGAGGCTGGAGGAGGCTTGAGTAGGTAAACAAAGCAGCCAGGAAGCTTGAACTGGGTGGAGCTCACCAAAGCTCAAGGAGGCCTTCCTGCCTCTATAGACTCCACCTCTGGGGCCAGAGCATAGCCAAACAAAAGGCAGCAGAACACTCTGCAGACTTAAATGTCCCTGTCTGACAGCTTTGAAGAGAGTAGTGGTTCTCCCATCACGCAGCTGGAGGTCTGAGAACAGTAAGGCTGCCTCCTCAAGTGGGTCCCTGACCCCCGAGTAGCCTATCTGGGAGGCACCCCCCAGTAGGGGCAGACTGACACCTCACACGGCCGGGTACTCCTCTGAGACAAAACTTCCAGAGGAACCATCAGGCAGCAACATTTGCTGCTCACCAATGTCTGCTGTTCTGCAGCCTGCACTGCTGACACGCAGGAAAACAGGGTCTGCAGAGGACCTCCAGCAAACTCCAACAGACCTGCAGCTGAGGGTCCTGACTGTTAGAAGGAAAACTAACAAACAGAAAGGACATCCACACCAAAACCCCATCTGTACGTCACCATCATCAAAGACCAAAGGTAGATAAAATCACAAAGATGGGGAAAAAACAGAGCAGAAAAATTGGAAACTCTAAAAATCAGAGCACCTCTCCTCCTCCAAAGGAATGCAGCTCCTTACCAGCAGCGGAACAAAGCTGGATGCAGAATGACTTTGACAAGTGGAGAGAAGAAGGCTTCAAACCATCAAAGAACTCTGAGCTAAAGGAGGAAGTTCAAACCCATGGCAAAGAAGTCAAAAACCTTGAAAAAAAATTAGACAAATGGCTAACTAGAATAACCAATGCAGACAACACCTTAAAGGACCTGAGGGAGCTGAAAACCATGGCATGAGAACTATGTGACGAATACACAAGCCTCAGTAGCTGATTCGATCAACTGGAAGAAAGGGTATCAGTGATGGAGATCAAATGAATGAAATGAAGTGAGAAGAGAAATTTAGAGAAAAAAGAATAAAAAGAAATGAACAAAGCCTCCAAGAAATATGGGACTATGTGAAAAGACCAAATCTACGTCTAATTGGTGTACCTAAAAGTGACGTAGAGAATGGAACCAGGTTGGAAAACACTCTGCAGGGTATTATCCAGGAGAACTTCCCCAATATGGCAAGGCAGGCCCACATTCAAATTCAAGAAATACAGAGAATGCCACAAAGATACTCCTCAAGAAGAGCAACTCCAAGACACATAATTGTCAGATTCACCAAAGTTGAAATGAAGGAAAAAATGTTAAGTGCAGCCAGAGAGAAAGGTTGGGTTACCCACAAAGGGAAGCCCATCAGACTAAAAGATGATTGCTCACCAGCAACTCTACAAGCCAGAAGAGAGTGGGAGCCAATATTCAACATTCTTAAAGAAAAGAATTTTCAACCCAGAATTTCATATCCAGCCAACTAAGCTTCATAAGTGAAGGAGAAATAAAATCCTTTACAGACAAGCAAACGCTGAGAGATTTTGTCACCACCAGGCCTGCTCTAAAAGAGCCCCTGAAGGAAGCACTAAACACGGAAAGGAACAACCAGTACCAGCCACTGCAAAAACATGCCAAATTATAAAGACCATCAAGGCTAGGAAGAAACTGCATCAACTAATGAGCAAAATAACCAGCTAACGTCATAATGACAGGATCAAATTCACACATAACAATATTAACCTTAAATGTAAATGGGCTAAATGTTCCAATTAAAAGACACAGACTGGCAAATTGGATAAAGAGTGAAGACCCATCAGTGTGCTGTATTCGGGAAACCCATCTCACATGCAGAGACACACATAGGCTCAAAATAAAGGGATGGAGGTAGATCTACCAAGCAAATGGAAAACAAAAAAGGCAGGGATTGCAATCCTAGTCTCTGATAAAACAGGCTTTAAACCAACAAAGATCGAAAGAGACAAAGAAGGCCATTACATAATGGTAAAGGGATCAATTCAATAAGAGGAGCTAACTATCCTAAATATATGTACACCCTATACAGGAGCACCTAGGAAGTAATTAGAGACTACAAAGAGACTTAGACTCCCACATAACAATAATGGGAGACTTAAATATGCCACTGTCAACATTAGACAGATCAACGAGACAGAAAGTTAACAAGGATATCCGGAACTGAACTCAGCTCCGCACCAAGTGGACCTAATAGGCATCTACAGAAATTTCCACCCCAAATCAACAGAATATACATTCTTTTCAGCACCACACCACACCTATTCCAAAATTGACCACATAGTTGGAAGTAAAGCACTCCTGAGCAAATGTAAAAGAACAGAAATTATAACAAACTGTCTCTCAAACCACAGTGCAATCAAACTAGAACTCAGGATTAAGAACACCACTCAAAACCACTCAACTACATGGAAACTGAAAAACCTGCTCTTAAATGACTACTGAGTACATAACGGAATGAAAGTAGAAATAAAGATGTTCTTTGAAACCAACAAGAACACAGGCACAACATACCAGAATCTCTGGGACACATTCAAAGCAGTGTGTAGAGGGAAATTTATAGCACTAAATGCCCACAAGAGAAAGCAGGAAAGATGTAAAATTGACACCCTAACATCGCAACTAAAAGAACTAGAGAAGCAAGAACAAACACATTCAAAAGCTATCAGAAGGCAAGAAATAAGATCAGAGCAGAACTGAAGGAAACAGAGACACAAAAAGCCCTTCAAAAAAATCAATGAATCCAGGAGCTGGTTTTTTGAAAAGATCAAGAAAATTGATAGACCGCTAGCAGGATTAATAAGGGAGAAAATAGAGAAGAATCAAATAGACACAATAAAAATTGATAAAGGGGATATCACCACCAATCCCACAGAATTACAAACTACCATCAGAGAATACTATAAACTCCTGTATGCAAATAAGCTAGAAAATCTAGAAGAAATGGATGAA
This sequence comes from Homo sapiens, assembly GCF_000001405.40. NCBI lineage: Eukaryota > Metazoa > Chordata > Mammalia > Primates > Hominidae > Homo > Homo sapiens. The sequence continues at coordinate 9,883,218 of NC_000024.10, forward strand.
TTCCTCGACACATACACCCTCCCAAGACTAAACCAGGAAGAAGTTGAATCTCTGAATAGACCAATAACAGGCTCTGAAATTGAGGAAATCATTAATAGCTTACCAACCAAAAAAAGTACAGGACCAGATGGATTCACAGCTGAATTCTACCAGAGGTATAAGGAGGAGCTGGTACCATTCCTTCTGAAATTATTCCACTCAATAGAAAAAGAGGGAATCCTCCCTAACTCATTTTATGAGGCCAGCAGAGACACAAGAAAAAAGAGAATTTTAGACCAATATCCTTGATGAACATTGATACAAACATCCTCAATAAAATACTGGCAACCCAAATCCAGCAGCACATCAAAAAGCTTATCCACCATGATCAAGTGGGCTTTATCCCTGGGATGCAAGTCTTGTTCAACATACACATATCAATAACCATAATCCAGCATATAAACAGAACCAACAACAAAAACCATGATTATCTCAATAGATGTAGAAAAGGTCTTTGACAAAATTCAACAATGCTTCATGCTAAAAACTCTCAGTAAATTAGGTATATATTCGATGTATCTCAAAATAATAAGAGCTGTCTATGACAAACCCACAGCCAATATCACACTGAATGGACAAAAACTGGAAGCATTCCCTTTGAAAGCTGGCACAAGACAGGGATGCCTTCTATCACCACTCTTATTCACATAGTGTTCAAAGTTCTGGCCAGGGCAATCAGGCAGGAGAAGGAAATAAAAGGGTATTCAATTAGGAAAAGAGGAAGTCAAATGTCCCTGTTTGCAGATGACGTGATTGTATATCTAGAAAACCCCATCATCTCAGCCCAAAATCTCATTAAACTGAAGGCAACTTCAGCGAAGTCTCAGGATATAAAATCAATGTACAAAAATCACAAGCATTCTTATACACCAGTAACAGACAAAGAGAGAGCCAAATCCTGAGTGAACTCCCATTCACAATTGCTTCAAAGAGAATAAAATATCTAGGAATCCAACTTATAAGCAACGTGAAGGACCTCTTCAAGGAGAACTACAGAACACTGCTCAATGATATAAAAGAGGATACAAACAAATGGAAGAACATTCCATGCTCATGGGTAGGAAGAATCAATATCATGAAAATGGCCATACTGCCCAAGGTAATTTATAGACTCAATGCCATCCCCATCAAGCTACCAATGCCTTTCTTCACAGAATTGGAAAAAACTACTTTAAAGTTCACATGGAACCAAAAAAGAGCCCGAATTGCCAAGTCAATCCTAAGCCAAAAGAACAAAGCTGGAGGCATCACACTACCTGACTTCAAACTATACTACACACTACAGTAACAAAAACAACATGGTACTGGTACCAAAACAGAGATATAGAACAATGGAGCAGATCAGAGCCCTCAGAGATAATGTCGCATACCTACAACTACCTGATCTTTGACAAACCTTACAGAAACAAGAAATGGGGAAAGGATTCCCTATTTAATAAATGGTGCTGGGAAAATTGGCAGCCATATGTAGAAAGCTGAAACTGGATCCCTTCCTTACACCTTATACAAAAATTAATTCAACTACTTGGGAGGCTGAGGCAGGAGAATGGCGTGAACCCGGGAGGCGGAGCTTGCAGTGAGCTGAGATCCCGCCACTGCACTCCAGCCTGGGTGACAGAGCAAGACTCCGTCTCGAAAAAAAAAAAAAAAAAATTAATTCAAGAGGGATTAAAGACTTAAACATTAGATGTAAAACCATAAAAACCCTAGAAGAAAACCTAGGCAATACCATTCAGGACATAGGCATGGGCAAGGACTTCATGTCTAAAACACCAAAAGCAATGGCAACAAAAGCCAAAGTTGACTAATGGGATCTAATTAAACTAAAGAACTTCTGCACACCAAAAGAAACCACCATCAGAGTGAACAGGCAACCTACGGAATGGGAGAAAATTTTTGCAATCTACTCATCTGACATAGGGCTAATATCCAGAATCTACAATGAACTCCAACAAATTTACAAGAGAAAAACAAACACCCCATCAACAAATGGGCGAAGGATATGAACAGACACTTCTCAAAAGAAGACATTTATGCAGCCAAAAGACACATGAAAAAATGCTCATGATCACTGGCCATCAGAGAAATGCAAATCAAAACCACAATGAGATACCATCTCACACCAGTTAGAATGGCGATCATTAAAAAGTCAGGAAACAACAGGTGCTGGAGAGGATGTGGAGAAATAGGAACACTTTTACACTGTTGGTGGGACTGTAAACTAGTTCAACCATTGTGGAAGTCAGTGTGGCAATTCCTCAGGGATCTAGAACTAGAAGTACCATTTGACCCAGCCATCCCATTACTGGGTATATACCCAAAGGATTATAAATCATGCTGCTATAAAGACACATGCACACGTATGTTTACTGTGGCACTATTCACAATAGCAAAGACTTGGAACCAAGCCAAATGTCCAACAATGATAGACTGGATTAAGAAAATGTGGCACATATACACCATGGAATACTATGCAGCCATGAAAAATGAGTTCATGTCCTTTGTAGGGACATGGACGAAGCTGGAAACTATCATTCTCAGCAAACTATCTCAAGGACAAAAAGCAAAACACTGCATGTTCTTACTCATAGGTGGGAACTGAACAATGAGAACACATGGACACAGGAAGTGGAACATCACACACTGGGGCCTGTTGTGGGGTAGGGGGAAGTGGAGGGATAGCATTAGGAGATATTCCTAATGCTAGATGACGAGTTAATGGGTGCAGCACACCAACATGGCACATGTATACGTATGGAACAAACGTGGACATTGTGCACATGTACCCTAAAACTTAAAGTACAATAAAAAAAAGTTTGAGTGTTGTAACATCTTAATGTAAGTGAACATGTCCTGAATTAGGTATTTCGTGGAAGTGCAAACGTAACAAACAGCAAAAGGCATTCAAAAATACTTGAAAGAGTAGGCAAAAGACTGAATATGAGGTTTATAAAACAGAGAATTGTACCTCCCCATGATTTGTGACCCAAATGACTTGGAGGATAAAATGCTGCTAATCCTGGTAATGAACACATTTCTCTCTAGAGACTGACTGACTCCAAATTTGAAGCCAAATTTACTTTTATGGTCATGCTTAAACTAACATAATAATATATTGGTCTAATTTCTTCTATGAAATCAGATCGAAAAATAAATAATCTTGTATTCAGACTTTCTGTGTGTTCTGTTTTCATCTTAGTACTGTAGCTTAAGATCACTTTGTGACTTTTTCTTGTATTTTCCCAAAGGCTATTGCAAAAGCAAGGAAGTTGTGATCTAGTTTTGTGGCAGAACAAGTATGGTCTAGAGGGAAAACTGACTTGGAGCAACAGATGTGGTTTTAGACATGTTGAGTTTAAGGTGGTGTCAAGATATTCCATTGAAAATGGAAGTTACAGAACTATGACTGAAGGTCAGGGAACACTCTGAATGGTGAACGCAGGCTGGAAAGTCATTCAACCATGACATACTGACCTGGAGACACATAGCTAGTGGTATCCTAAATATTTAGGCTTGGGTTTACATTTTACAACTAGCAGATGACATAATAAAGCCAATCAAAGATGCGAGCAGAAAGGGAAAGAAAACAAGGGAGTGAATAGCCAAGGGACACATTTTGCAAGGCTCAGTCAAGTTGACTATACTGAATGTTGTGGAGAGCTGTCAAAGAAAGTAAAGACAGAAGATTTTGTAATGGTAAGGTTGACCTTGAAGAGTATATTTTCAGTGGAGTAGTAGGGGCAGGATTCTTTTGGAAAATGAAATGAGTGAATAATGATGAAAAGGAGATAAGCAAACAAGAAAAAAGATTAATAGCTTTAGGGAGGTGTTTTCAAGGGAAAGTATTTTTTAATAACTTTAATAGCTTATTGCTTTATTCAGTGAAAAATGAGCCTACTGTAAGATTTGAAAATACAAAAAGTACAAAGAAGGACGCAAAAAAAACCATGTGAAATGCAACAATAAAAAAAAAACTACCCTTATTGTTTTGAAAAACATACTTGCAGGTTTCAATTAATAGAGCATACAATTCATTGAAAAGAGTATGTTAAATTTTTTTGGAAAATACTTGTTAAACATACAATGTTAATATTGATTAAAATACATTTCTTGGCCAGGCACAGTGGCTCGTGCCTGTAATCTCAGCATTTTGGGAGGCCAAGGTAGGTGGATCACCTGCGGTCAGGAGTTCGAGACCAGTGTGACCAACATGGAGAAAGCCCATCTCTACTTAAAATACAAAATTAGCTGGGCATGGTGGCACATGCTTGTAATCCCAGCTACTGAGGAGGCTGAGGCAGGAGAATTGCTTGAACCCAGGAAGGGGAGGTTGCAGTGAGCCGAGATTGCGCCATTGCACTCTAGCCTGGGAACAAGAGCAAAACTCCATCTCTCACACACACACACACACACACGCACACACACAAAGAAAATATATTTCTTAGTGAGATGCATGATATTGTTCCTGCCCCCTTCTCATTTACTCTCATTCTCTCTTGTAGACTAGAAAACTATTGCTAAATGCCAGAGTGAGACAGCATTCATTATTAATTCAATTTTTACTTTTTTCTCTCTATGGATGGAAGTGTCAAAAAGAGACTTTGTTCCCGTGAATATGTATATAGGAATGGAAGAATGAATTTTTAAAGCAATTTCACTCAATTCTTTGAATTCTTCATGTATTAAATACCGAAAACTATATACATGACAACTGCAAGTCATTCAATTTTGTTGAAACAAGCATTGAAAATTGCTTGACTTAGAAGAGGAGTTACTATTTAGCCTTTAGAAATTGTTCACCTTGTGAAGCCAATGCCTTACATTTCTAATCTTAAAAGGTAAACTGAGGCACATTTTTAAAGAGTTTGAGCAAGAAATATTCCATGAATTGTGCAGCTCCAAAGTAGAAGCCATTCAGGAGCTCCATCAAGGGAAAACAATGGGGAGAATTTTATAAAACACACACAGAACTAAAGCAGATGGTATTTGATTGGTTACAATTACACAGTTGCCTCATTTGATCAGTCCCATCGGGAAGTCCTAATCATATAAGTTTGTTAACTGCTTCTAATTGGTTGAGTTTACATTCTTTTTTTTAGATATAAACATTTACAAGAAAGAGCTGAAGTTAAGTTTTGCTTATGTTTGCGAATCAAGTAAGGTTGAAGTCACTTCTGAGGCCTGTTGTTTTCTTCTAAGAGATTCTTCAGGTCTGGTCTCTATGTTAAGTTGTATCAGCCTTAAGGAACCTCTTGTCCTCGATGTGTTTCTTTTTTTGCTTGTTTTTATTTTTGCCTTTTTATTTTAAGATAAAACTCAGATATGGAAAGCACACAAGTGTATGGTTTTATTTCCACCACACAGATATAAAGCAACAGCATATTGCCTACCAAACTAGTATTCCAATGCAGATACCTTGTCCAAATCACCATTCCCTTTAGGCCTTTCACAAAACTGAGAAATTTGTCTGTGTTATTAGGAAGCCACACAGTGGCCAATGAAGAAATGAATACCAAAGACAGTTAGACTTAGAAGAAATACATGATGAATCAAGGTCTTGAAGAAGGCCTGAGTGGAAAGAATCAGATAAATTCTACATCACTGACAAAGGTTAGTCTTGGAAAAATGAAATTTCTTTTACTGCAAGTCAGAGAAAAGAGAAGAGAGGACAAGTTCATTCAACCTGTCATTTAATAAAGATTTATTAAGGCCCTATTACTTGACAATAGTGTAGAAAGCACTGGAGAGAGATTTTAAAGAGGAAAATAAACTGTACTTGGGCTCTCCAGTTAGATGGACTTAATTGCTTCAAAAAAGGAGGAGATGAGGTTGTGGTTTTCAATAAAAGCTGTTTAGGGGATTGTGGATTTGGACATGTGAAGAGTGGGGACAAAATTTCAAAAAGCTACAGTAGAGAAAACCCTACAGAATCAATACATTTTATTTGCAGGACTCTGGAAAGAGCCAAGTCTACCATTTTGTTTTAAAAGCTAAGCTTGGAATGCTTATATCAGTCACCACAGTGAATCTAATTGTTTCTATTTTTATAATTGGACCTACTGCTGGAGTGATGCCAAAACAAACATACCAAATTAAAGTACAAACACTAATAAAACATAACAGGAGCAGAATGCTGCAAACTCAACTGCTTATTTAAAAAAAAATGATTAGCTTTAAAATGTTAGCATGTCAGAAAACAATTTCCTTTTACTAACATCAGTTTTGAAGGTCCACTAATCAAAAATATATAGAATTAGGACAGGCAGTGAATTCAATAAAGTAGACCTTGCAGTAAAATAAAATTTGCTGCAGGCCCATGCTATTGGAATTAGAAAGGCGTCGTCAATCATATGCCTGCAGATCAGAGGTCTCAGTGAGCCAGTGATAATTCTCATGTTTAGAGTCCCCCTGTTATAACATGTCATCTTTTTAAATATCCTATTTGATGCAATATTTAATTGTCTCTTTAAGGGTGATGAAAAAAATACTAGGATGCTTGAACACTTTAAAAATAAAAATATCCAAATGAGGCAGGCAGTGGGACTTCTTTTGTGTTTTCCTTTCTTTGAGCAAGACAGCATTTTTCTTTCAATTCTTTCCTTCTGTTCTCATGAATTAATCTGCATTTTGTGATTTTAGATCTGTGCAGGGTGGAGTGTGATTACTGAGGTCTTAATCAACATTTAGGCTGACAGATAACGTAGAACCAGCTATTATCTTCTGTGCAGAGAGATATGTTTATTGTAAATGCTGTGGGCTCTGAAAAGTTGGGAGACGAGACTTTTGAAATGGATGAGAGTGTCAAAGTGTTGCTTTAGATCCCTATATAGGTGAAAGAACTGCAAAGATGACTTGGAAAGAAAGAGTTATTTGTGATATATTTGAATGGAAGATAAAAAAGGAAATTATTTTACTTCAAATATGATATGTTTTGTAATTATTAACTGAATTATAGAATTTGAATAGGAAGTGATTTCATAAAGCAATCACTCTAGTGATTTCCCAATACTGATTTCCAGACAGACACAAGACTGGGATAATATTTTCACTACTCCACGGCAGAATTTAAAAAAAATAAGATATCATTATAGACAGATTTTCAATGAAGCTAGATTTGTTACTTGATTTTAATTTAATATTACATTATTTTTATTTGTAGTCTTAAAATACTCTTTCCTCTTTGAGATGACAGATGTATATGGTAGGATGTGTAAAATGCTCTTGGTTAGATTAAATGAAACAATCATTGTTCTTTTGGAAATTGGAGTAGGGCTAATGTGAAGCTAGATGAGAAAGTAGGCAGCATGTGGTTTGAGGAACAAGATCTTCTTGTGCCTGAGCTCTTCCTCTATGTACTCAATATCCTTATTTTGCTATCCAGTTTACAATGTCATTTTGTTCCCTACTCCCTTCTTTCCCAAATTGAAATCAACTTTGAAAAAGAATCAGCTTTCAGCCATTTATCCAACTCACAGGCAAGGTGAGAGTGCACTGTAGGTGCTAGAAACAAAAATCCACTGCTCTCAATTTTATTTTCTCATGTACGTTAATCCCTCTATCTCTACCAGCTCAGTATACATATACAACTGTGATCTAAATTCTTATATTGCTTTTATAAATTAGAATTTTTCCCATTGTTTAAGCCCCTGCCGCCTACCCCTTCATTACTTTTCTCCACTAAGCATGCTGTACCCACTTCTCTCATTTCTTCCCACTGGCTTTTCAGTTCAGTTCAATTTGGTTTTGGTCTCATTCCACTGGAACTACTTTTATCAAGGACAGCATTCCCATCTGTATTATTAAAACCACTGGTTACTTTACCATTTTCCTCTTACTCAAATTCTCAGCATTATTCTGCACATTAGCAACTCTCTTTTCTTCAAACACAGAACTATGCCAAAATTGTCCTATTCTAGAGAGTTGGCAGCTGTTTTCTCACTCTTTTGCAATGGTTGCTCTTTCTGATATATCAAATAGGAATTCCTTGGAGAAAGCTTCACTTAGTTCCCAAAATCCAATAGTTCTGTCTGTTATACCAACCATCACTACCGTCTGTTACTCTCTTTCAGCATCCCAAAGTTTCCTTCACAGCATTTACAATTGCTTGTGACTTTTATTTATTATCTGTCTCTCCCTGTACATAAAGCTTAAAGAAGTCAGGGACCATTAACCCCATATTCATTGCTGTACCTCCAGAACCCAGCACAGTGCTTGTTGCATAGTATTAAATATTCATTGAATATTTATTATTCAGTGAATAATAAATTTAATAATCTCAAATAATAATGAAGATCAATAATAATCTTGAATCTTAATAAAGATTCATTGAATAATTTGATGGATAGATGAATGCCAAGAATCCCACAATATTTTTTACTAGCCTCAACTTGAAAACTCATTCCAAGACTTTTGCATTTTATCTTTGCAATGATTCTTGCATCTGCCTCTTTCTTCCAGTCCTTTCTTCCACTTTCCTTGCCCAGGCCACCATCAGCTATTAGTTGAACCACTTAATAAAACTCATAACTCACCTTCTGTTTCTCTTGCTGATCTTCAACCCATCCTATATATTGCAGTTAGTCTTATAACCTTCGTGAAACTCAGATCTTATTTTCCTATGAAAAAACAATAACAAAAAAAACTTGCCTTTATGTAGACAGTTTGTTCTAAACTTTCTTTCCTGGCATTTATGCTCCTTGAAGATCTGTCTTTAACTGACACCAGCTCTAAGTTGTCATAATGTATTTGCCTAGCTCTTTTTTTGTGTGTACTTCTCTTTTGACACTTTTAGGACTCAATGTTGTGTTATTACAACATTTAATAGAATGAGAACATGTTGAAAGCAGATACATGGTATGTTTTCTAATCTCAGCACTTACCACAGTTTTTGATACACACAACTCTATAAATATTTGCTGAATAAATCATTGTGTGACCCTCTTCTTGAAGTTCTATGTTCAATATCAAAGAGAATATAGAATATAAAAATGATTAACTGCAAACCCTATATAGTGTTTGGTGTAACTAAAAATACTGAATTCTGTACATTTTGTTTAAGGCAATGGATATGACTTAATAGCTGTGTTACAGTTAAATATTGGTGTGCAACTGATGCCTGCAGTTTCCTGAGCCAAAAGAGAAAAAATCTTGTCCTTAGATATTTTTCAACTGAAAAGTCCTCCAATTAATTAGAAGACCCTTAGCAAAAAACCTGTTGATGCATGTTGCCTTTTCCCCAGAAAGATCTGCAAGATATGAAGAGAACAATAGCCTCAGGCAGTACACTCAGAAGATGAAAGTGTATAATGTGAAAAAACACACTGAGTATTTCTAGCACAGGCTGACTGCCTGCAGGTCCTGATATTTACCCTCAAGCATGCTGCTCAGAATTCCATTATAGAGGAATTAAAGTGGCCAAGCATATATGTATGTGTGTGTGTCTGTGTGTGTGTGTATGAGCGATGGAGTTTCACTCTTTCATATATATATATACACACACACCCACATATATACATTTATGTATACACACACATATATACATATATGTGTGTATGTATATATATATGAGTGAAACTCCATCTCTCTCACACACACACGTATGTGTGTGTGTGTGTGTGTGTGTATATATGTATAACTGTTCCAGTTATATTTGTTAACATTTAGAAGAGGGTTGACATGATGTGCATAATTTTAATCAATCCTGGTGTTGTCTCTGAGTAAACAAAGTGCATGACTGATATTTGAGATACTTCATGCCTTATCTCTGGATATCTACTTATGTTCTATTTTCATTTGTTTGTTTTTGAAGTGGAGTTTCACTCTCGTTGCCCAGGCTGGAGTGCCATGGCATGATCTCAGCTCACCATAACCTCCACCTCCCGGGTTCAAGCAATTCTCCTGCCTCAGCCTCCCGAGGAGCTGGGATTACAGGCATCCAACACCACGCCCGGCTTATTTTATATTTATATTTTTTTTTTTTGAGATGGAGTTTCAATCTTTCTTCCTGTCTGGAGTTCAATGGTTCAATGGTGCAATCTCGGCTCACTGCAACCTCCACCCTTCTGGTTCAACTGATTCTCCTGCATATGCCTCCTGAGTAGCAGGATTACAGGCACCCACCACCATGCCTGGCTAATTTTTGTACTTTTAGTAGAGATGGGGTTTTGCCATTTTGGTCACAGTGGTATCAAACTTCTGACTTCAGGTGATCTGCCCACCTGGGCCTCCCAAAGCGTAGGATTACAGGCATAAGCGAACATGCTTGGCCTTCTGTTTTCATCTTATACCATGACTGGTTCATCTTCCAGCTATGCTCCAGTCACCCTGAATTATCTTATAGTCACCTTGATTCCAATAATGCACAAGCTTTTTTGTCTCCAGGCTCTGACACAGGCTGTTTCCTCTGTTTGGACTCCCCTTCCCTTCTTTTCTGCCTAAAATATTTCTACTCATTCTCCTATATCCAGAGCTCTTGATGCACATTCTGAGTTAGTAAGCAAAATATATATGTATGTTCTATAAATGTTTATTGAAAGAATTATCATAAATTTCATCATTTTTAAAAAGGGTCTGTGACCCCATAAATATTAAGATTCATTTATTTCTGCCTGTAATCAAATGTGACACAGTGAAGGCATACACAGACCTCCTCATTTCCCACTGCCCGAAACAAGTTATCTGTCACAGATATTCTGTCCCTTTTCTCAGTTTTTATAGCACACTTTACATATTACTCTCCTTTTTTTTGTTTGTTTTTTTTTTTTTTTTTGAGACAGAGTCTTGTTCTTTTGCCTAGGCCAGAGTGCAGTGGCGTGTTCTTGGCTCACTGCAAACTCTGCCTCCTGAGTTCAAGCAGTTCTCCTGCCTCAGCCTCCCTGGTAGCTGGGAGGCTCCCAAGTATTCTCCCAAGTACTCCCACCATGCCTGGCTAATTTTTTGTAGAGATGGGGTTTTACCATGTTAGCCAGGATTGCCCCAATCTCCTGACCTCATGACCCTCCCGCCTTGCCCTCCCAAAGTGCTGGGGTTATAGGCGTGAGCCACTACATGCAGACTAGTATCGCTCGTTTTATACCATTTCTACTTGTCTCCCTTTGGACTGAGCTATCACTGAAGGCAGGAACAATGTCTTATTCACCTTTGATCACAGAAATTAGCACAAATGGATTCATTTTAGCTGGCAGAATGTTGAAGCTTAAGTCAACTTGCCTGGAATTTAAAGGTTTGCATATGCTAAAATTCTGGAGGATACAGTGCTTGCATCTTCTAACTATTACCCATACATTTAAATTTTTGACAGTCATTGCCCTTCTTCAGGTTACAATGTGAATACCAAGAAATACAACATTTCTCCTTAATAAAATATGACAACCTTGAGCTGTGATAGTCTGACACAAACACAATCAGTGTGGTGCTATCTTCTTCTCCAATATAATTTCTTCCAATTATTTTAATTATATGAGTTATAGAAATAAAATAAATAAGTAAAACACAGGGGAATAAATTGTTGGCAAAATAATTAAAAAGTCTCAGAACTTCAGGATGCTTATTTATAGATTAAAAGGTGAACACCTAGCAAAATAGATGAAAATAGACTCATGTCAAGATATATCAATGTAAAATTTGAGAACACTGAGAACAAAGAGAAAATTGCATAAGTTTCCAGAGAGGTAAAAATAGGTCAGGTACAAAGGATGAGGAATCAGATGATTTAAAAATTGTCAACATTGGCCAGCCATGGTGGCTCATGCCTGTAATCCCAGCACTTTGGGAGGCCAAGGTGCACTTTGGGAGGCTAAGGCAGGTGAATCACCTGATGTCAGGAGTTTGAGACCAGCCTGACCAACATGGAGAAACCCTGTCTCTACTAAAAATACAAAATTATCCAGGCATGGTGGTGCCTGCCTGTAATGCCAGCTACTCTACAGCCTGAGACAGGAGAATTGCTTGAACCCAGGAGGCGGAGTGTGTGATGAGCTGAGATTGTGCCATCGCACTCCAACCTGGGCAACAAGAGCGAAACTCCATCTCAAAAAAAAAAAAAAAAAAAATCAACACCATCACTATAAACCTGAAGGCAATGGATTACAGTTATGCTTTAAAAATTCTAAAAGAAAATAATTTCTGACATATGTTTTTGTTTCCACATAGACTAAAATCAAATATACAAGTAGAAAACATACATTTTTCAGACATATGACAACTGTAAAATTTTGTCTCCCTGTGAAGCTTTTCTCAGGAAACTGCTAGAGATTTTTTTCCTACCAAAAGGAAGAAGTAAACCAAGACAGACAAATATGTGAAATGCAGAAAATAAGAGACAGAACAAAAGAGAGAGATAAATTCGTAAAAGGGTAATGAATGAAATTCCTAGGATGAGACAATTGAATGAGGCCTAGAGGGCAACCAGTCAGACTGTTGCAGCAGCCTACAAGAGAGTGTTCTTCAAGGTGGGAGCATTTATAGAACAATTCATGTGAATAAAAGTCTTGATATGAGATTTAAAAAAATTAGTAAAGAATTTTCAATTGAATTAGCACAAGTTAAAATAAAATTAAGTGGAAATTGAGCAACAAAATTATAACCACTATTTCTCAGCAATTCATGGTTATCATAATAGAAATTTAAGCGTACTGAGAACTTAATGATACTGAAATTATTACAGATTAAATTTGTGAATAGCAGGAAAAGTGATATTACAATAGGAGTTTATAGACAAATGTTTCTATGACAACTTGAAAATTAATGTACTAGATATTTAAATAAAGTATTAGAAAAGAAACAGCAGCATCAATTCTGAAAAACTAAAGTGAGGGGATAATGATGCAGGGAAAATTAGTAAAACATACAAAGCTAACTTTTGGTTGTTGGAGAAATATAGTAAATGGTACAAACCTCAGGCAAGTTTAGATAAAAAGGGAGAAAGCACAAATAAAACTAAGAATTTAAAAGATACATAACTATAGATACAGTATAGATTAAGAAGCTAATAAGGAAATATGATTAACACTTCATCCTACAAATTTGAAAACTTAGATCAAATAGACAGATATTTATAATCTGTCTATATATATAGACATATATATAGCTTTCTATATATATTTTCATATTTAATTTTTTATATTTACATCTTATATTTATATATAATATATAAAGATAAATATAATCTATGTATATAGCTTGGTAAAATTGATATAAGAAGACATATATAATCTGAATAGTCTCATAAATGTTCAAGGAAATAAAGGATTGTTCCTAGAGACAAAACAATAGGCTCAGATTTTTTCCCCAGGCAGAGCATTTCAATATATATGAAGAATTCTATAAAATAAAAAAGGGAAAATCCTAAACTTATTCTGTGAGGCAAGCAGGACTTTGAAGCCAACAAGACATAAACTGAGTAGATAAAAAGATATGAAAACTAAAGTCCATTCTCATTCGTGAAACAAATGGTAAAATCCCAAATGTAACAAGATTTATGTGGGTTCTTTGAGAGTTAGAAGGAAATTTGCTTCTGCCCGATCCTGCTACTCTAGGACAACCCACACACAAATTTATGTTTTGAGATTTTCTATAATACCCATGCAATATGGAACTGGCTTGACAATCTGTGTGATAGCCAGCCTGTGGCCATGACTTCTCAGGGACACAAATTGTTTCTGTTTGCCTCCTTCTTCTGCTCAGCTCCAAGAGAACTTTGACCAAAGTTCCTTGAGCTTGGAAATAGGAATGGGTTTACTTCTGTTTCACCATTACTGTGAAGATACGGTCTGGTGGAATCCAGATCCACTGGGAGAGAGTTGGCTATTAAACTCTTTTCCTGAGTAGTCCCTAGGCCTTGACTAGAGCCTTTCTTGAGATATGAGGCTAATAGTTCCTTCTTGGTCCACCACTTTTTGATATAATTAATGTTTCTTCCACTGGGAATTTTTAATGGTTTGGGAAGTGACATGGTTTGGTGTGTCTCCATTCAAATCTCAACTTCAATTGTATCTCCCAGAATTCCCACGTGTTGCAGGTGGGACCCAGGGGGAGGTAATTGAATCATGGGGGCTGGTCTTTCTCATGCTATTCTTGTGATAGTGAATAAGTCTCAAGAGATCTGATGGGTTTTTCAGAGATTTCCGCTTTTGGTTCTTTCTCATTCTCTCTTGGCATTGCCATGTAAGAAGTGCCTTTATTCCTATACCATGATTCTCAGACCTCCCCAGCCATGTGGAAGTGTAAGTCCAATTAAACGTCCTTTTCTTCCCAGTCTCAGGTATGTCTTTATCAGCAGCGTGAAAATTAACTAAGACAGGAGGGTTGGTCCAAATAACTTTGGCTTCCATTACAGAAGATAGAAGTTGGTGAAATGTTTAATCTTTTCTGTGGCAAACTTTAGCAGTGGGTATTATTTTTCTAATTGTTTTTTGTTCTATTCACCTTTCTCATAGGGTACTCTTGCTCTGTAGCCCAGGCTGGAGTGCAGTGGCAGGATCTTGGCTCAACACATCCTTCGCCTCCCAGGTTCAGGCTCTCGAGTAGCTCGGATTACAAGCATGCATCACCACGCCCAACTAATTTTTTGTATTTTTAGTAGAGGCTGGGCTTCACCATGTTGGCCAGGCTGGTCTCCAACTCCTGACCTCAGGTGATCCACCTGTCTCAGCCTTCCAAAGCCCAAAGTGCTGGGAATGCAAGCTTGAGCCACTGTGCCCAGCCAACTCCAGTATTTTTTACCTAAGCGAGTGGAGTTCTGTTTTTTTTTTTTTTTTTTTTTTTTTTTTTTCCTGAGACAGGGTCTTATTGTGTCATCCAGGCTGGAGTGTAGTAATGTGATCTTGGCTAACTGCAACCTCTGCCTCCCAGGTTCAGGTAGTTCTCCTGCCTCAGCCTCCCGAGTAGGTGGGACTACAGGAATGTGCCATTAGGCCTGGTTAATTTTTGCGTTTTTGGTAGAGACATGTTTTTGCCATATTGCCCAGGCTGGTCTCGAACTCCTGACCTCAAGTGACCCACCAACCTCAGCCTCCGAAAATGTGGAAATTACAGGCAAGAGCCAGCAGGCCCAGCCTGGAGTTGCTTTTTTTTTTTTGACATAAAAAGAAATCTGTGGAGGAAAAAGCTTGGTTTGTGGGAGCACCTGAGCTCAGTTTGGCTCACCTATTATTTACTGGCAGTGAAGGTATGTTGTTAATGTACAATATGTTCATGTACATAGCATATGTATATGCTCATCAGGTATTTTCAGGTAAAAAATAGTCATTCCCATAGTTTGAGCCATTACAGAAATTGCCACCAGGGGATTTCACAGTTGAATTCCAGTTCTGGGCAACAGTGATTAACATAATGGTTATTAACAAGAAGAGATTTTGAGACATCCAGCCATGTTTAGATGTCAGGGCCTTGAAGGGATAGGTTTGGCATATTAGTAAGAAAGAGTGCATTGGACTGGATACTAAGAAACACGTTGAATTATTTTTCTTGCCTCTATAACATGAAAGGACACTTAGAGATACAGAAATAATGGAACATTTCACAGCATGGCTTGACATTTCACTGAACTTTTATCCATTTAACCATGTACAAAGTTTATTAAATATGCAAAGGTAGGACTGCTCTAGGAAGAAAGAGGTGGAGTCAGAGGTCACAATCCATAGCAAGATAACACTGTCTTCTGGATTGCACCCTGAGAGCTGAATTAGAGTGAGAATTAACTTTCAGGTTGCCAAAAGAGAACAAGGAGAATGAAGCTATCAGCAGTTAACAGTATTGGATTAATTGAAATGAATGTTGACAGAGATTTTTTTGTCTTTCCATCAAATTGAGTATAGAAAAGGTAACCGCTTATCAAATTTCACACATATACAATTGTGGATTAATTAAAAGATTACACAACCCACATATTATAGGTATCTCTTGTAAATGTATATGTACATGGGCAAACTCACAGTGTGCAAATATGTGTCTATATCTAAATATACACAAATCCATTGATCAACAGTTAGAAAGTTAGAAATTATTCTCCCATTTTACCATTCCCTTTCCTAGAATTTTGTCACAAATATAATTTTTCCATATGTTTGAAGCCTACTCTCTGGAGGCATGTAGTGTATATGTACAGTAAAGCTGTGAGATATCACAATGTTGTTGTCAGAGAAAACAATAACACTGGTGTTATGAAAGATTAATTGTGAGGAGAAAGTTATACTTCACATTACTACAAATACACAAGCATGATTTCATCCAAAGCTGAAATCAGTCAATATAATTTGTTTTTAATATTTTATTTAAAATACTTAATTTCAACAGTATTACTCAAGGAAAATAATGGTATTTGTAATAAATAATGTTGAAGAATTCCCTTTGTTAATTATTTAAAATGTAAGTAAAATACTAAAAAGTACTGTATAATATAGTTGCATGAAGCATTCTTTGTGGTTTTCATAAAATTAATAGTCTCAATGGAATATTTTGAGACTGAGAAAGTTCCATATATCATTGTAATGTACTTTCACTTTATTACTTGCTTGCATGTCATAACTGATGGAAATAAAAACATTTATATTTACAAATATGCAAAACATGGATTTTCGTTTATGTTTTCTAGTGATACAAAGTTACCAATAATTTTATCTATATAGGAAAATTTTTACAAACCCAAAGTTCTTAACTTTCTTTTCTTTTGAAGTTTCATATTTCAGTCTAGGTATGAAATGGAATTTGCTGTTATCATTCTTTGATTTCATGTTATTGGTGAGTTTCTGATACAGTGTTAGGAATGTATAGACTTTAAAGCTTGCTTTCTTCTTCTTCTTCTTCATTTCCCTTTGGACCTGTATCTGTGATGTCTGCAGTAATGTGCATCATTATCTCACATATGGTTGCTGAAAGATACAAGCATAAATAGAATTCTTAGTTTCAGTGAATCTTTAGGAACAGACAATAACACTGAAAGATAATTATGGTATGGATGTAAGTAAGCAGTTTATCACAGAGGTACAATAAGGGCGAAAATAAATTTAAAAATACATGCCTCATCCAAAACATGAGGTAGTACAAATGAAAAATTTAATTTGGCATAAAGAACAGTTTAAAAGTTCTGATTATTTCTGGTGAGAGGAAGTATCTCTGAAACCATGAGAAAGTCCTTCAAAGCTGCATGTTGGATTTGCAGGTCAGGATGGAAAGCCTGGTTCTAGGGGAGGGTGCTAAGGTCCTGGTCAGTTTGAGGTCCTCCTGGGACTCAGGGGTGTCTCAGTGGGAGAGCTGGGAAGGGGAAACACATGCTTCACCCCAGCTAGCAGGCCACCTCAGCCCACCTAGATGAAATTGTCCCTTGACCATCTCTTTCTCCTTCTCAGACAGGCAGGTGGAAGAACTCAGCCATCCTGAGAACAAGTGGTAGGAAGAAATTTGCCTTTCATCACAACATTTACTTCTGCATTGAAGTGATCACTAAGGAGTATTGCATTGGCATCTGCAATGAGGAGCGCCTCCCCGCATGGTAGAGGGAGTGGTATGTGGGAAGCTGGGCCTGGCATGAGCCTTTCTGAATTCTCTCCCTCCAGGATACAGGGCAACTGGCTCCACTGCAGTCCAGTGGTTCTAGGGTCATGCAGGTGAAGGCCCCAGTTTCAGGCAGAGCACTGCCTAACTGAGCTTCTTCAGTTGGTTGATTTACTGTGACTGTCCAGGGTATGGCAGGATTGCTGAGGTGAGGTGGCTATGGGGGGTCATGAGAAATGACCCTGTTGGTCATTCTTTGGCATCGGAAGAACTGGCTTTGAACCAGAACCTGACCTGTGATGAACACTTTGCCCAGTCCCCCAGATCATCAGCCAGGGCCTGTGGCTCAATATTCTGCAGCACTATGCAAGGGAGTTAGGCCCTCAGAGAGGGAACAGAGAAGAGGCCAGGGAAGCAGCCCAGGGCTGGGGGTTGACAGGCCTGTGGGTCCTGGAGTTAGGACACACATAGAGAAGCCAAGGCTCAGGGAGGAGACTGCAGTAAGCAAACTCAGGCCATCATGGGCTGGTGGAGAAAGGCCCATCAGGGAACTGTAGTACCCACATTTCATGATGGGGGAACCCTAATCCACTTAATAGGCATAAGTAGCTAAGGTCAATGGGTGGGAAGCCAGGATGAAGAGATAGCTGCCTCATCATCCCTTGCTAGCTCCTTCCCTGTCCTGAGGCTTGCTACTACCTGGGGTTCAGTTTGGGATCAACCAGGGCTCTCTCACCCTCCACACAGATGCCTACCTGAGGCCTCTCTAGGTCTGCGTCCTCCCAGAATGGCTCTCCCAGGCCTGCTACGTCCCGTTTGGATGACACCACGCTCCCCTGACATGCTTGGTCCCCTCCGCCATCCTCATTCACCCAGCAACTCCCCACCCCCCAAATAGGCAGGCCACTGCACAGGGAATCTGGAGGACCACACAGGGCTCACAGGGGAGGAAATGTGAAGAGATGGCAAAATGGAACGGGACCTTCTGTGTGTTTCCAGAAGGCAATCTGGCTGGACATTCAGGCCCACCTCAGTATTGGTGAGGACACCCAGTGTCTCTTGGCCCTGAGCATGTGCACACAAACACACACATTGTCTAAACGGCATTGACATCACTACTACCTGAGTCATCCTCAGATTCTATACAACCCCTGTAAAAATATCAATGACCCATTCTTCTTAGAAAAACCATCTGAGAATCCTAAATTTGCTATGAAATGGCAGAAGATCCTGAAAACCCAGAGCAATCCGGTAAAAAGCACAAAGCTGGAGCCACCACACTACCTAACTTCATGATATACTACTACAAAGCTTTGTGTATCAAAATACAATAGCACTGGCAGAAAAGCAGAGACTAGAGCTTAGGAAAAACAATAAAAGCCCACAACTAAGTCACTCCATTTGCAGCTCACAGCCTTTTCCCAAAGAAGCAAGAACGTCCAGTGCAAAATCAAGTATCTTCTATAAACTAGGTTGGGGAAATCTGAAGAGCCACATAAAGGATTTTACAGGTGGATTATTTATCACCAAACTCCAGTGTCGCATCTGAAACAATAAAATTACCAGAAGAAATCACAAGGAAGAAGCTCCATGGCCATCTGTGTGGGCCGTGATGGTCTCAAAGTGACTGCAAGAGCACAGTAAACACCATCAAAAACAGAGAATGGGGTTATATCAAACTAAAGTGCTTTGGCACACCACAGAAAACTAAACAGATGGAAGGGACATCCTACAGGATGGGAGAAATTATTGGATCACTATACATCTGTTAATGGGTGAATATTCACAGTACATAAGGAACTCCCAACAATCAATAGCATGAAAAGAAATGGATTAAGGATGTGAATATTCATCTGTGAAACTAAGACATACAGTTGCCCAGAAGACACACTAAAAAGCACTCATCATCCCTAATCCATCAGGAAAATGCAAATCAAAAACACAATGAGATTTCTTCTCACTTCAGTCAGAATACCTATTATCCAAAAGACAAAACAAACAAACAAACAAACAAAAAACCCTCATTTCTGGTGAGGATGAGGAGAAAAGGAAATCCTTGTGCACTTTTGGTGAGAATGTAATTTAGTGCAGGCATTACAAGAAGCTTTATGGCTTTTATTTAAGTATAGAGCCTTCAGAACTCTACAAGTAGAACCACCCATCATGTGATCCAGCAAATCAGAATACTGGGGCACACCCACAAGTACACAAATCAGTATGTTGAAGCAGTGTATGCACCCATGCAATTATTGCTGCACTCTTTACATTTTTGCTGTAGCCAAAACACGGAAGCAACCTGAGTGTCCCTCAATTGATAAGTGGATTAAAAAAATGGGGCAAAAACACATATGCACAATGGAAAAATGCACTGCAGTAATAAATAAGGAAATCCTGCCACTTGTGACAATACGTGTGAATCCGCTGAATGCGTCCATGCCATTTTCTTTAGTGACATAGGCCAGGTATCAGAAAGGCAAATAGCACGTGACCTCATTCTTATATGAAATCTGAAAAGCAGACCCCACAGAGGTAATGACTCCAATGGTTGGGGTGGTGTTTAGTGAAGAGGGTGCACTGAGGAGATGCTGGATCAAGAATACATATTTCTAGTTAGAAAGGAGGAATAGGTTAAAAACATTTTCTACAGCATGCTGATTATAACTAGTGATAACATATTCTTTCTCTAAAAAATTCTAAGACAGTGTCTTTCATGTTTTATCATCACAAAAATGCTAAGTATGTGAGGTCATGCATAGGTTGATTAGCTGGATGTATCCAATGCATAATGTATGTGATCTTTTGAACATCACCCTGTAAGTTATAAATATGTATCATTTCATATGACTATTTAAAAAATAAACATACAATTTTTAAAATGCCTTAAGAGAATAAATGTCAATAAAGTATTTTATTATAAAGCAGTGCTTTTCTTTTCTATCAAAGTCTTTTTCATGACACATGAAAGAATGCAACATCATTTGGTAAGTTAAAATATATATACACACACACACACACACACACACACACACACATATGAACATCCCAGTGAATGCAGATGATCAACTGAAAGATTGAAATTACAGGTGCAGAATATAGTCCATAAATTGAAACCTTCACTGCATGTTTGAAAAGAAGACATGAGGAGGCAGAAGAAAAAAGCAAAAAACTCAAAGCCATGCCAGGGCCCTGGGTCACACCTGTAATCCCAGCACTTTGAGAGGCCGAGGTGGGAGGATTGCCTGCACTCAGGAGTTCCAGATGAGCCCGGGGCAACATGCGCCCACGTGTAAAAAGTAATTAATTAATTAATACGTAGCTGGGAGGGGTGACATGCACCTGTAGTGCCAGCTATGTGAGTCTGACTTGAGAGGATCACATGGGTGTGCGGTGTCCAGGCTGCAGTGGGCTGAGATCCTGAGGCTCCTCTCCAACCTAGGAGACAGAGTAAGACCTATTCTCAGGAAACAAACAAAAATGAGTCACCTTAGGTAAATTAAAACTACGCAGTGTAAGGAGAATCAAAATAAACGAAACATCATTACAGCCTACATGATCCGATGAAAGAAACAAGCTTTCACATAATAACAGCCCCAGATGGGGAGAACAATGAGAAAGGGCAGAGAGATAACACACCAAACTCCCCAAATGAGTTAAAAGACATAAATGTAGAAAGAGTGCTTCTTTTGAACTCAAAGCCCTTAATGACAAGTGCAAGTGTCTTTTTCTGAATCCCTGACATGCATTCAGCTCACCTGAACCTCTTGGTGAAGTTCTCAGACCACAGTTTGCCCTTTCTATATGCTCTCATTTTGTAATTTCCTATCACTTATCTGTAGCAGGTCACAACAAATCATGATTCTTTGACATTGTTTGACACAATGAAGAACTCAGATATGAGTTCATTAAACAATAGTTTATGACATGTCATGAATAAATTCTGTTTGCATGATGTTTGTTAAAATGATAATACAAAATAAAAACGGAGGGAAAAGAACATTTTCTTTGTTTCATCATTGCGCTTGTGTTTATGCAGCATGTATCTATGAACTATAGCTGCCTCCTGGAAAATGATCCAACAGAATCCCTTGAAATTTCTCCTTCCGCTTTGGAGACCACAGGCATAACCCGCTTTTTCACATTTCCACCTTTTGGATACAATGAGTGGGATGAGTGGGATCCGTGTGACCTTTGCCTTTGCTGTAATGTCTAGTTTTTTGTTTTTTGTTTTTTCTTTTTTTTTTTTTAACTCTGTCATTGCTAGATCAGCCTAAAATAAACAGTTCATTATGGCTCACAAAAAGAACTCATCTCCTTCAGCGGATATTCTTTATAAGAGGAATTTCATCCAGACATGAAAACGATAATCTGATGCCACTGCCAACAGATTGAGAATTACAAACTAAATTCAGATCGAGAATAGGAAGACAGATGATACAGATGGAGAGACGGTGGTGGGGAAGGAAGGGAAGGAAGAAAGGAAGGGTGTGAAGGAAGGAAAGCAATGAAGAAAGGGAGAGAGAGTGATAGATGTTCAAAGACAGAGATACAAAGTCGAGCATGGTTGTAGAGATAGGCGTGTACAAATTACCATGGGCAGTGTGGAAACATATCAGACAGAGTGACATAGGTGGAGTCAGAGAATAGAGACAAACCCATACAGAGAAATAAATATACGCAAATACAGACACACGGTTGGTAGTTTAAACCTGTCTGATTTTCTGTGACTGGATCTGTTTTTCCTTTAGTTCTTGGGCATAAGACCATGTTGAGTACTGACGTCCTGCATACTATAGTAACTATGTAGGAGTTCTGCTGTATTAGGTAAAGTGTGATGCTCCATCATATTCCACTCACCATCTGGGAGTCCCCTAGAGAAACACAAACACGTGTCAAAATGTATTTCCTCTGAGCCATACTTCAAAATGTTTTAATTTTAGGGCCTGCTGAGAAAAGACTACCCCTTCCCCATTTGTGATCTCTTAAACTTCCTCCTACCATGTGCTACAAACTGTTCCCTGCAATATTTTCCCCATTCCCAGTATTCACTGTGACAGGAGTCAGCTAACAAGATTCATTGTATACTAAAAGCACACAGAAATCTGATGGGGCAATAGCTTAACAAAATGCAATGACCTAAACAGTCCTCTGTGGTTTGTGGCAAGGACAACAAGGAGGCACATTCAGGGAGCCCCATCTTAAGGAGTTGGTAGGATGGCTGCTGGTGGGGTTGATGGCCATGGAATCAAGTGCCACAAATTGAAGTGAATGATTCAACTTTACTTCTCAGTGAGTCTGGACATAGACTATGCTTCCCTGGGCTTAAGACTCCACAGCTATAACCTGCTTTGCAGTGTGGTATCTAATGTGCCTTTTTCAGCCCAATGCCGTTAATGTCCTGGATTCTGTCACTCTCTGTCTTTCTCTCAAGGAATTTCTACATGTATGAAAGGAGCCTCAATTTCTACATTTCTGAAATGAGCATCCAGGCTCCCTGAACAGGCAGGTATGTCAACCCCCTTACCCTGGGCACCAAATAGCTCCAGTTCCAACTTAACGGCTCATCTGAAATCTCTGTTCCCTCTTCAGGTGGCTTCATCTTCATGTAGTATTGCAGGGGTTTGTGCCACAGTTCCGTACATAAGCTCTATCAGGGGAATCAATTGGGAAAGGCCTCATCAGGGCTCAGACTGGTGACCCAAGCAGCTGGGAACACACCAGGGTCATTCCTAATGTTTCCCAGTGAGGACTCTCCTCAGCAATCCTGTTAGATCCTGTGAAGTTGCGGTCAGCAAACCAGTTGAAGAAGTTAAGGCTGCTGTTGTGGTGTCCCCAGCGATAGGGCTCAACATCATAATCCTGATACTGCTGAATTGGAGTGGAATAAGCCCTGTATGCTACAAAGAGAGGGTTTTGTGGGAAGGGGCCTGGATCATGTTGGCAATGACCCACACATCATCTTCCTTCCACTACCCATCTGGGGTGCCACCTCTCACCTGTGATGTTCACGAGATATTCCTTGGTAATCACTTTATTCTGAAGTAGGGGTTACTCCAAAAGAACAACATGATCTTGCAGAGATGAATGGGATGCTTCACTTCTTTCATCTGTCAGGACAAGGTGGAGAAAGCTTAAATACCTTTTCGGGTGAGGTGCCCACTGTTGCTTACAGGAATGAATTATTTCCTTTACCCTCCCCTACTAAACCCTCTAGCCTCAGTCTTCCCAGCCTCACCTCCAGGCTGACCATGTAGCTCAGCATGTCTTCATCTTGGTCAGTGATCAGGGCTGACATCTGGGGGTGGTTTGCAATCTGATTTAGGTCAAAGAGGCTTTACATGTGATGGAAGGAGAAGCTAGGAGCAACAGGGAAGAAGGCCTAAGAGCGCCCAGAGTCTGGGGTAGGGGATTTCTCAGAACTGCTTCCATGTATGACCTCCTTTTGCCTCCCCCTCCCCCTAAATTAAGGTCTTTTGGGCTCGCAGAGAGTGTATAATTCTGAGGCTGACTGCACTGACATGGGGAGGTGCGATTTGCAGAGAGTTGCTGGTGTCTGCGGAGTGGCAGAATCAGCTTATAGGCGAAGACGCCCAGTCCCAGATCTGACTAGCAAGGGGGAGTAATCACACTCCCTTAACAATACCTTCATTCACAGAAAAACGTATTCTGGTCTGAACTCGCTTCTGCTCTTCAAATGATGCCCCAAACGTCTGCTGCTCGGCATCACCAAGGGTTTCTCTGCCGCATGCAGGAAAACAGTACCCACGCCTGCTCCGGCTTTCTACAGCCTCATTTGTCCGTGGCAACTCCCCTTTGTTCTCCAAAGAGTCATATCGACGATGAGCTGCCCATCGGTCACTTACACTTCCCCGAGAGCACCTCTCAACTGGAAAGGCAGAAAAAACACTGAGAAGGATACAACATGGGCCCAGAAGCCAGGGACGCTCTGGATGACGGCGCCTCTGCGGTCTAGGTGGGGCTTGTGCCTCCATTCCATCTTTTCCCTCTGGCGAGAAAAGGCCTTCCTGGCTTGGGCATTAACCGGCTCCAGCTCCACCTGAACGGCCACCAGCTCCTCCAGGGCGGACTCTGGGATTATGGGCCCAGGGCCAGGCTGTGGCTTCTGGGCCTCCTCCTGCCCCTCCACGAGGGCCTCCTCCTGGGCCACCACCTCCACCTCTGCCATTATGTCATCCAACAGCTGCACCGCCTCCTCCCGCAAAGCCGCCTGCTCACTCTCCACCCCGGCCGCCCCCTCCTGTACAGCCTCCATCCTGAAGGCGGTGCCCTCCTCGGCACTCGCACACACCAAGGCCTGTGCTGCCCGACCCAAGCCACAGGAACCCTGCCGCAGCCTCTATGGCACCCGGTAGGTCAGCGAGCCCTCAGGGCGCATGCGCCGGACTTCCAGGCGCCCCCTAAGGGACTGCGCGCGAAGGGCCGGGGGGCCGCACCCAGGCCGACTTCCTCCCGTCGTGGCCAATCAATGGGAGGGCGGTGGGCGTCTCCCTGGGCGGCACAGCCACTGGCGGGCCTGCATCTCCAGCCCCCCCACCCCCCGCCTTCCCTGCCCAAGCCTCCTCCGAGAAGCCCTTGGAACTTGTGCCGGGTAGCTAGGCGTCCGGGCACACGCGGGCTGCGTGGCCTTTGGAATTGTGGGCATGGCAGCCCTGTGCCCTGACATCCTCAGTGTGGCAAGCCATGAACATCTCTATGTGTCATGAACACAGGAAACATCTCTCTTCATTAGGCAGGCCAGGTAGATGGTACATAAGGAATATTGCAGATCCAGAGGAGAACTTTCTCTGGTTGCTGGGGCGAGGGCGGCGGGGGTGGCCTAGCAGAAGTGAGTCGGGGCGGGTATGTGGGAGGAAAGTCACCTGCTTGTGCAGAGGTGGAATTCGTCTGCACTGTAGGCTAGAACCCTGGCATGTACTCTCGCAGGTCGAGGCAAATACAGGCTCCGAGTACCATGCTTCCTCCCTGAGGATGCTGTACTCCAAGGAGCATTCCAAAGGGCCTCTAGTCCTGTGCCCTGGGCACACCAGAGGCCAGCCGCCAGGGTTGGCCATTGTCGGCCTGCGCGCACGCTGTTGTGCACTGCCTTGACGACCCAGAGGCTCCCGCACCCGCAGCAGCCGCTGCGGTGCCTGCTGGTGGGGCTCTGCAAGCACAGGGCCTCGGCCTCTGGCTTCTGAGCTCCTATGCGCAGTTGACCCTGCTGTGGTCCTGAGCCCCACGGCGAGTGCGGCCATCTGCGGGCCCAGCGGGGCTCCTCAGGAAACCTGGGTCCATGTAGGTGTGGGACTAGGTTTTCAGCAGGGAGAGGCCCGTGGGTCTTTCACGGAGCGGGCCTCTTGGGGAGCAGCCCCCAGAGCATAGGGATACCGGGGATGGGCTGGGCTGTGCAGGCCAGGGTCTGTGGGAGCACCCAGGAGGGCACCGTGTTCAGGCTGGAGGCTCTGCTGGAGAGGACGGCCGGGGTACAGAGCAAGGAGGCAGCCTTGGAAGAGGAGGCGGTGCTGAAGGTGGAAGACATAATGGCTGAGGTGGAGGTGGTGGTTGAGGAGGAGACTGACGTGGGGTGGCAGAAGGAGGGCCAGCGGGCACAGCTTGGCCCTGGACCCAGCACACCCAGGCCATCAATGGACTCGCTGGAGGTCCTTCACTTGGAGGTAGACTCCGTGAATGCCCCTGTGGCCTGGGCTTCTGGGACAGAGCCATATCCTTGCAGCTGCCGATTCCAGATGGCTGGCAGCAGGGGATGGGCATCGGGCTTCGTGGGGGCATGGGGGCTGTTGGGGGAGGAGCCAGGAGGAGGCACATGGGGTGAGCCAGGAGGCAGGGGATGGGGGACAGGATGGGAGCCGAGGTCACGTTCCTGCAGCTGTGAGGGCAGCTTGCTTGTAGCAGCACTGGGAGCACTGGGAGCACGTGGTAGGGAAGGGGAGCCGAGCACAGCACTCACAAGGGAGAATCGCGGCGCCAGAGTCCCTTCACGCACAGCACAATGTCAAAGGGCATGTTTCCCTGGGAATGTCCTGGAGGAAGGGGAGTCTGCATGACATTGCCAGCCATTGAATCACCCCCGCTCTCAGTGCCCGTTTCCAGAAGGCTCGCCCCAGAAACACAAGGTGCTTAAGACTCGGGTTAGCGGTACATGGGGCTGCCGACCTCCACAAGGCAGGTACTAGCTCCCCAGATATGCTTTCTTCTGCCTGCCGGCGCTGCACCCAAAGGGTTATAGCCCCTGAGCGTATATAACCTCCTTTGCACCCACCCAGTCCCCATGGGGAGCGCCAGGAACTACCCTGCAGCCCCTTCTAACTACAGGGCTTCCTCAGGCAGACAGGTCCACCCCTCAGGGAGACTAGGATAAGAAGACACCACACACCCGGACATCAGCAGAGCATGTCCAGCACCCAGCACGCAAAGGCCTCCTGCAGCTCATGAACCCAGAGAAGCAGCCGCCTCACACCACCCTGCCCCCGCCCCTGCCCCTCAGCTGCAACCACCTGCCCACTTTTTCTGCCTCCCGTCTCTGGTCAGCCCAGGCCGTCTTGGCCGGGGTCCAGCCACCCCAAAAACCACCACAGTTGTGGCATTGCCTCCTCACCAGACAGAAACAGAGGATCAACATCGGAGCGTGACAGGCCAAATGTCTGGGAGATATCCCTGCTCCACATTCTCTGTGCTCTTGCAGAATTGCAGGCGTCAGGAGGCTTGCCCACTGAATCATCTGGAGACTCCTTGACCAGATGTAGATTGTTTGGCACACCAGATGTTGACCTGGGTTGGAAACCATGATGAAGTGATGGATTTGCAGGTCAGGCTGGGGAGCCTGGGTCTGTGGGAGGGGTCCAGTGTCTGAGTCAGTTTGAGGTCCCCCTGGGGTCCAGGGTTGTCTCAGTTGCAAAGCTGGGAATGGGAAATTCATGCTTCACTCCAGCTAGCAGGCCACCTCAGCCCAGCTAGATGAAATGGTCCCATTGAATCCATACTCTTTCTCCTTCTTGGTTAGGCAGGTGGAGGAACTCAGGCATCCCTGTTACCGGCAGCAAGATGAAGATTTCCTTTTGTCACAGCCTTTATTTCCACAATGAAGTGATCAGTAAGTAGTACTGCATTGGCATCCTCGGTAAGGAGTGCCTCCTAGCATGGTAGGGGAGCCGGTATGTGGGAGGGTAGGTCTAGGATGAACCTTCCTGACTCCTCTCCCTCCAGGGTACAGGGTATCTCATTCCACTGCAGTCCAGTTGTTCTGGGATCATGAAGGTCAAGCCTCCAGCTGCAGGCAGTACACCTCCTACCTGAGCTTTTTCACCTGTTTGGCTGAACATGACTGCCCGGGTTTTGGTAGGATTGCTGAGGTGAGGTTCACCATGGGGCATCATGGGAAAGGACCTCGCTGGGCATTCCTTGGTCTCTGGGGAATTGGCATTAAACTGTGACATGAACTGTCCTGGACCCACTTCTGCAGTCCCCTAGATCATCAGCCAGGGCCTATGGCTCAATCCATTGCAGTTCTATTCCATGGTGGGAGGGACAGCATTTTAGAGGGAACAGAGGCCAGGGAACAGCCTAGGGCTGGGAACTGAGAGGTCTTTCAGTCCTGGATCTGTGCCCCACAGGGAGAACCCAAGGATCATGCAGGAAACTGCAATGAGCAATCCCAGGCCATCCATTGGTTGGGGGAGAAAGGCCCATCGGTGAACTGCAACACCCACATTTCAGGATTGGGGAACCTTAAGCCACTACAATGCATATGTGACTAAGATCAGTGGGTGAGAAGCAGAGCTTAAGGGATAGCTGTCTCATCATCACTTGCCAGCTCCCTCCCTTGCCCTGAGACCTCCTACCACCTGAGACTCAGTTTGAGCTCATCCAGGACCCTCTCCCTCTCTACACAGATATCCACCTGAGGCCCATCTAAGTCTACATTCCTTCAGAATGTTTCTCCCAGGTCTGTCATGTTCTGTTTTGATGACCCCGGGCTGCCCTGATATGTTATCCTCTCTGCTATCCTCACTCCAACTGCCCTGCCTTCCCATATAAGACAGTCCACTTCACAGGGAATCTGGAGGAATGCACTGGGTTCCAGTGTGATGAAATGTTCTATTATCTCCATGTACATGTATTTTAGAGCTTCCTCCAGGACTGGAAATGTGAAGAGATTGCAAAATGGCTGGGGACCTTCAGTATGTGTCCAGGGAGGGAACCTGGCTGGGAATTAAGGCCCACCTGAGTAATGGTATGGACATCCAGTGTCAGTTATCTTGATAAAGACCTGCTTTGTTACATCACCTACTATTAATATAAAAGTTAATTTCTTAGAATATTGAAAAAACAAATTTAAGTGCAAAGAAAAATAATTTCTTCATAATTGTATGGAAAAACTGCAGAAGGATCCATTTTCCATTATAAATATTATGAGAGACTTGAAGTGTTTATCAAGTTTTAAGATATATTTTTATTGTTCTACTCCTGGCAATTGTTATGATCATTTTTGCAATACAGGGACATGGACTCTGGAAAGTTTTTGAGGGACTTTCAGCTTCTTTTAGAGTACTTAGTCGTAAATTTTGAATTTTTTTCCCCTGTGGTTCTTTTCACTTTACTATTTGTACTTTATATGCAAGGTGTTAATTGTGTTTTCTTATTTGCCTCTTCTGGAACTTTTGTTTTCAAGGATTTTCTTTTTCAGTTAGATATGTGAGTTTGCCTCTGAGCACTTTTTCTAGCATAGATTTTTTTTTTAAATTCATTAGTTTTTGGGGGGGTGTGTGTGTTTGTTTGTTTTCAGATGAAGTCTCGATCTGTCATCCAGGCTGAAGTTAAGTGGCAAAATCTCGTCTCACTGCAACATCTGCCTCCCAGCTTCAAACGATTCCCCTGCCTTAGCCTTCTGAGGAGCTGGGATTACAGGCACATGTCCTGCTAATTTTTCTATTTTTAGTAGAGACTGGTTTCACCGTATTTGCCAGACTGGTCTCATACTGCTGTGATCTGCCTGCACTGGCCTCCCAAAATGCTGGGCTTCCAGGTGTGAGCCACCACGCCCAGCCTCATTTGTTTGTTAATGTATTTTAATCATTATTATATTTTCTTCATGTACATGTATTTTATAATTATTGAAATAATGTATTATATTTACTTAATACTTTTGTAGGATTTTATATGTAATATTTTCGCTCACCAAATACAGTATTGTGTATAGGTTAACCTTGTATAGTATTGTCATTCTGTCTTTCATAAATTATTCAAGAACTCCAATACTGTTTTTCCCCAACCTGAGGAGAACATGCAGATAGTTATAAAAAATTGTGCGAGGGGGTAAGTATGAAAATATAATCTGAAAGAATAATCAAATTCACAAATAAATTTCACATTTGTATTTTGCATCATTTTGAAAATTTTATTTGCTGACACATGAAATTCTGTATTCACCTTCATGTTAAATATACACTTTTGAATCAATTTCAAGAATGAAAGCAATCCAAGGCCATGCATTAGTTCAGGAAGTAGAAAGCAGTTGTTATGTAGAAAAAGATCATATTTAATGAAGGTATATTTAGAGAGATCTTAGAAGGCTTAAGTCAATATTTTTGTTTTTGTTGTTTTGGTGTTTTATCATACTGTGACCAGACTGTAGCATCAATAGTTATAGTCACTAGGCTACCAAAGTCTCAGAGCTGCAGTAATTATTATTGAGGAAAGTGGCAGTGTGGTTGGCTCTTTAAGGAGAGTAGAGGACTTAGGAGTTTCCACCCAAGCCACAACGGCCTGATTTAGTGGTGGCCTTCTTTTGCTGAAGCAGATAAGATACAGGAGAAGTGTGGACTCACTGTAGTAGCTAGGGCTTTGAGACTGGTAAAGCATATTTGTCCCCTAGTGCCATTGCCAGATATTGGTCTGCGCATAATGACATTTTCTGGACTCACTGACTCCTGTAAATTCAAACGTAGAATTTGGATTTAAATCCCTATTCCAACTTCTTAAACTTAGAATTAATAAGTGGGTGATAAAATATGTATTCAGAAGAAAGGCAGACATCAGATAAGTACATAAGTAAATCTTCCTGGTAAAATACCTTCAAAAGTGTTACTACAAAAAAATCACTGAAGAGCATACCTTAAACAAGTTATTTTACTTGGAGAAATAGAAAAATGTTGGAGTCGTTTTATATACAATGTCTAATTTGTTTGAAGAACAGCATACTATCTCTTTAGTATGGCTAGAGATTAATAACTCATGTAAGAAAACTCAGATTGACAATAAAATTTTTCAGAGATTTTGTTCTGTAATTAAAGACTTTTAAAATGGTTTCCTACTGATCAATGATTCACTTATATTTATCATTTAGGCATATGCTGTATACCCTTCTATACAGGGACAAAGTTATAGTTTCTATCATGTAGATAGAAAAGAATTTGACTGTGTACCACATTTGCATTAATGTCTTTGACCTGAGTAATGAAGCAAACAATGGAACTGTCTATGTCAGGTTACAGGTGGGCACAGCTGGAAGCTTCCATCACTTGTGCTTTAACATTTCTGCATTCTCATCAGTCTCTCCTGGAAAGAAAATGGACTATAACTATCCTAAAGAACATATGTTACATGTAGACACTAAGTATTGAGATAAAACCTTGATTTGTCTTATCACTGTCTCGTCATTACATTTGTATGTGTAACTTACACAGAGAAATTCAGTTTATTTTATCACCATTAAATTTTACATCACACATTTATATATTTTATTATCTTTCTATTGACCTTTATTTTTCTTGAGATGCAGTTCCACTTTGTCACTCAGTCTGGAATGCAGTGGCCTGCTCACAGCTCACTGCAACTTCAGCCTCTTGGGTTCAAGCAATTCTCCTGCCTCAGCCTCCTGAGTAGCTGGGATTACAGGCACACACCACCCCTCCTGGCTAATTTTGTATTTTTAGTAGAGATGGGTTTTCCCCATGTTGGTCAGACTGGTCTTAAACTCCTGACTTCAGGTGATTTACTGGCCTCAGCCTCCCAAAGTGCTGGGATTACAGGCATGAGCCACCATGCCAGCTCCCAAACCTTTTTTTGGACAAGTTCTTGCTTGGTCACCCAGGCTGGAGTGCATTGGCACCATCTTCACACACTGCAGCCTCAACCTCCTGGGCTCAAGCTATCTTCCTCTCTCAGCCTCCCAGGTAGCTGGGACTACATGTGTGCAACACCACATCAAGCTATTTGTTGTTGTTGTTGTTTAGTGATGAAGTCTTGCTCTATTGCCCAACTGGGTATCAAATTCCTGGGCCTAAAACATTCTCCTGGTTGAAGCTCCCAAAGTGCTGGAAATATAGGATTGAGCCACTGTGGACAACATTGTCATTCTTTAATCACTTTTTAAATGCCACTCTTCAAAAGTAACAAGTAAATTTTACTTAAGAAATTCCAAATGCCAAGTCAAGTTCAGCTTCATTTTCATAAAGAGGTAAAAAGAAAACAAATCAAAAAACCTTCTTTTTCCTTTGTTTTGAAGTTAGCAAAGAGTTGGAAAACCAATCATGTCTACTTTGGTTTATAAAATTGACTGTACAGAGAAAGATCCTCATATAAATGTTTTCAGATCTAAAATCTTGTGAAGTTATCATCAGAACCATCATCTTATAAAACAAAAACACATTTCCTAGTGGGTCTCTTGTGTGGATTAAACATCTTATTATTAGTAATGTATACAATTGTGATTACAGTTACTCCTTGAAACATAATATTAAAAATACAAATCTCATTTATTTTTTACAACTGCTACCCCAGTGAGAAAAAGTAACACTGACCTGGTGTAATAATTTGTGCCCCAGAGAGCCAGCCTTCTGGACTATTCAGATTCTTCAGACAGCCGGAGTGCTGAGAGCCGAATGGGAGTCTGGACATCTTGGAGGAGTAGCAATGCCAGGATATTTCTTGCTGCTCCACTCACCAACCAGAATCTCTCATGCAGCAGAATGGTAGACACCTTCACAACTCTCAGTTGTGCCCCAGGATGCCTCAGGCCCAGTATCACAGCAGTGTCTTCAGGACTCCTGTGTGCATAGGCAAAGATTTATTACAATACATTCATTAGAAAACCTGAACCTTAAACCTACATCAGGCTTTCTAGCATATTTCTTTATTTATGATACATAAGGTCCCTAGCTCATCTTCAGAGAAATCAGAAATCTATGGATAAAGAGTTCATAGACAAGGGGATTGCAGAGGAATTGACTAACAGAGGTACTAATAAGCCAAACACTGTGACAAAATTTCTTTTTAGCCTAAAACAAAAATGTTATCCATATAAGTGAGATGCTCATGTATTATAGAAGTGAATTAGGACAGAGAAACCTTCAGCAATGTACTTATGGGATCATAAATCATAGGATATGGGAAGAGGCAGGCACAAACTTACATGTTCCTGACACAGTGGGCAGCTATGAGAACCCATGAGCTGCTAACTATGGACCCGCTGTAGACCTGACTGCCACAGCTGATGATCCCAGCCTGCCAAGGCATGGCATATTGCAGAGAAATCTGATCTGCTGAAGCTGAGGAGAAAAATAAGCTAATTGTGCTAATTTGAATAGAATTGCCATCTGTAGATCTTTTTTTTTTTTTTTTTTTTGTGAGACGGAGCCTCACTCTGTTTCCCAGCCTGGAGTGCAGTGGCGTGCTCTCTGCTCAGTGCAAACTCCGCCTCCTGGGTTCCTGCCATTCTCCTGCCTCAGCCTCCTGAGTAGCTGGGATCACAGATGTCCATCACTGTGCCTGGCTAATTTTTTTTGTATTTTTTAGTAGAGACGGGGTTTCACCATGTTAGCCAGGATGGTCTCGATCTCCTGACCTCGGGATCCGCCCGCCTCAGCCTCCCAAAGTTCTGGGATTACAGGTGTGAGCCACCGCACCTGGCCCATTTTTTTAAGTTTTAAATCCCTCCTATTTGTGCTAACCAAATTAGCATTGTTAAATATGACCAGCAAAGACAAACTTCTACGTCTTTTGTGTTCATGCATTTTTCTTGAAAAGAAGTGTTCCTCTTACTATCTTTCTGAGTTCATAGTTTCTTTATGTCATAGCTTAAATTTCTTTAATCAAAATATTGGGAGTCATCCCAGCTTTCTCCCCCATTGCAACATTTATATATCTATGATTGTAGCTACCCAGAAATCACTGAAGTAGATAGGCAACAAAAAAATGTAATGATTTGAATGTATTAATAAATAATGAAAAATTTGGAGATAAAGCACCTGTCTCTAAAATGGAGGGGGCTTTTCTTCCTAAACTTATAATTTTAGTGAGATATCAAACCAATAGTTTAAATAGAAAATTCAAGATTGAGGTTCAGGAAAGAGCTCATATTTTTAAAATTATTTTAGCGTTCCTCAGAAAACTGAGTTGAAGCAATGCTCGTTTATATATATAGAGAGAGAGATAAAAATGTTGAAGATAACCTGTCTGTAGAAGGGGTAAGGAAGTATAGATGAAATTAGAAGCATAACTAAGATGTTAAGTGTAGTTGTCTTTGAGTTAGACTTTGGAGGATGTGAGCAAATAATTATGGCCTCTTTTATGTTTTAAGTGTATTATTCACTGTAACTATGGCGATAGGTGGTAGCTATAAAATAGCTGTGGCTAAGTGCACATTTAACTCATGAGACCAAAAGAGATCCCTCAATTTCTAAGGAAACAAGTAGAAGTACAGTAATGTGAAATAGCCATTGCTAATATTGTGATAGGTTTTCTGATAGCCAAAGGAAGGGGGAAACTGATAATAGCAACGTAACCCAATCTAGTACACCAGCACCTAAAACTCATTACTTACCAACTATTACACTGTTTCCAAACATCAAAATATCTTTAACTTAAAATATACTTAATTTAAAATAACTCTATTACAAATGCAAGCTACTGTGTGGTAGTAAAGAAATGTCTTTGTGTTAGAAGAGTGTGTCTTAATATTAGCCCTATTCATCTTTTGCCATGAGAAATCGATCAATCCATTCTACTTATCTAGTATCAGAATACACATTTAAGATAACTATAATAATCACGTTAAATGATCTCTATCATGATCTATAGGGATACTATGGAAATTGAATAATATATCAAGTATGAAATGCCTTTGTAAGCCATAAGGAAATAACTTCCATGATTTGGGAGATAAAATATTGTGCATTTTTCAGGAAGAGCTTTCTCTCCTCTCTCCTTCCATCTACTCTTTTCTATTTCAATTACCTTCTTCTTTGGCTTTGCCTACCAAGGTTTTGAGCCTTACTCTGAGGCTGTGGCAGAGAGATGAAGTGTGGCCAAATGGAAGTGGGAGCGGAGATAAAAGTCAAGGCATCTTTAGAAGCAGAGACTGAAAGGGACATGGAAGCAGAGGTAGTCATGGGCCCCTGGTGGTGCCAGGGTGCATGGCTAGGCCATGGCACTCCCAGGAGCCAGAAAGAAAAGGGTGCACTTGGCTGAAGACACAGGGCTTTGTGCAATGCTCCTCAAAGTGACTCAAGATTCCCACTTGCACCCAAGTGTCCTTTTGCTGTAGATGGCATACGAAAGGTGCTCCCAAGTCACGCTGCAAGAAACAAAGATACAAGATATGAATCAATATTTTGAAGGAGGGCCAGAAGTAACTTTTAGTGTGCAAGATATTCCTCTTTCTTCCTGGCATTCATACCCCATGAATTTGTCCCCTTACAGCCAGCCTCCCCAACAGCTGTCTTGGCCTCTACACAAAAAGTGAATTCATTCAGCTTGGGGCACAATTGGGCACAAGGGCTGACTTGTTGGTTGCTCAGGTGCCCTTTTTGCAGAATTCCAGAACTTCCTGATAGAAAACACAGAAGAGGTGTTTGTGTTTGTTTGTTTTCAAATTTAGCCTAGATTAGAGGGGGAAGTATGGTGAAGAGAAATACATTTTTTTTTATTATTCAAGAGAGGATACTATTCTCTTTCCAAACATGCTTCTCTTCCATCCCAGGGTCTTCTTCATTACTCAGCCCTCATAAGGGACCAGCTAGATAGCCAATAGTCATATAGTTGTGTAAATTTCTCCTGTTCCAGACTTTCCTCCAAGCATAGAGGAAACACCAGGGGTTGAAAATGTAGTGGCTGCTTCAGGAAGATCAACCCAGGTCCTAGAGGTCCCTTGGGAGCTAGGTAGGGTATGGCATGGTCAATGCTCACAGTCAGCTTGGGCAGATTCCAGAAGATGACTAAGCCCCACTGGACTAGGGCCAGGGCTCCTGAGCTTTTTCTGGGGAAAAAAAATCAAGAAAAATCTTATTATTTCCACATTTCAATTTGAATGAAGCCCTGGAGGTCACATGAATCCAGATGAAGTCCAGGTAAGCACTAAAGTAGAAATACTTCTTTAGAAACTATTTTCGAGGATCATTTGAGACCAGGTGCACAACATGATAAGAGCTTATTTATGCCAAAATAAAAATAGCCAGATGCAGTGGTGTGTGCCTGTGGTCCCATGTACTCAGGAGGCAGAGGTGGGATAATCTCTTAATATTGGGAGTTTGAGGCTACTTGTGAATCACGCCACTGCACTCCAGCCTGGGCAACAGAGTAAGACCTTGTTTCTATCTCTGTTTCTCTCTGTCTCTCTCACACACACAGACACACACAAATAAAGGGAAAGATATTCATTAACAATCTCCAGTTGTAATTGCTTTATAATGATATCTTAATCTTGAAATGAATTACTTAGATTTACATAAAATAGGCACATCTAGCTGTGGTAAGGATACACTGTTCATTTAGTATGGAGCCAGCACAGAAATGGGAGAAAGACAGTTGTAGAGAAACTGTCAAGGGAATTCACCAATTCCTGCCTCCCAGCAGCTGGGACAGAGGGTTACATGGCCAGGGCATAATCCACACTCCGCAGAAGGAATACACATGTGGAATAGAGTGAGATTAGTGTTACCACTCTCCTATTTCTAAAATCTAATTTTAGGTTTTTAGGAATATGCTTGAGAAATTCAGTATCTTCAATTCTGAGACAATGCTTCGAAATATGCATTATTCACCCTAAAATTTCAGATATACTACAGAGGTTATCTGCATACTTTCCCTTTAAATAATAATGTAAAGTATATATATATATACACACATATATATATATCTTATTTATATCCAAGATATTATACTATTATCCAATAGTGTGTGTATATATTCATATACCTCAAGTGGAATAATAAACCATTTCTAAGAAGTAAGACTATCTTTAAAATACTGCTCTCTGAATAGAATTGTGCTTATAAAACATAGCCCATAAATCCTGTTTGGCAAAAATAAGATATCTCTCAATATTTAAACATCTCTCCTGAGTCATACAATAACCTAAATTTTGGTATTGCAAAGATCTGCGGACATAACCTCTTATCTTACAAACTGTGGTTTTAGAGTTCAACAAGGGTCTTCGTACCAAGTATATTAACCCAAACCTATGACTAGACTAAAGGTGCCTGTGTTTTCATGAGAAATAACAGCTGTCTTGAAGAGCCAGAAAGTCTGGAAACTTTCTTTCCATATCACAGCTAGTTGACACTCAACCAGGGAAACATTGAGTTCTAAATGCCTAAGAGGTTGTTGTCTAGGCTTGGGTCCAGATTGAGATCCAGGCATCAGGAGAAGTTAAAAGTGTGGCTGGAGCAGCATGCAAGGATGAGAAAGAATGGGAAAGAATGCACTATTCAGTAAATGTTAAGAAAGATATTTTCTGAAGAGGATTAGCAGAAGAGGCTATGGATAGGAGAACAGGAGAAGAGACCAGAGGAAAAATAACTGAGAAAGATGGGAAAATGCAAAATGAAGGGAATGCACAAGAAGAAAAGATTGAACAAGAAGAACACAGTGTATGTGGAGATGGAAGAGAACAAGACAGAAAAAAGAAAAAGGAGGAACAAAGAGAGATAAGAGAGGTACCTAGGACATCAGGGCTTTCTTTTATCTTGATAATTTTTAATTTCCTGCCGTAGTGCTGGTAAACAAATCTTCTAGGAAGCAAATGCTTATAAGCTCGCTTGGTTGGAGAGAAATGATTTATCTTGGCTTTCTGTGACAGGTATCTCAGTTAACAAAGTGATAAAATAGTGATCTGGGAAAGAAACAGTTTTTACTGCCAAAAAGGGTACACGTTTAGACAAGGAGCCAAAGTGACTCGTTAATAGTGTTTCTTCATTCAGCTCAATTTCAGGAGGAGAAAATGATACAATTATATCAGCCTTATAATGGGTTCTGGGTCTTAGCATTTCTGTTTCAGGTTGGATCCAGGTTCTCACTTTACCAGCTTTAAAAACAGCAAAGCATTCAATAATATCAGCTTCAGACTGGATCCAGTGCATGTCTGCTTTGGCTACAGGTAGTATCCAAGATATGAGTGTTCTTCCTATAAGCAAGGTCCACGGTTTGACTACTGGAGATAGAACCTTGGGCCAGAAACTTAGTAGGAAGCTTTCAGACCGGATTAAAGCGTGAATTATATCAACTTCAGGCTGGATCCAGGGAATGAGATTTTAAATAAGCCCATGATCTGCCTTTATTCATTTGAATATTAAATGAAGATCTGACTATATCAGTTTCTTGCTTGATCCAGGGTCTCACTGCTTGGTTCTCAGCATTGGTTCGGTATGTAGCAGCTCTTTGCTGAGTCCAGGGCCAAAATATACCAACTTCAGTTTGGACCAGGGAGAGACTTTCAGGATGAATCCAGGGTCTAACTGTATCACATTGAGTCTGTAAGTGAGATGTGACTGTATCAATTTCAGTCATGTTTCAGGGCTTTATTCCTTGGCTTACAGTCCAAATTTGGAATACTTCAGTTTCAGATTGGTTCCAGGATCTTATTGAATTCATTTGAGTCTGGAACCAGTATCTTATCACTGGATTGGCTTCAGGGTGGGTCCAGGGATGAATTTCAGAGTATAAGTCCATGATCTGATAGTAGCAGGTACATGCTGAGTCCAGGAGTAATTATGCTAACTTGATTCTGGGTCCAGGAGTGTGCCATTTGAGATTCAAGTTGGGTCCAGGGCCAAACTGCATAGTTTTGAGTTGGGGACCAACATGTCAACATTCCGCCTCAGGCCAGGTCCTAATTTCTTGAGATTCAGGCTCAGTCCATTGTTCTATTTTATCAAATTCAGAATGTGTCCAGTGTCTGACTGTATTGATTTCAGCATAGGTCCACGGTTGAATAACATCACATTCAGACTGTGTCCAGGGTCTAACTGCATTCTTTTCAGATTGGTTCCATGGGTGGGTTATTTACCATTCTCTCTGGCTTCATCCAGGTAGTAACTGTTTGAGAATAAGGTTGAGTACCATTTCTTCTTACATGCTTTTGGGTCTGAAACCAATTACTCAGAGTATTAATGTCAGACATGGTCAAGCCTGATTCAATAGTGTACCAGACTCATACATGTAACAGTGTATCAGACAAGGCCAGGGTCCAGAGTCTGACTGCTTGAAATTCACCATGAGTCAAAGGTCTGATAGTATTAGTTTTAGCTCTAGTCCAGGGCTGGATGGTGCCTGCTTCAGTCTGGATCCATAGTTTTACTGTATCAGCTTCAGAAATGTTCTGGGATCTCATTGTACCTACTTCAGACTGGGTACACAGGAAGAAGACATCAGTTTCAGATTGGATCCATGTTATAAATGTTGTAGTTCTGTGTTTAGCCAGGATTCTATTTTACCAGGTCCAAAGGGAGTAAATGTGCTCAGTGTTTGAAATTCTGGCTGAGCCCAAGGTTTAATTTTTTTTCTGTTGCCGTTTTAAACAAACTTCTGCTAGTTAGAGCTTCAGGTTGGGAGCATAGTTTTGCTGCTTGATAGTGCAGAGGCACTACCAAGGATATAAGGGTTCCAAATTCAGGCAAGGCCCATTCATTGATGTTTTCAATTTCATGATGTGTCCACAAAATAGTGCTTGATTTTCATATTGGATTAAGGGTTGTGTAGTATCACCTATAGGTTCTGTCCAACAAACTACTGCTGGAGATTCAGCCTGAGGCCATGGTGTGTCTGTGTCATTCGTAGGCTTTGTCCAAAGATTTCCTGCTGGAGATTGAGAATGTGCCCATAGTGTGACAGTAGCAGCCCAGGGCAGTATTTATGGATATTCTGTTGTTAATTCAGCCTCTTTCCATAGTGTGATGGTATCAGCTATGGATGTTGTCCAGGTATTTACCGATGGACATTCAACCCGGGTCCAAGGTATGACTATGGAAGATATAGGCTGTGTCCATGGAATTACTACTGGAGATACAGCCTAGGCCCATGTTGTGACTTTGGAATTTACAGCATCTGTGCACGAATTTACTGTTGGAGACTCAGCTTGTGTCCACAGGATAACGTTATCAGATTCAGGTAGTGTACAGAGATTTACTGCTGAAGATTCATGTTGGACCCAAGGTTTTGTGTCTAGAATTTATTCCCTCTGGTGGGTTTGTGGTCTCACTAACTTTGAGACTGAATCCACGGAACCTCACCGTGAGTGTTACA
Source organism: Homo sapiens (assembly GCF_000001405.40). Classification (NCBI taxonomy): domain Eukaryota; kingdom Metazoa; phylum Chordata; class Mammalia; order Primates; family Hominidae; genus Homo; species Homo sapiens. Next base: position 9,923,280 of record NC_000024.10, read on the forward strand.
GCTGTTAAACATGGTGTGTCCAGAGGTTGTTTCTTCAGATGTTCAGATGTGTCCAGAGTTTCTTCCTTCTGATGGGTTTGTGGTCTCGCTGACTTCAAGAGTGAAGCTGCAGACCTTCCCAGTGAATGTTACAGCTCTTAAAGGTGTAACAGCTCCAGAGTTGTTTGTTCCTCCTGCTGGGTTCTTGGTCTCACTGACTTCAGGAATGAAGCCACAGACCCTGAGGTGAGTGTTACAGCTCATAAAAGTAGTGCAGACTCAAAAAGTGAGCATCAGCAAGCTTTATTGTGAAGAGCAAAAGACCAAAGCTTTCACAGCATGGAAGGCGACCCAACCAGGTTGCTGCTGTGAGCTAGGGTAGCTAGCTTTTATTCCCTTATTTGGCCCCATGCACATCCTTTGATTGGTCCATTTTACAGAGCACTGATTGGCCCATTTTATAGAGTGCTGATTGGTCCATTTTACAGAGTGCTGATTGGTGCATTTACAATCCTTTGGCTAGATACAGAGCACTGACTGGTGCATATACAATCCTTTAGCTGGACGGGAAAGTTCTCCAAGTCCCCACCCCATCCTCAAACTGAGGTAAAGCTCAGCTGGTTTCACCTTTCAGTTTGATTGTATAAGATTGATCCTGTGTAAATGGATTTATTGGTGGAGACTCACTCTGAATCCATGGTATAGTACTAAACCCACTAGTTTGTCCAGGGATTTATGGCTGGAAATTCAGGCTTGGTCCACAGCCTGTCTCCATCAGCTATTGTCTGTGTCCATGAAATTAGTGTCGGAGAGTCATTCAGGATTCCCTGTGTGACTATGTAAGTTTCAGACTGTGTCCAGGCATTTCCTTCTATAAATTCACCCTCATTCCATGGTAGGACCATATCAGTGATAGCCTTTCTTCAGGGATTAATTGCTGGAGATTTACCTGGAATCCATGTTGACTACAAGATACTGGTGGATGTTCAGCATGGGTCTGTGATAGTAATATACCATGTGCCCAGGGACCTACTCCTAGAGTTTCAGCCAGAATCCACGTTGTGAGTATATCAGTTTCAGACTGTGTCCAATGATGTAGTAATAGTGATTCAGCCTGGATACACATTATTATGACCATATCAGATATAGGAGAATATATCCATGAATTCATCACTAGTGATTCAGCATGGGTCCCTAGTGTGATTATATCAGCTTCCAACTGTTTCCAGGAATGTACTGCTGGAGACTCAACCTGGTTTCACAGTGTTATTGTTTCAGTATCAAATTGTATCTGGTAGTTTACTGCTGGAAAATAAGCTGTGGTCCACAATGAGACTGAATTAAATTCAGATGGGAGCCAGTTGTTTCCTTCTAGATATTCAGGCTGCAATTTTGTCCAAGGATTTATTGTTGGCATTTCATCAAGGGTCAATTGTATGACAGTTTCAGCTATAGCTTTTGCCCAGGGATTCATTGCTGGGAATCTATCCTGGGTCCATGGTGTGACTGTCTTAGCTATAGGCTCTGTCAAGGGAATTAAGGCTGGAAATTCACCTTGATTCCAACGTGTGACTTTATCAGATACAAAACGTGTCCAGAGATCCACTGCTGGAGATTCAGCAATAGTCCACAGTATGACCGGATCAGTTTCAGACTGTCTCCAGCATGTTAATCCTTGAAATTCAGCCTTTGTCCATGTTGTGACTATATCTGCTGACATATTTGTCCAATAGTTTACTGTTGGAGTTTCACACAGTGGGACTGTGTGAGTTTCAGATTGTGTCCAGGGATTTAATTCTTGAGACTCTCCCTGCATCCATGGTGTTTACATAATAGCTTCATTTTGTATCCAGGAGTTGATTACACCAAGGTCTTTCTGAATCCAGGGTCTCAGAATGTCATCTTCAGCCTGGGTCCATGATCTAACTTTACCACTTTCAACCTTGCCCCAGTGTCTAAATGCATAAGTTTCATGAAGTATCCAGTCTCTTACCTTTTTAGCCACAGGCTGGTTCCAAAACCTCACTATTTCAGTGTCAGACTGTATCCAGTGGTGATCCATCAGAGTTACTGGTTCTCTCCACTATGTGACTGGCTCTGCTTGAGACTGAAACAAAAGTTTGATGATATCAGCTTCAGTGTGATTCAGGGTCTGCATTTATCAGCTTCAGGTTGGGACCCGGGTACCACTGTTTCCATTCCAGTTTGGGCCCAATACCTAATTGGATCTGTTTCTGGTCGGGTCCAATGTTTTTCTTTCCATTCTTCAGTCTGCGTTCTGGGCCACAATATCTAATATTTATGCCGAATCCAGGGTCTCACTCTTTCAGTTTCAGTTTGTAACCATGGTTTAATTGTATCAGCTTTCAAGTGAGTCAAGAGTCTTCCTGATTGAGTTTCTGGCTGGGACCACGTTTGGAATATGGTTGTTTCAGGCTGATTCCAGGGTCTGATCATGTCAACTTTAGAGTGAATTAAGGGCTCAATTATGTTCATAATAGGATTTATTAAGATCCATGTCTGCATTGGGGGTTTCAGTATAACAGCCTCATGTTTATTCAATGTACTAAATCTATTCATTTGATATAAAGGCCTGATAATACTTGTTTTCTGTTGCATACAGTACCTAATATTGGCATCTTTTGACTTAGCACATGACTATGGAGTATGCAGTATGGAAGAAATCCAGAACTGATTGACTCAGCTTCCGTCAGAATCCAGTATCCATCTGTCCTTTCTATAGTTTCTTGGGATCGAAATATATTTAAGACTGGCTGACACCATGGTTCAAAGTTATGGATTACTGTAGGATACTGAGATCCATCTTCATTGAGGGAAGAATGAGCCCATAGTTCAATTTTATTAACTCTGAAAGGTACCAGTGGAATCCAGTTGTAAGTTACTGGTTTAACACCAGGTTTAACTCTATGAGCTGCATGATACGTTTGGTGTTTGAATCTGCATCACTGTTTCTGTTTTATAAGACACAAACTGTTTCCAAGTTTCAACTTCAGGAGTAATTTCTAGCCAAGGTATAGCTACAAGTTGTCGATGAGATGGAACATTAATAGATTGAACCTGAGACTGACCAATATCCATCTTAGAAGAAACTGGAGATCCATCTATCCCACTTGAAAAGAGAAACCAGAGGCAGGGCATGGTGGCTCACACCTGTAATCCAAGCACTTTGGGTGGCCAAGTTGGGCAGATCACTAGGTCAGCAGATCGAGACCATCCTGGCTAACACGGTGAAACTCTGTCTCTACTAAAAATACAAAATAAATTAGCCGGGCTTGGTGGCAGGCGCCTGTAGTCCCAGCTACTCAGGAGGCTGAGGCAGGAGAATGGCGTGAACCCAGGAGGCGGAGCTTGCAGTGAGCCGAGATCATGCCACCGCACTCCAGCCTGGGCAACAGAGTGAGACTCTGTCAAAGAAAAAAAAAAAAGAGAGAAAGAAAGAAAGAAAGAAAGAAAGAAAGGAAGGAAGGAAGGAAGGAAGGAAGGAAGGAAGGAAGGAAGAAAAGAAAGAAAGAAAGAAGAAACCGGTAGAGTATGAAGCCTAATTATAATAGCTAATGTATTAATCCAAGATCTTGCTGAATCAGTCACAGTTTGATACTTATAATTCATTGCATTTTTCTGAGGAAGATTCCAGGATATAGCTATAATAACAGGGGTACTCCAGTGTTCAGCTGTATTGGGATGATTCCGTAGTTCAGCAACAGGAGAAATCCAGGATCATACCATTGGGAATTTGCTAGCAGAGGAGAGGTGACCACTTTGAAAGTGTAATAATCTATTGGCATGAAAAAAGTCTCTATTATTTGAACCAAAAAACATTGATTGAGGATTCCAGTGCTTTCTGTTTACTGGGAAAGTGCTTAATCTTCTCCCCTATGTTTGTACTGAGAATCCATGGAACACCAAAGTGGCAGAGCCTGTGTTAGAGCAAAGTGTGTTTTGTGGACTGTCTTTTACTCCAGGAGGAAAGTTGCAGGGTAGAGAAAAAGTAGGACCCAGTGGCTTCTGGGATGCCTTGGTAAGCCATCTCATCCATATGTATGGGACTGTCCTGATGACAAGAACAGGGTCATAACAGGCTTCTGAGGTTATCACTGACCAGGCCTACCAGTTCCCAGTGACTTCCAAAGAGGCAAAGAACAGGAATACCTTGCTGTACCTGAAAGGTTAGAAACAAAGATAACCAAATATATTAGAAATACATACAGACATGTAGTATACACTATTAAAATACATAATGCATAAATTACATATATATGCAATACATGTATATTAATTATAAAATACACAGATACATATATTTTATGTTCATCAATACTTATATTTATAAATTAGTTAAATAGTTATGTGGTTTATACATATATTAAATTATAAGATATTAAATTGTAAATATAAGTTATACTTTTGTATCACATGTAAATTTCATATTACTTGATGGGCAATAATAAATATTACATGGTCCATACTTCAAGAGTTCCATATGATACTTAGGAATAAATAATTCTAACTGTGGTTAAAATAGTAAAATTAAATACTAGAGGGAAATTAGAGGAAAGTTCTATACCATAAAAAATCACCTTCATACTCAAAATCATTATCTGAATATTACTTATGCCTTTAGCCAAGTAATCTTAGGCAAAGCAAAACTTATACAGTCATATGAAATGACTGTTTGTATCATCTCCTCTGCCACTACATTTGTTGAAGCCATCACCATTTGTTTGGTCTCTCTGCTTGATTCTGATAGCTACTTGCCTCTCACAGTTTGTTCTCCCAGTAGCCAGAACTACACTCAGAGTAAAAGTACTTATTCTAAAACTGACTACGTAATTGGAAGTAAAACACTCCTCAGCAAATGCAAAAGAACAGAAATCATAACAAACAGTCTCTCAGGACACAGTGCAGTCCTCAGGATTAAAAAAGTCACTAAAAGCTGCACAACTACATGGAAACTGAACAACCTGCTGCTGAAGGTCTACTGGGTAAATAATGAAATGAATAAAGAAATTCTTTGAAACCGATGAGAACAAAGACACAACATACCAGAATCTCTGAGAAACATTTAAAGCAGGGTTTTGAGGGAAATTTATACCACTTAATATCCACAAGAGAAAGTAGGAAAGATCTAAAATTAGCACACTAACATCAAAACTGAAAGAACTAGAGAACAAGAAAAGCAAGAGCAAACAAATTCAAAAGCTAGCAGAAGACAAGAAATAACTAAGATAAGAGAAGAACTGAAGGAGACAGAGACACAAAAAACCCTTCAAGAAAATCAATGAATCCAGGAGCTGGTTTTTCAGAAACATCAACAAAATAGATAGACCACTGGCCAGAGTAATAAAGAAGAAAAGAGAGAAGAATCAAATAGACACAATAAAAAATGATAAAGGAGAGATCACCTCTGATCCCATAGAAATACAAACAACCATCAGAGAATACTATAAACACCTCTACCAAAATACAGTAGAAAATCTAGAAGAAATGGATAAATTCCTGGATGCACACACCCGCCCAATTTTAAACCAGGAAGAAGTCGAATCCCTGAATAGACCAATAACAAGTTCTGAAATTGAGGCAGTAATTCATAACCTATAAAACAAATAAACAAAAAAATCCAGGACTAGATGGATTCATAGACAAATTCCAGCAGACATACAAAGAGTAGCTGGTAGCATTCCTTCTGAAATTATTCCAAACAATAGAAAAAGAGAGAATCCTCCTGAACTCGTTTTATGAGGCCAGAATCATCCTGATATCCAAACCTGGCAGAGACACAGCAAAAAAAGAGAAAATTTCAGGCCAATATCCCTGATGAACATTGATGCAAAAATCCTCAATGAAATACTGGCAAACCAAATCCAGCAGCACATCAAAAAATGTATCCACCACGATCAAGTCAGGTTCATACCTGGATGCAAGGCTGATTCAACATGTGCAAATCAATAAATGCAATCCATCACATAGACAGAACCAATGACAAAAACCACATGATTATCTCAATAGATCCAGAAAACCCCTTCAACAAAATTCAACATCCCTTCATGATAAAAACTCAATAAAGTAGGTATTGATAGAACATATTTCAAAATAATAAGACCTACTTATGACAAACCCACAGTCAATGTCATACTGAATGGCTGAACCTGGAAGCTTTCTTTCCCTCTGAAAATCTGCACAAGACAATGATGCCCCCTCTCTCACCACTCCTATTCACCATAGTATTGGAAGTTCTGACCAGGGCAATCAGGCAATTGAAAGAAATAAAGGGTATTGAAGTAGGAAAAGAGGAAGTCAAATTGTCTCTGTTTGCAGATTACAAGATTGTATATTTAGAAAACCCCACTGTCTCAGCTCAAAATCTCCTTAAGCTGATAAGCAACTTCAGCAAAGTCTCAAGATACAAAATCAATGTGCAAAAATCACAAGCATTCCTATACACCAATAGCAAACAGCGAGCCAAATCATGAGTGAACTCACATACACAATTGCTACAAAGAGAATAAAATACCTAGGAATATAACTTACAAGGGATGTAAAGGACCTTTTCAAGGAGAACTACAAAACACTGCTGAAGGAAATCAGAGAGGACACAAATACATGGAAAAACATTCCATGTTCATTATAGGAAGAATCAATATTTTGAAAATGGCCATCCTGCCCAAAGTAATTTATAGATTCAATGCTATCCCCATTAAAGGTATGATTGACTTTCTTCACAGAATTGTTAAAAACTATATTAAACTTCATATGGAGCCAAAAAAGAGCTGGCATAGCCAAGACAATCCTAAACAAAAAGAAGAAAGCTGTAGGCATCATGCTACCTGTCTTCAAACTGTAACAACACAAGGCTACAATAAGCAAAACAGCATGGTACTGGTACCAAAACAGATATATAGACCAATGAAACAGAACATAAGTCTCTGACATAATACCACGCCTCTACAACCATGTGATCTTTGGCAAATCTAACAGAAACAAGCAATGGGGAAAGGATTTCCTATTTAATAAATGGTATTTGGAGAACTGGCTAGCCATATGCAGAAAACTGAAACTGGACCCCTTCCTTACACCTTATACAAAAATTAACTCAAGATGGATTAAAGACTTAAACATAACACCTAAAACCATAAAAACCCTAGAAGAAAACCTAGATGATACCATTCAGCACGTAGGCATCAACAAACACTTCATGTCTAAAACACCAAAAGCAATGGCAACAAAAGCCAAAATTGACAAATGGGACCTAAGTAAACTAAAGAGCTTCTGACAGCAAAAGAAACTATCATTAGAGTGAACAGGCAACCTACAGAATGGGAGAACATTTTTGTAATCTATCCATCTAACAAAGGACCAATATCCACAATCTACAAGGAACTTAATCAAATTTACGAGAAAAAAATAAAACCACCCATCAAAAAGTGAGCCAATGATATGAACAGACACTTCTCAAAAGGAGACATTTATGCAGCCAACAAACATGAAAAAAAGTTCATCATCCCTGATCATTAGATAAATGCAAATCAAAACCACAATGAGATACCATCTCATGCCATTTAGAATGGTGATCATTAAAAAGTCAGGAAACAACAGATGCTGGAGACGACTGGAGAAATAAGAATGCTTTTACACTGTTGGTGGTAGTGTAAATTAGTTCAACCATTGCGGAATACAGTCTGGTGATTCCTCAAGGATCTAAAACTAGAAATACCATTTGACCAGGCAATCCCTTTACGGGTTATATACCCAAAGGATTATAAATCATTCCACTATAAAGACACATGCAAACTTATGTTTATTGAGGGATTGTTCACAATAGCAAAGACTTGGAACCAACCCAAATGTCCATCAATGATAGACGTGATAAAGAAAATGTGACACATATACACTATGGAATACTAAGCAGCCATAGAAAAGGATGAGTTTATGTCCTTTGCAGGGACATGGGTGAAGCTGGAAAGCATCATTCTCAGCAAACTAACACAAGGACAGGAAGCCAAACATGGCATGTTCTTATTCATAAGTTGGAGTTGAACAATGAGAACACATGGAGGGGAACATCATACACCGGGGCTTGTCGGTGGGTGGAGGGTTAGAGGAGGTATAGTATTAGAAGAAATACCTAATATATGTGATGGGTTGATGGGTGCAGCAAACCACCATAACACATGTATACCTATGTAACAAAACTGCACGTTCTGCACATGTACCCCAGAACTTAAAGTATATACAAAAAAGAAATACATATTTATATATAGACATATACTATACATATATTAAAATATATATAATGCACAATATACATGTATTAAATACATATATTGCACAAAGTTCATCTATAGGTAATACATATATAATTATAAAATATGTGGATGCATATATTGTATATGTTTAGGAATACTTATATTTATAAATTAGTTATATAGCTTATATGATTTATACATATATTAAATTATAAGATATTAACTTAAAAGTATAAATTATAGTTTTCTATCACATGTAAATTCCATATTACTTGATAGACAGTAATAAATTTTACATTTTATATACTTCATGAGTTCCATATTAACACTTAGGCATAAATAATTGTAACTCTGGTTAAAAGAGTGAAATAAGATACTAGAGGGAATTTAGAGGAAAGTTCTAAACAAAGATCACTTACATACCCAACATCGTTATCTGAATATTATTTATGCCCTCAGCCAAGTAACTTTAGGCAAAGCACAACTTATACAGTCACATGAAATGACTGGGAGTATCACTTTCTCTGCCGTTACGTTTGTTGAAGCATCATCATTTGTTTGGTCTCTCTGCTTGAACCTGATACTCACTTGCAGCTTACAGTTTGTTCTCCCTGTAGCCAGAATTATACTCTGCGTAAAACCAAAAGGATTTGTCTTTGATCTCAATTAAGTGTTTTATTTTGTTCATCTTGCCACATGATGGGAGTATGACTACTTGCTTAATTCTAGTCTCAGAATTATTTCAGTGGTTATTTTCTCTGCCTGGAATTCTCTTCCTTCAAATATCTGCCTAGATTACTGCCCCAAAGGTTTAGTCTTTGCTTAAGTAAAGCATTTTTAAAGTCATGCCACTCCAAAAGACATTTGCCAACATCTTTCTATCACTTATTAATTTATCAAAATATGTTTTACCACTGAACATTTTACTTTACTTTTTTCTTGCTTGTAGATTGACAAAAAATGTAAGCTTCATGATAGTAAGCCTAATTACATGATTTTATAACCAATAACCCTTAGCCCACACGAAAATAAATGATTAAGCACTTCATATTTTACAAATGAATGACTGCTCATTGTTTTTGTTCTATATTCAATATCATTACGTTGAAATGTAAAGAATATTAATTTATTTAACATATTAACAGATTCTTAAATATGATTTAATTTTTAAAGACCATCTTGCCTATTGCTTTCCAGAACAGAAAATGTTTTATTCCTCTAAAATGTGCTACTTTTGCTTTAAAATATTTCTGTAGGAAATTTTTTTCTGTGGCTCCTACTGATTAAATAATCAAGTCTAAATATCATAACTTCAAATTATGAATTCAGCTTATTTTTCTGTTCTCATGTCTTCTCTATCTCTTTTTACCAACTTTTTTCAGAAAAAAAAACACATTTTCCTATCCAAATATAATCTATGTATTAAATATTCTTCCTACATCTGTATATCTTATTTCTATAATAAAGAGCTGCTTTTCTTTCAAAGCCCATTCTAAAAACCTAATGAATGTGTACATATAATGAACCATATATTCTATATATTCCTACTGTTTGCAATACAAATTCCTGCATGAACATGGACCATTATATCTTGTAAAGTTATTGCACTATCCTTTACACTTGATTTATTTCATATTAGGCAGTAAGCTCTCTAACTACAGGGCTCAGGATTGGATTTTCTGAGAAGTGGGATGAGGCCTGTTTCCTGTATGTGCCCCATTAGGTTAGAATTCTTTGTCTGTACTGGTATCCTGCCTGTCTTAATTGCAAGTTTTTTAAGTACAAATTTTATGATTTTTTATGGTAGTCTTTTGGACTTCGAAAATGTTCCAATAATGTTTGTTAGCAAAGAATATTGAAATGATTTAGTAACCTTTCTCCATCATAAATTCCATTCATATTTCAAATAGTTTAACTTTTCTATTTTTTTTTTTTTTTTGAGAGAATGACTCTTCTCTGTCCCCTAGGGTGGAGTGCAGTGGCACAATCTCAGCTCACTGCAAACTCTGCCTTCTGGGCTCAAGCGAGTCTCATGCCTCAGCCTCCTCAGTGGCTGGTATTACAGGCACACATAACCACGACAGGCCAGTTTTTGTATTTTTAGTAGAGAAAAGGGTTTCACCATGTTGGTCAGCCTGGTTAAGTTTCCTTCTAAGGCCAAGCGTGGTGGCACATGACAGTTATCCAATGTAATTTGGGAGGTTGAGGTGGGCAGATCACTTGATCCCAGGAGTTCAAGATTAGCCTGGGCAACAGTAAGACTCCAACACTAGAGAAAAATAATTAACTAGGTGTTGTGGTGCATGCCTATGGTTCCAGCTACTGGGAAGTCTGAGATGGGAGTATCACTTGAGCCTGGGATGTCAAGGCTGCAGTGAGCACTGATTATGTCATTGTACTCCAGCCTGGATGACAGAGTGAGACCCTGTGTAAAAAAATAATAATAATAATAATTCTGGCCATTTTTGTCTTATTAATTGTGGCTATTTATACACTAAATATTACCCCCTTCAGAAGGTACTACATGATATCCTACATTAGGCTTTAAGAAAAAGACCATGATATTCTTTCAAAAGTAGCTATTTGTAGACGTGTGTTTTTCAGAACTAATTTTGCTGTGTCATTTTGGATTTTCATAATTGATAATGACCTTTCATGACTTCAGATTTTCATTTTTTATAAATTCTCAGTTTATATTTGTTTAATTGGATTATAGATTTTTTCTAACAACTGAGTTCAGGAATCAAACTATAACTCTGTCGGTTTTTCCCTTTGTTTCTAAATACCTTTTCATTTATTCTATTTGTTCTTTTTTTTTTTTTTTTTTAGAAACATAGTCTCCCAGGCTGGAGTGAAGTGACAAGATCATAGGTTACTGCAACCTCAAACTCCCTGGCTCAAGCAATTCTTTCCCAACAGACTTCAAAGTAGCTAGGGCTACAGGCACAGTCCAAAACACCCAGCTATTTTTTTTTTTCTAGAGACAGCATCTCACTATGTTCACCAAGCTAGTCTGGAACTCTTGGCCTCAAGTGATCCTCCTGCCTCAGTTTCCCAAAGTATTGAAATTATAGGCATGAGCCCCTGTGGCTTCAAAGACTTTCTATGTAAGTTCCCTATTTCTCAATTTTTTAAAATCACTAAAAATGCTTCTGCTTTATTTATTTGTGATTAAAGAAAATACATTCCTTCATGAACCTTTATAGAATTGGTAAGGTGTTTCTACAACCCCCTCACAATGCTAACTTTGCCTTTATATAGGAAGTTCCCAGCAGTCTTCTTGTGGCTGACTCCAGATACATAAATTATTATTCCTAGTCTTGTGAGTATGTTGATGGTGGCAGAAGAAGGGGTCTAGAAGCTTGACTGACAACTTCTTGATACTGCTGCCAAAGTTATTGTGAGCTGAAGAAACAGAGATGAGAAGGATATGAGACATGCATTATTCCATTAGGCAATTTATAGCATGGCTTTCCTATAAGATTTTATATTATAGCTTTCATTCATTACAAATATCCCTGAGACAGTTCAAATTCTCCTTTTCTCCATCTTATCTCATATATACTTACTTCATAGACTCTTGGATTTTGGCAAATCACCTTACACCAGGTAACATAATTCAGAGTAATTTCAATGCCTGACATTGTGATTTTACTTCCATTGTTACCCATATAAAGAGGAATAATATGGATTCAATTGTATGCTAGTTTTTTATACACTTCTGATTTTATTTTTCCATTAATTTTGTTTTTATTGTCAACCTCTGAATTATATTAATGATATAGAGAATATGACTCTTGTGGCTTAGTCTGATATTGCTATACCCTGCAGTGTCTGTACAAGCAGTTATAACAGCTCTTCCAAAAGATGTTGTAAGTGTGGGAATCTGGCATTTCTTCACTTCTGATAGGGTATTGGAGAAGGACCACTCCTATATCCCCCATTCCTGGATCTGTTCCGATTTGTGGATTAAATCTTGGGTGCAGGCAGATTTTGGGGCCCAGTAAAACACTGGTGAATGACTCCAGAAATGGTTAGTGTGCACTGCATTCTGGTCAATGACTCCTGAAATGGTTAGGGTGCAAATAGTTCCTAATGGAATGGAAACATAAAGAATACAATAAAGATTAAAGTGAGAAAACATTTAATTTTACTTCAATTTAAACTTAAATGTTTGCTAAAATATAATTTTTGTTGGCTGGGCATGGTAGGTCAGACCTGTAATCCCTGCATTTTGAGAGGCCTGTAATCCCATGACTGCCCAACACAGGCAGACAACTTCAGGTCAGGAGTTTCAGACCAGCCTGGATAATACCGTGAAACCCATCACTACTAAAAATACAAGAAAAAAATGGGTAGGTATTGTGGCACGCACCTTTAGTCCAAGCTACTCAGGAGGCTCAGGCAAGAGAATCACTTGTATCGGGAATGGAGGTTATAGTGACTGAGATTGTGCCACTGCACTGCAGCCTGGATGACAAAGCGAGACTCCATCTCAATAATAATAATAATACAATAAAATATAAAATAAAATAAATCCTTATTTAGCAATTTAAGCACTTGATATTTTACAAATGAATGATCCCTCATTTTTATTCTATATGCTATATCATTACAGTGAAATGTAAACAGTATAAATTTATTTAATAGACTGCATTGTTGCTAGATGCTGACAATGGGGCAACCATTGGGGTCAACGAGTATAACCACTGCTTCTGAGAATTAGGAACTAAATGCCTTTATATTGTACTTCATTTTGTACTTTTTGTTAATTTGTTTTTGGGACAGGTTCTCACTCGGTTACCCAGACTGGAGTGTAGTCGCTTGATCATGGCTAACTGCAGCCTTGACCTCTCCACTCAAGCAATCCTCCTACCTTAGACTTCTGAGTAGATCATACTACAGGCATATACCACCGAAAGTAGCTAATTTTTGAAACAAATATTCTTAGAGATAAGGTCTTTCTATGTTGTTCAGGTTGGTCTTGAACTCTTGGACTTAAGTGATCCTCCCAGTTCAGCCTCCCAAGCAGCTGGCACCATAGGCGTGCACCACCAAGCATAGCTAATTAAAAAAAATTCATATATTAGAGATGGGATATCCCTGTGTTGCCCAAGATGATCATGAACTCCTGGGATCAAGCGATTCTTTCACTGCAGCCTCCCAAAATGCTGAGATTACTGGTGTGAGCCACAGCACCTGTTCAGTATTTTCTCCCCCTTTCTTTCCTTCCTTCTCTTTCTTTCTCTTTCTTTTTCTTTCTTTCTTTCTTTCTTTTCTTTCTTTCTTTTTTCTTTCTTTCTTTCTTTCTTTTCTTTCTTTCTTTCTTTCTTTCTTTCTTTCTTTCTTTCTCTCTCTCTTTCTTTCTCTCTTTCTCTCTTTCTTTTCTTTTGTTTATTTCTTACAGGGTCTCACTCCCAGCAACATGTCATGGCTAGTGTCCATGGCTGAATCCTGCCAGGGTATTATTCTCAGTTGGTGGTAGATCCTGTCTACAGCCAGCTGTCTGACTAAACTGTAATTATGTAGAACAAGGCTAAAGAGCAGTGGCTCAATACAGCCAAGTTATCAGGCTTAGGTGATCCTACCACCTCAGCCTCCCAAGGAGCTAAGATGGGGTCTCACTCCAGTTGCCCAGGCTGGAGTGTAGTGGAACAATCTTGGCTGACTGCCACCTCTGCGTCTCAGGTTCAAGCCATCTTCCTGCCTTAGCCTCTTGAGTATCTGCAAGTACGGGTATGCACCACCATGCCCAGCTAATTTTTGTATTTTTGGTACAGATGATGTTTCAGCATGTTGCCCAGGCTGGTCTCAAACTCCTGGGCTGAAGCAATTTTCATGCATTGATCTCCCAAAGTGCTGGGGGTTACAGGAATGAGCCACCATACCTGGCCTATTATTTTCTAAAGAAGATTAAAGTCCCTTTCATGTATCAAAATCCAAGGCAAATATAGTTAATAATGATGAAATAGATCTAAAAACTAAATGTAAGCATAATTCCATTCTCATGGTTCTAAATACTTACAGTTTAGTCAGACAGCTGGCTGTAGACAGGATCCACCACCAACTCAGAATAATACCCTGGCAGGATTCAGCCATGGACACTAGCCAGGATGTGTTGCTGGATGCTGATAATGGGGCCATCAATGGGGTCAACATGTATAACCACAGATTCTGAGAATTAGGTACTATAAATGGGGGGGAATGGTAAATATAACATGAAAAACAGTATCTTTTCAAATGATCAGTGAGATATGTCATCCTATATATTTACTTGTTTGATGAAGAGGAAATTAAGGAAATACAGAGAAGAATGAGAAGGAGTAAAGAAAAGCATCTTCAAAATGTAGAATTAAGGGAAAGGGACCCATTAAATATAGTAAATGAGATAAATAATGTAGAGAAGAAAGAAGTGATAATATTTTAAAGACTAAAAACAAAACCGTAAGTACTCAGAACAACAAGTCTTAGTCAGGAGATTTACTTGAGAAAAAAAATTCCATGTTCTGTAACTTACCAGCAGAACAGTGAAGAAACAATCCCCAAGAAGAAAAGTAGAACTCCCATGTTGGCTTAAGTGTGTGCGAATAGAAGATAGGGTTTATGGTTATCTATGAAGATAGGGTTTTAGGAAACTATTTTGGAGATTAAAATGGCAGGATATAGAATGTCTGACATCATAAGAGGTCCTTGTGAGATAACTGCCTTCCTTTAGGATTAACTAAGCGTTATATGCAAGAAATGTAGCCAAATTAAATGAGATATTAAAATTTTAACTCTTCCATTAGTTCAGTGTTAACCATTAATTTTGGAGTAGGGACAGATAATATTCCAGTCCCACACCTTTTAAAAATTTAGTGTCTATTCTGTGTTACTATGTAGCTTTTTTTTTCATTATTTTTTTGAGATGCAGTCTTACTCTGTCACCCATGCTGGAGGGCAGTGGTAGAATCTTGGCTCACTGCCACTTCTGCCTCCAGAGTTCAAGACATTCTACTGTCTCAGCCTCCTGAGTAGCTGGGACAACAGGTACACACTAGCACGCCTGGCTAATTTTTGTATTTTCAGTAGAGACAGGGTTTCACCATGTTGCCCAGGCTGGTCTTGAACTCCTGTGCTTAAATGATCGCACCGTCTCAGCCTCCCAAAGTGCCGGGATTGTAGGTATGAGCCAACATGCCCTGCCAATATGTAGCATCTATCTATCAAATATTACTTAGTAATTAAAAACAAATAGATAATCTATATTATCTGACATATTTTCTGCAACAAGTTAAGGAAATATTGATAATTATTTAAAATAACCAATAAATAAATATAAAGAACAATAGCACATTTCATTCATATATCTATTGACATACCCACATCTACTCATTATTATATCTCTACTCAGAAACACTGATATTGTAAATTTACAGAAAATATCTCAAGACAAATTATCTGGCTTTCCTTTAATGGCAATCTGAAGCAAAGAGCTACAATTCAGTAAATTTTTATCAAATCTCTCAATTGGAATGGGCTATAAGTCAGACACATATATGAGGAAGACCAGTCTTTGCTCTCAGGGAGTTTTCAAGGCAGGGGAGAACAATTAATACATAGTATGGGTAGTTGCTACTAAACAAAATAGAAAAGCTGAAGTCAATTATATATAAATAAATTTATATTCCATACTATATAAGTCATGAGATAACAGAGAAGGCAGATTACGCAGATTAATGATTTTATTCTAGATCCAAATATATTTTATCATTCCACTTAGCAATTATAGTACATTACTTTCAGCTTCAAGATGACTGTAAGACAGCCTCACTGTACCCATCTCTATGTCCTTGTTCAAAATACCAAAAAAGAGGAAAGAAAATAGGGGGAAACCTTTCTTTTTTCTTTCTTTTTTGCTTTTTTTTTGTTTGTTTGTTTGGTTTTTTTTGAGACGTAGTCTTACTCTGTAGCTCAGGCTGGAGTGCAGAGCTGTGATTTCAGCTCACTGCAACTTCTGCCTCCCAGGTTCAATGGATTCTCCTGCCTCAGCCTGCCGAGTAGCTGGGATTACAGGTGCCCACCATCATGCCTGGTTAATTTTTCTCTTTTTAGTAGAGATGTGGTTTCACCGTGTTGGCCAGGTTAGTCATGAACACTGACCTCAGGTGATCCGCTCACCTTGGCCTCCCAAAGTGCTATGATTACAGGCCTGAGCCATCACGCCCAGCCAATAAATGATTAAAAAAAAATAATTAGCCAGGGATAGTGGTGCATTCCCCTAGTCTTAACTACTGGGGAAGCGAAGGAAGAGGATATGTGAGACTTGGAATTGGAGGCTGCAGCGAGCTATAATGGCACCACTGCACTACAGGCTGGGGAGAGAGACCCTGTCTCAAAAAAAAAAAAAAAAAGAGAGAACAAAAGAAGAAAAGAAGGAAGGAAGGAAGGAAAAGAAAGATGAGAGTAGGGAAGTGAAAGGGAAAAGAAAAAGAAATACAGGGAAAGGAAGAAGGAAGAATTTGTCAGCAAAATAGTGGCACTTAAACAGATTTTTCAGATTTATGCCCTAGAATTCATTACATATTAATTTGTTTTCTGTGTGTGTTTACTAGTTTTGTTTTGTTTTTGTTTTTGACACAGGGTCATGCTGTATCACCCAGTCCAGAGTGCAGCGGCGTGATCTTGTTTTAGTGCAAATTCCACCTCCCGGGTTTAAGGGATTCTCCCAGCTCACCACCTGTAGCTGGCACCACAGGCCCATGCCACTACTCCCAGGTAATCTTTTGTATTTTTGGTAGAGACAGGGTTTCACCATTTTGGCCAGGCTGGCCTTGAACTCCTGGCCTCAAGCTATGTGCCCCACCTTGGCCTCCCAATGTGCTAGAATTACAGACTTGAGCCACCAAGCTGTGCCTACATACAGGGTTTTTCTTTCTTTCCAAACAATTCTTGATAAATCATGTTTTTTCTTGAAATTATCTGTCATCTTATTTTTCACATGACTATGATAATAGTGCAACGATTTCTTACAATTCTTTTATTTTTCTTTCTCTTGTTAAATTATCTTGTTATTTATTCTTCCACTGTGTGTATGTGAGTTTGTGTGTGTACTCATACATGTGTATTTCTTCATTTCTTTACCTTCCTTGTATGCATGTATAAGTGTAAGTATACATTAATATAAATAAACTATTGGATATTTTACTTGATGCACAACATCCAAAGCAACTCAATTTTTAAAGTATATTTTATATATTTTGACCAGTCACTAAGGAAAGCAGGATTGCAAGTATACCTCTAGGTGTCACTGAATATAAATGTAATTATGACAATTCTATACATTTTTTAGCCCTAAACTATGTTGTATGTACTGTGCACAATACATTATTAATCTTATGATAATAATATCTAGTAGATACTGTTATTATATTCTCTGTGTTGATTGGGTAAATTTCAAAGATTAAGCAGTCTAACTTCACACAGCTATTAAGTGGTGAAGGTTAGATTTTTCTTGGTTTGCTTAACTTTATATTGTACAAATCACCACTGCATTATACTATCTTATAGATATTAAGCTTTTAGTCAAATGATTTTTAACTGCTGCCCTAAAAAAAAGTAGCCTATTAGGGAGGAGCCAAGATGGCCAAATAGGAACAGCTCCGGTCTACAGCTCCCAGCGTGAGCGATGCAGAAGACGGGTGATTTCTGCATTTCCATCTGAGGTACCGGGTTCATCTCACTAGGGAGTGCCAGACAGTGGGCGCAGGCCAGTGTGTGTGCGCACCGTGCGCGAGCCGAAGCAGGGCGAGGCATTGCCTCACCTGGGAAGCGCAAGGGGTCAGGGAGTTCCCTTTCCGAGTCAAAGAAAGGGGTGATGGACGCACCTGGAAAATCGGGTCACTCCCACCCCAATATTGCGCTTTTCAGACCGGCTTAAGAAACGGCGCACCACGAGACTATATCCCACACCTGGCTCAGAGGGTCCTACGCCCACGGAATCTCGCTGATTGCTAGCACAGCAGTCTGAGATCAAACTGCAAGGCGGCAACGAGGCTGGGAGAGGGGCGCCCGCCATTGCCCAGGCTTGCTTAGGTAAACAAAGCAGCAGGGAAGCTCGAACTAGGTGGAGCCCACCACAGCTCAAGGAGGCCTGCCTGCCTCTGTAGGCTCCACCTCTGGGGGAAGGGCACAGACAAACAAAAAGACAGCAGTAACCTCTGCAGACTTAAGTGTCCCTGTCTGACAGCTTTGAAGAGAGCAGTGGTTCTCCCAGCATGCAGCTGGAGATCTGAGAATGGGCAGATTGCCTCCTCAAGTGGGTCCCTGACTCCTGACCCCCGAGCAGCCTAACTGGGAGGCACCCCCCAGCAGGAGCACACTGACACCTCACATTGCAGGGTATTCCAACAGACCTGCAGCTGAGGGTCCTGTCTGTTAGAAGGAAAACTAACAACCAGAAAGGACATCTACACCGAAAACCCATCTGTACATCACCATCATCAAAGACCAAAAGTAGATAAAACCACAAAGATGGGGAAAAAACAGAACAGAAAAACTGGAAACTCTAAAACGCAGAGCGCCTCTCCTCCTCCAAAGGAACGCAGTTCCTCACCAGCAACAGAACAAAGCTGGATGGAGAATGATTTTGACGAGCTGAGAGAAGAAGGCTTCAGACGATCAAATTACTCTGAGCTATGGGAGGACATTCAAACCAAAGGCAAAGAAGTTGAAAACTTTGAAAAAAATTTAGAAGAATGTATAACTAGAATAACCAATACAGAGAAGTGCTTAAAGGAGCTGATGGAGCTGAAAACCAAGGCTCGAGAACTACATGAAGAATGCAGAAGCCTCAGGAGCCGATGCGATCAACTGGAAGAAAGGGTATCAGCAATGGAAGATGAAATGAATGAAATGAAGCGAGAAGGGAAGTTTAGAGAAAAAAGAATAAAAAGAAATGAGCAAAGCCTCCAAGAAATATGGGACTATGTGAAAAGACCAAATCTACGTCTGATTGGTGTACCTGAAAGTGATGTGGAGAATGGAACCAAGTTGGAAAACACTCTGCAGGATATTATCCAGGAGAACTTCCCCAATCTAGCAAGGCAGGCCAACGTTCAGATTCAGGAAATACAGAGAATGCCACAAAGATACTCCTCGAGAAGAGCAACTCCAAGACACATAATTGTCAGATTCACCAAAGTTGAAATGAAGGAAAAAATGTTAAGGGCAGCCAGACAGAAAGGTCGGGTTACCCTCAAAGGAAAGCCCATCAGACTAACAGCGGATCTCTCGGCAGAAACCCTACAAGCCAGAAGAGAGTGGGGGCCAATATTCAACATTCTTAAAGAAAAGAATTTTCAACCCAGAATTTCATATCCAGCCAAACTAAGCTTCATAAGTGAAGGAGAAATAAAATACTTTATAGACAAGCAAATGCTGAGAGATTTTGTCACCACCAGGCCTGCCCTAAAAGAGCTCCTGAAGGAAGTGCTAAACATGCAAAGGAACAACCGGTACCAGCCACTGCAAAATCATGCCAAAATGTAAAGACCATCGAGACTAGGAAGAAACTGCATCAACTAATGAGCAAAATCACCAGCTAACATCATAATGACAGGATCAAATTCACACATAATAATATTAACTTTAAATATAAATGGACTAAATTCTGCAATTAAAAGACACAGACTGGCAAGTTGGATAAAGAGTCAAGACCCATCAGAGTGCTGTATTCAGGAAACCCATCTCACGTGCAGAGACACACATAGGCTCAAAATAAAAGGATGGAGGAAGATCTACCAAGCCAATGGAAAACAAAAAAAGGCAGGGGTTGCAATCCTAATAAAACAGACTTTAAACCAACAAAGATCAAAAGAGACAAAGAAGGCCATTACATAATGGTAAAGGGATCAATTCAACAAGAGGAGCTAACTATCCTAAATATTTATGCACCCAATACAGGAGCACCCAGATTCATAAAGCAAGTCCTGAGTGACCTACAAAGAGACTTAGACTCCCACACATTAATAATGGGAGACTTTAACACCCCACTGTCAACATTAGACAGATCAACGAGACAGAAAGTCAACAAGGATACCCAGGAATTGAACTCAGCTCTGCACCAAGCAGACCTAATAGACATCTACAGAACTCTGCACCCCAAATGAACAGAATGTACATTTTTTTCAGCACCACACCACACCTATTCCAAAATTGACCACATAGTTGGAAGTAAAGCTCTCCTCAGCAAATGTAAAAGAACAGAAATTATAACAAACTATCTCTCAGACCACAGTGCAATCAAACTAGAACTCAGGATTAAGAATCTCACTCAAAGCCGCTCAACTACATGGAAACTGAACAACCTGCTCCTGAATGACTACTGGGTACATAACGAAATGAAGGCAGAAATAAAGATGTTCTTTGAAACCAACGAGAACAAAGACACCACATACCAGAATCTCTGGGACACATTCAAAGCAGTGTGTAGAGGGAAATTTATAGCACTAAATGCCTACAAGAGAAAGCAGGAAACATCCAAAATTGACACCATAACATCACAATTAAAAGAACTAGAAAAGCAAGAGCAAACACATTCAAAAGCTAGCAGAAGGCAAGAAATAACTAAAATCAGAGCAGAACTGAAGGAAATAGAGACACAAAAAACCCTTCAAAAAATCAATGAATCCAGGAGCTGGTTTTTTGAAAGGATCAACAAAATTGATAGACCGCTAGCAAGACTAATAAAGAAAAAAAGAGAGAAGAATCAAATAGACACAATAAAAAATGATAAAGGGGATATCACCACCGATCCCACAGAAATACAAACTACCATCAGAGAATACTACAAACACCTCTACGCAAATAAACTAGAAAATCTAGAAGAAATGGATACATTCCTCGACACATACACTCTCCCAAGACTAAACCAGGAAGAAGTTGAATCTCTGAATAGACCAATAACAGGCTCTGAAATTGTGGCAATAATCAATAGTTTACCAACCAAAAAGAGTCCAGGACCAGATGGATTCACAGCCGAATTCTACCAGAGGTACAAGGAGGAACTGGTACCATTCCTTCTGCAACTATTCCAATCAATAGAAAAAGAGGGAATCCTCCCTAACTCATTTTATGAGGCCAGCATCATTCTGATACCAAAGCCGGGCAGAGACACAACCAAAAAAGAGAATTTTAGACCAATATCCTTGATGAACATTGATGCAAAAATCCTCAATAAAATACTGGCAAACCGAATCCAGCAGCACATCAAAAAGCTTATCCACCATGATCAAGTGGGCTTCATCCCTGGGACGCAAGGCTGGTTCAATATACGCAAATCAATAAATGTAATCCAGCATATAAACAGAGCCAAAGACAAAAACCACATGATTATCTCAATAGATGCAGAAAAAGCCTTTGACAAAATTCAACAACCCTTCATGCTAAAAACTCTCAATAAATTAGGTATTGATGGGACATATTTCAAAATAATAAGAGCTATCTATGACAAACCCACAGCCAATATCATACTGAATGGGCAAAAACTGGAAGCATTCCCTTTGAAAACTGGCACAAGACAGGGATGCCCTCTCTCACCGCTCCTATTCAACATAGTGTTGGAAGTTCTGGCCAGGGCAATCAGGCAGGAGAAGGAAATAAAGGGTATTCAATTAGGAAAAGAGGAAGTCAAATTGTCCCTGTTTGCAGACGACATGATTGTTTATCTAGAAAACCCCATCGTCTCAGCCCAAAATCTCCTTAAGCTGATAAGCAACTTCAGCAAAGTCTCAGGATACAAAATCAATGTACAAAAATCACAAGCATTCTTATACACCAATAACAGACAAACAGAGAGCCAAATCATGAGTGAACTCCCATTCACAATTGCTTCAAAGAGAATAAAATACCTAGGAATCCAACTTACAAGGGATGTGAAGGACCTCTTCAAGGAGAACTACAAACCACTGCTCAAGGAAATAAAAGAGGACACAAACAAATGGAAGAACATTCCATGCTCATGGGTAGGAAGAATCAATATCGTGAAAATGGCCATACTGCCCAAGGTAATTTACAGATTCAATGCCATCCCCATCAAGCTACCAATGACTTTCTTCACAGAATTGGAAAAAACTACTTTAAAGTTCATATGGAACCAAAAAAGAGCCTGCATCTCCAAGTCAATCCTAAGCCAAAAGAACAAAGCTGGAGGCATCACACTACCTGACTTCAAACTATACTACAAGGCTACAGTAACCAAAACAGCATGGTACTGGTACCAAAACAGAGATATAGATCAATGGAACAGAACAGAGCCCTCAGAAATAATGCCACATATCTACAACTATCTGATCTTTGACAAACCTGAGAAAAACAAGCAATGGGGAAAGGATTCCCTATTTAATAAATGGTGCTGGGAAAACTGGCTAGCCATATGTAGAAAGCTGAAACTGGATCCCTTCCTTACACCTTATACAAAAATCAATTCAAGATGGATTAAAGATTTAAACGTTAGACCTAAAACCATAAAAACCCTAGAAGAAAACCTAGGCATTACCATTCAGGACATAGGCGTGGGCAAGGACTTCATGTCCAAAACACCAAAAGCAATGGCAACAAAAGCCAAAATTGACAAATGGGATCTAATTAAACTAAAGAGCTTCTGCACAGCAAAAGAAACTACCATCAGAGTGAACAGGCAACCTACAACATGGGAGAAAATTTTCACAACCTACTCATCTGACAAAGGGCTAATATCCAGAATCTACAATGAACTCAAACAAATTTACAAGAAAAAAACAAACAACCCCATCAAAAAGTGGGCGAAGGACATGAACAGACACTTCTCAAAAGAAGACATTTATGCAGCCAAAAAACACATGAAGAAATGCTCATCATCACTGGCCATCAGAGAAATGCAAATCAAAACCACTATGAGATATCATCTCGCACCAGTTAGAATGGCAATCATTAAAAAGTCAGGAAACAACAGGTGCTGAAGAGGATGTGGAGAAATAGGAACACTTTTACACTGTTGGTGGGACTGTAAACTAGGTCAACCATTGTGGAAGTCAGTGTGGCGATTCCTCAGGGATCTAGAACTAGAAATACCATTTGACCCAGACATCCCATTACTGGGTATATACCCAAAGGACTATAAATCATGCTGCTATAAAGACACATGCACACGTATGTTTATTGCGGCACTATTCACAATAGCAAAGACTTGGAACCAACCCAAATGTCCAACAATGATAGACTGGATTAAGAAAATGTGGCACATATACACCATGGAATACTATGCAGCCATAAAAAATGATGAGTTCATGTCCTTTGTAGGGACATGGATGAAATTGGAAACCATCATTCTCAGTAAACTATCCCAAGAACAAAAAACCAAACACCGCATATTCTCACTCATAGGTGGGAATTGAACAATGAGATCACTTGGACACAGGAAGGGGAATATCACACTCTGGGGACTGTGGTGGGGTCGGGGGAGGGGGGAGGGATAGCATTGGGAGATATACCTAATGCTAGATGACACATTAGTGGGTGCAGTGCACCAGCATGGCACATGTATACATATGTAACTAACCTGCACAATGTGCACATGTACCCTAAAACTTAGAGTATAATAAAAAAAAAAATTAAAAAAAAAAACAATATTAGGTCTTCCAATCTATGAACATGGGATGAAAAAAAAAAAGTAGCCTATTTGCATGGCAAGCAAAATGTTTCATGATCTTGCCCTCCCTCCCTGTGTCCGCTACTGACATTCCCTGATCTTTGTGTATTTAGTCTTGTTTCACTGACCACAAGAAAATGTAGGTTATTCCATCAAGTTGATTTTTACTTATAACACTGCATGTTTCCGCACATTCTCCTAGCAAATCTCATTCTATATTTGTGTTTTTGCTTCTCCTTCCACCACACAGATTTTAAAAACACTGTTTATCTGCATGTTTTATCTCTGCCTAGAAAATATTTCTTAGTACTATGTAATATATTAAAAATCATTTTCAGTCTTGTTTTTTTCCATTTCTTTATAACAGATAGTTTTCTTTAAGAGCAAAATATTTCTGGAGGAAAGATTTGTTGGTTTAAATCCTAATTTTTTTAGTAATATCCTCTTAAAACTGTGTAGCTTTCAAACGCTTGTAACTTAAGTTTCCTGTTTTGCAAATTAGGCCTAGTAAAAATTTTACAAATGTTATGGGACTTCTAAAAATGAAGTTGGTATAAAATGTATGTAGATATTTTATCAAAGCAGTTGATCCTTATCATTATTTAGAAAATGACATTATGTGTATCCTCTTTAAAAAAAAAAACACTGAAGCATTTTCTCATACATCTTATGGCATCAATCATTATGTATTATTTACAAATCTGTTTTTCCTGTGGTGTAGGCTCACTATCTAACTTATTAATTCATTTTTGTATTAGTTATCAATTTAGTATAATATACTACTCAATTACATATAACATTAGTAAATGCATTCCCTCAAGTAAATATAAATTGAAACAAAGGGAAATATTTTCTCTTCAAAATGGAAAAAGAGTAATCTATAATGTAGACAGAGCCATGGTCAAATTAATGTTTTTCTGGTAAGAATGTGACAAAAAGAATGTGAGAATAGAATGCTACAGTGGGTTTTGTAGCAAAAAAAACTAATAATAGAAATAGATTTGTAACCATAATTTAAGAAACTTTTTCTAAAATATACATAAACATATAAAATATCTTTCCTTCAGAGCATGATTTTACTGTTAGAATATTCATCAAAAAAGGAAGTGTTAAAAAGATAAATTAAAATATTTATGCAGACACAAACAGCTCTATATTGGTATGGTATAGTTTATGAACTAAGTAGTTCATAAGTGGGAGTATAGAATGTATAGACTTTAATTTGTTTAAATTAATATAAAGCACTTAAAATGTGGCTTATAATAAGCCTTTTTAAAAGTACTGTTCTTTAAAATTCTGATATGCACAATTTATAGACAAACTCAGAAAAATAAGTTTGGGTTGCATTGTGTAGATATTTAAATGTATTTTTTATGTTACATTTTATTTTGCAACAAAATTCGTAAAATGAAATAGGTAGGGGGAGAATAACTTAACGGACAATATAGTCTGTCAGCTAATAAAATATTTTTCTCAGGCATATAAATAGTATTTATTTTACTAGAGCTCTGTTAATTAAGGATGTTACTTATTATATACAAATTGAGGACAGAGAAATTGCCTATTTGTGTACATTGTTTTTGTTAATTTTGGAATTTTGGGTCAAATCACTACATTTATCTACTAAGCAAATAAAATAAAGTGTTCAAATATTTATATTACAACCCAAGAGAGAAGATACAAGATTAAGATGTAGAAACTTTACATTCCTAATTGACTTATTTTTCTTGCTTTCTTTTAATGTTACTTATTATTGCTTGTTTCTTATGGAGTTCTTTAAATTTTAGTTATTACTTTCCCCTTTATGCATTATTTTATGAAATAAGCTTATTGCTAATATTTGAGAGGGGGATGAAACATGGATGACTATTTCAAAATAAAAATACTTCTTTAAGGTTGATCACACTACCACAGTTGAAAAAAGTAAATAATGAAAATAATATAGAACACATTTTGGCATTTTAATTTTCTTTCCTTCTCTTTTTGTTTTTAATTCAAAAGTTTCTTGGGCCACGCTTTCTTTTATTTCTGTTACACTTGTCTTTCCCTACTTCCTTTGTGGCTCTCGCAGGGATGGTATATCCGGGTTTCTAAGCTTTTTAGCTGGGTACGCCACTAGCCTCGACTTTTCCTTCAGCTCATGGTGACAGAAGGTCGTGCACAGGCAGTTTCTCAGAAAATCAGGGAAATTAGGCAAATAAATTCTTAATTTTAAGCAGAGAGGACATGTTTGTATCTCAGGTGACAGAGATAATGTCTAAATCATCTGCGAATAGAGGAAATGTGGTAATTCAATCCATGTCTCTCAGGCTTATTTTGGCAAATGTTAAGAAATTTTATAATTGTTATTATGTGTGGATTTATGTATATAACTGGTTTCTTGTATACCACGGAGTTTTTTCAGACCCCTAAGATTTTGGATTTTTTTCTTTTTTCTTTTTGCTTTGATGGGTTTTCAATGTGTGGGTGTTGAATTATGGGAGGAAACAGTAGGGAGAGAACTCTTTACTGCTATTAAGAAACTCACTTTCGTTAAACTCGCTGATTTTTCTTGAGTATTCTTCCCTTTACTGTCAGACATGTCCGACATGCGGGCAAGTTGTGGGAGATGGAGCTAGGGCGCCATTTTTTTCATGTGCACTTTTTGTTAAAGTGGTTTTCCTCTGTGAATGTGGTCATAATTCAAATATATAGGCAATATACTTAACCACTGTGATTAAAAACTTGTATTTTTACTCATAACATGTCAAATTTGTGATTTGCTTGACAGAAATTATGAAATTTTGACATAAATTGCATTACTTTAGTGTATGAGGAAGTCTGGGGCCATAAATTATCTCAGTTTAAATTTGTCTCCGCAAAACCTTTAATCGTCTCCTTCCTTGTATGACAATATTTGAAACATGTTTCAAGTACCTCTGGCACCGTAAATAATTTAAATCGAATAAGTGGGTGTAATCGAGATAAATGGTGAAAGATAGCTTAAAACAGAGACAAAATAATACGTTTAAGTTTCTCTGTTAACTTGGCACACGGACTTATTTTTGTAATCCTACCATTTTGGGAAGAGGAGGTGTGAGGATGGCTTGAAGTCACGAGTTAGAGACCAGCCTGCGTAATATAATGAGCTCCTTTAATCTACTGCCATTTTGGCACCAGGGACCGGTTTAGTGGAAGGCATTTTTCCACAGACAAGAGGTGGGTAGTGGGAGAAGGTGGTGAGGTGGACACCTTGGGAAGGTGGGGGGCGGCCGTTCCAGGAGGAGTACAGGGTAGGGAGGGGTTTTGGGCCAGAGCAGTGTGACGGGGGGCAGCGATGGGACAGCGGGGTTGCCAGGGGAACAGGGCAGGCCAGCGGGGAATAGGGAGAAGGGATTCTGAATGAAACTGTTCCACCTCAGGTCACACTCAGGGGTTACATTCTTCTAAGGAGAGCGCCACATAGATCCTCACATGCGAGGTTCACAGTAGGGATCTTAACTCCTGTGAGAATCCAGTGCCTTCGCCAGGAGGCGGGACTCAGGCGGTGCCAGTGGTTCACCACCTGTTCTGCAGCCGGGTTCCTAACAGGCCACAGACAGATACTGGTTGGAGACCAGGGTTTGGGGATCCGTGATCTATTGTATATTTCAAATCACGAAAATATTGTAAAATACTTAAAACATTCTCCCCCAAGAAAGCATGTATTTTAGTTAGCTTGGTTTAATCATTTATTAAAATTTCAAGCTGGTCGTGGTTGTTCACCCTTGAAATATCAACACCTTGGTAGCACCAGGCCAGAAGAGCGCTTGAGTCCAGGAGTTCGAGACCAGCTTGGGTACCATGGAGAATCCCACATCTATTAAAGAAACACAAAAAAATTGCCTACTAGCTCTGATAGCGAGAGCCTGTAGCTTCCCAAGTAGCTGAGAAGTGGGAGGATCACTTGAGGCTCCGTAGGGGACACTGCAGTGAGCAGTGCACGTTGGCAACAGGAAATTTCCATCTCAAAAAAAAATACACAAAACATCACATTGTACAGTATAAATATATAGTTTTCAAATAAAATTATTTAAATGGGACATCCTGCATATTGCAGCTTAAGAAAATTACAATAGCTTTTCTCGTCTCATTTTGACAAACAAGTTTTTGCCAGGTACGTATTAAAATGCAGCATTTGTCCATGAAGTCAGTGCCCCTTTCGCTCTGCATGTTACAAATTTTACATATTTAAAGTAAGAAATACTAAAAGTATGTCAGCCTTTTTAAGGGAAGGGAATTTCACTTGAGTTTTCAACAGAGTATGTAATAAAATTTTATCCTTTGGGCTTATTTACTGTTATCTAAATATGGATTATTATTTTTTTTTACCATTTTCAGCAAAATGGTGGAAGCAGATGGGCCTGGCAATCTTTTCACTGGTGTCCTCCATTTAGAAACCAATGAAAAGTCGCTTAAAGCAGTATTTGGGAAATATGGTCCCATATTGGAAGACAACGTGTGTGTGTGTGTGTGTGTGTGTGTGTGTGTGTGTGTGTGTGTATGTATGTGTATGTGTGTTGGATATATATATACACACATATGTATGTTGGATATATATATGTTGGTTTTATATTTTTCCAAAATAAATATATACTTAATATATTTACTGAATACATAAAGTAAAATATTTATTTGTTTTTAAACTGTTATTTTCAAGTTTTTATTTGATATTGGGAAAATTCTCATGGCAGCAGTTAAGGGTCTGTGGAAAGGGTCACCTACTAGTGAGAAAGGAAAATGAGCAAAAGTAAATGTGTTGTGGAGGTAGGGAACAAATTGGAATACAATAGGCTGACTATAGAGGTGACTTAGTATTAAGAATCATACTAATGATGTGAAATGTATTTTTTTTCATTTGTTAGTACTATGGTGTGTCCACTATATAAATGTAAAATGTTTTCATGTATTTTACTTTTTCTGATAAATGATTGGGAAACCAGCAATTTCAGATGCTTTGCATTTATTCTGAGAATGTTGCAGATGAGTCCCTTATTAATAATATCCTAACTGTTCTTCACTTAACAGCATGTCAAGGTCTTTTTGGTATTACTAAACTTTTGAAGATATCATAATGTCATATGATCTGAAATACTGTATCCATCATCTTCTTTTTGCCATATAAGTGCAAATGTAGGTGGAAGGATATTGGAATAAATGTTACATAAATTAATACATGGTAATCCTATTTGTATGTTAGTATCTCAATACAAGTGTAAATAGATTTTCAAAGCTTTCAAGCAGCTTTAAAACTTAGAAGGAACTCTCACAAAAATGAGAGAAGTAAGTTAGTATTTATTAAATACTATTAATGGAATTACTTCCAATTCATGGAAACACTTCTATAGCGTAGACAAACTGCATAGTCAGCTAGAAAGACCTACAAGATGGAAATCTTCTATAGAGACACATCTAGACAGACTCATAAGAAGGAAAGATTATTTCACATTTTCTGAAAATACATTCTTGAGAAAGTATATTTGAACAAGATCTTTACATTTAAGGAAGTGTTAAGCACTTGAAAGTAGAAAATAATATGAGAACATTGAAGCTGGGTAACAGAACTACTAACTGGCATTTTTGCCCCATCATTGCTCTTTTTCTCCTAAAAACATTTTTATTCTGTCACCAGAGTGATTTATGTAACATGAATACCAATTACCCATTTTCCCAGTGTGTTTGAGCACTTATTGGATCCAACCAATGGTCTCTGTCTTATTGAATCTGAAATTCTAGGAATTGTGTGTTTATTACAGCTTTAAACTTTTGTGTCATTCTATTGCCTACTGAAATTGTTTATATTACCATCAAAATCATTGCATTCTGGATACTTTGGAGCCTTTTTGTTTTATAATATCATCCCAATCTGTTTTTAGTTCCCATTACTCTTTATGCTATCACCCATATGCTTTTTTGGACTTCTTGAGAGTTATTCTTCCCAGCGTACATCTCACAAATAGGAATTTATGCTCCAAAAACAGCTTAGATTTTACATTTTCTTCTTTATTGCATATTTTGGGTATTTTGGCCTCACTGAACAGAGTACTAATCTGTTGATTGTTAAATTGTCTTTAGTGCATATTTAAATTTTCCTAGTTGCCTTTGTTTCTGTTACATCTGGCACACTTCCTGGTACATAGCAGAAGTACATTTTTATTCAGGTTATACTTTCATATTTTAAGTTTTGGTAGACACTGACAGTTGCTTTTGGCTCATGGTTTTGTAGGTATGGAAATAATTTTGACTTATGTATAGTAATCTATGATAATTTCTTTTTCCCTGTAGTTTTCAAGCACAAGAACAGGTGATTTCTGTAGATGTTATTTCTAAATTACTTCATCCAACATATCTTACTGTGTAAGAATAAATATAAATGTAATATGCACACAAAAGTTAAGGAGGGAAATAAAGGAGGTACTTAGAGGTTTCAGGCGGAATGGACAGCTTCAGAAAGTTTGACTGACTTCTGAAAAGTGGGAAGGAAGCAGTCAGGCATAAATCTGAGGAACATATTTTGGGCCTAGAAATAACAAAAGAAGTCCCAAGGTTGGAAAGACAGACTATGTGACTGCAAGAGGTCTTGGAATGGATTTAAGTTCTTCCCCAAAATAACAAAGCAATGTAATTTTTAAATACATTATTTGCTGACATTTTTTCTAAAACCACGTTTGCCTATAGAAAAGATTAAACTGAAGAAAGTTATTATGAAATTAATTAGCACACTTAAGCATTTCTGAGAAATAACATGAAGTACTATATTAAGAGTCACTTATTAGTGACACTTCTAAGGCAAGATAAGAAATGAGTAAGGCAAAAAACCTGAATGAGACCAAAGAAGGATCACGTTTACAGAAACAGAACTAGAGTAAATATAGAATTGTAAATCATATTGAGACATTTTATGTAAGTGTTAGGAGAACAAACAAGAAACAGTTCGTAACCAATAATGTGGTTAATCACTTTGAATAAATAATATTTTTTAAGATGACACATTCATTCATATACCCTTGGGACACTGAAACAATTAAATGATATGAATACAAAGATTATAGATTGTAAAAAAGAAATGTGCTACATTATCCAATAGAATGTGTGATGGGTTAATTTTTTTTGAGGTGTTATTTTTCAATACTAGAAAACTTTTCAAGGAATTTGAATAACAGAATTCGTGTTTGGTCCCTTCATGTAGGGCATGTGCTCAGTAAATGTCTCAAATCTGGCATTGTGAAAGAGATGGTCGTTTCAGGAAAAAAAAATATATTTGCTTTGGGAGAAAACATCTAGAACTGAAATATAGTGGATGCAAAAATGTTTGTAAAATGTGTTTAGGTTAAATGTGACAACTTTATTGATAGGATACTTAATACTTTTAGTTTTTGGATGGAAAAGCAATGAAAGTAGAACAAGTTAACAAACCGTCTTTTCAAAGTGGTGGTAATGTGGAGATCACCATCTTCTTGGAGAAACAGGAGCCCTTCAGGAAGTCTGAGACAGGAAAAAAGTAAGTGAGTATTTTATGGTTGATCTTGCAATATTTGTTGTTTGTGTATACACATGGAAATATCTATACAAATATATTTCTTTGCCATTTTGATATGCATAATTTGAACATTAGCCTGCCATAAAGCGTTTTGCATTTGAGAAATCTGTAACTTCAGTTATTGAAAAGAGTCTGTGACTCAGGAAAAGTCTAAAAACCACTGCTTCACATATATGTTAGTATCTTTCTTTGCTGGAGGATGAGTCACTGAAAATGGTATTTATTAATGATTTACTCAATAGGAATGAGGGGTCAATTTTTACTTAAAAAAGTCCATGCATTAAAAAAAATTCATTCAATTATCTATTAACCAACCTTCAAAAATCTAACATTTGAGTTTTAATAACCAGATGTGTAATTCATTGGATATATTTTCTCAAGTTGAAATTGCAATGTTTGCTCCATTTTGAGGTACATAGCTTCATTTTATTTTTTTTCTCAATTGATCTTGAGGGTGAAGATTAATACTACTCTTCCATGTATGAGAATATGCATTTTCTTACCTGTGACACCACCAGGGTGGTGTCATATTTTTTGTAGATATATGAAAATATTTTATTACTTAATATACAATTCTTAAAGATTATTAAAATTGAGCATAGCCTGAGCTAAAAATTAATATTTCATAATGGATTTTTAAGAATTGTATATTATGATACAAATTTTACAGATAATGTATTTTTCTGAGGTGTCATTTTTTGATTTTGTAAATAACTGAGTTTCTTTGAACGGGATTTGGTGTAAGCTTATGATATGTTTTGAAAAAGCTTTACTCATACCAGAATTATATGAACAGTAATTTATCATTTCTCTCCTAATATATTTTTTCTTTATGTAGATTGTATTTATG
This sequence comes from Homo sapiens, assembly GCF_000001405.40. Classification (NCBI taxonomy): domain Eukaryota; kingdom Metazoa; phylum Chordata; class Mammalia; order Primates; family Hominidae; genus Homo; species Homo sapiens. Next base: position 9,955,598 of record NC_000024.10, read on the forward strand.
TATTTAACTGATGATAGATTTTTGCTCTCTCTTCACTCTGCATTTATCCCAAATCTCTCTGTCACACCAATATAAAATGATTCTTGTGTCATTTTTTAAATTTTCTTCTGTCACCAGGCTGGAGTGCAGTGGTGTGATCTCAGCTCACTGCAACCTCTGCCTCCCGGGTCCTAACGATTCTCCTGCCTCAACCTCCCATATACCAGGGACTACAGTTGCTCACCACGAGGCCTAGTTAATTTTTTTTTTAAATTTTTAGTAGAGATGGGGTTTCACCATGTTGCTCAGGATGGTCTTGATCTCAACCTCATCATCTGCCCACCTCAGCCTCCCAAAGTGCTGGGATTCACACTGTGAGCAAACATTAGTTTTAATCCTGTGTTTGCTAGAGAATTCCTTTTAATTTTTCTTGAAGTTCCTGGCAGTATTCTTTGATGGTAGGCTTCTTAATCTAATGAATTATTCCATTTCCTAGGTCCCATGGTAGTGGTCCCTCAGTGTGCCAATCTAAAAATTGTTTGTTCAGTTTCTTTGTTGGGTTGGAGTCTTGCTCTCACCAGGCCAGAGTGCATTGATGAGATGATAGCTCACTACGGCCTTAAATTCCTGGGCTCAAGTAATTGTCCTGTTTTAGCCTCCTGCATTGCTGTGACTACAGGCATGCACCATCACACATAGATCAATTTATTTTTCTTTTTTCTGTATCTTTGTAGACACAGGATCTCATTACATTGTCATAGCGGACATTAAAGCCTTGGGCTCAAGCAGTCCAGCTGCCTCAGCCTTCCACACTGGCTCACAGTGTGAGTCACTGCGCCTGGCCATCCAGGTTCTGAGACCTCAATAATACTTAGGTGCAAGGCATTCTTACTGGTTATGTGAGGATACTAAGAACTAAAAGAGCATTTTGCAGATAAGCAATCACTGGGCTTAAATAATAATTAATAATAAAATTAAGGCTTGATAGGTAGACTTGAAGGAGTCCAGCATTTTTAAGTTAAGAGCTTACCACAAATGTGCAGAGTTGTGAAATATATGGGGGGTTTAAATTAAGATATGGTGTAAATTAATATATGGAGGGTGTAAATATATGGGGGGCGCACAAATATTAAGATTGTACAGGGATGTTGAAACCTTAACACAAGATCCTTAGTGTAGGATTTGAAATTATTTGAGGAGAGAATTTAATTCTAAGCTGCATGAGGTGAACAGTAGAATTGAAGTAATATTTTTGAGAAGAAGTGTGAGATTTCAGACTAAACAGAAGAAAACAAGACCATAAAGTAGTAGATCTTAGCAAAGACATTTAAGCAGAACAAATTAAAATCCTTACCTAGCCCTCCATCATAACATGGAGGAAATTGAAAACTGTTATTTTCAATTTTGGCATGCAGTAGTTCAAAGGTAGCAATATTGGTTTGTGAGATGAATTAAGCAACATGGGAAGACTTACCTTCTTCAGCTGAGAAAGGACAACATATGTAAACTTTATATTCAGTGAAGTGTTTGATGGTTTTACATGTTTTCTGTGTGTCATTAGTAGTCATCAGTAATTCATATGAAAAGAAAAATAATAACTAACTGGTTATTAACAATTAAAAGTGAACTTTTACCTAAGAATTAATGTCTGTCTTCAGCTTTGTTAGAAGATCTGGCCTTGTGGACCCATGGGATTATCCACAGCCAGAAGAAATATTTAAGTTGTCACGAATGTCTAGTAATTTAGCGAAAGAAGAATGGAGTCAAACAATAAATAACTTTAAAAAGTTGTTTCAGAGAAGAAAAAATTATGTTTCAGATTTTGTGTTCTTTACATAATATTTAATCATTTTAACATTAAATGTCCCATGTCACATGGATGAGGGAATTATGGAGGTCCTCTATGCAGAGAGCCAGTCTCTTACCAGAGAAATGACCATGTATCACCAAGAGATGAGAGTTATGCAACTAAGGATACGCAAAGGAAAAATGAAAAAATAGTTGACTTTTGTTGTGGTGATGAAATTCACATAATAAAATTAAACATTTTAAGATAAATAGTTAATTGGCGTTTAATATATTGTTTTGTGCAACAACTACCTCCATCTAGTTCCAAAACATTTTCATCACTCCAAACTACAACTCCACTAGCAGTTAAGCAGTTCCTTTCATTTTCTCCCTTCTGTCAGCCACTAGCAAACACCAATCTGTCTTCTGCCTCTCAGCTTACCTGTTCTGGGCATTTCATGTTAATGGGCCCAGACATTACATGACTTTTCATAAGTGTCACCTTTCATTTGCGTGATGCAATGAAGTTTCATTTACGTTGTAGCACTTCTCTCCTTACATAAGCTGCCAACCCATTATTTTGTTTGGGTTGTTTCTACCACAGTATTTCTATATATACATATTTGTTTGGGTACACTTATTCAATTCTCAGTATATATGAGTGGAATTGCTTGTCCTATGATAACTGTGTTGATTTTTTTTGAGGAACAACTGCATTTCTCCATAGTAGCTGCATCATTTTCCATTCCAGCTAGTATTGTACCATAGTTCCAAATTATCTACAACTGCTCAAACACTTGATATTTCCTGCTTTTTAAAATTTATTTCCATTCCAGTATGTGTGAAGTATGGTATGTCATTTTGGTTTTGAAATGCATTTTCTGAATAACTAATTATGTTTCTTTGTTCCATGTGCTTTTTGAGCATTTGCATATTTTATTTGGGGAAATAACTATTCAGGTGTTTGGCCCTTTATTTTGTTTAAGTTGTAAGTTACGTTTTGGATATTAGAAGTTGATAATTTAAAATTTGTTCCTTTAACTTATGTAAGCAGAATTCATACAAATTCCTGAGACACCAGAGATTATGCTCCATCATCTAGAGATTATGGATACCGTGATTATGGTCGTTCTAGTCAGGATGAGCATTCCTCTAGAGGATATAGATACCATAATATTTTCTGGTTTTGTCAAATAGATTTTTTAAGTTGTTCCTGCTGACATTAGCAAACTTTTTTAAATTTAGTGACCATGATGACTATAGTGGGGGCCTTGGTAGAGATCATTCTGAACATCCAAATGGGAGTTCTTACAGAGATGCATATCAGAGTTATGGTAAGTGTCCGGGTTTGATTTGTAAATTACAGTATTATATTTAGTAGACTAGATCATTGTTTTAATAATCGTTTAAGGAAAATCATAAAGGAAAAATACAACATGTTTAAACACTGAGAATTGTTAACAGTATAATGCATAGTGAACATGTAGGTGAGAACTTCAGTTCATTTTCAGAAAATGTGACAATGTTTAAGTTTAAAATAAACTTTCTTATGCTTTGAAATACTATTCTTATACTTCTTTTAAATAAAACCTTTTGACTATTTCAGGCATAATTAATATGGTGTCAACAAAGACAGAAGAAAGCAGAGTTTTCAAAATAGTGCTTTAACTGAGACATGCATTAGAAATACTATTAAAAATGTTTAAATGTAGTTCATTATAAGTTCTATATTTTACCAACTTTGCAGGGACCTTCTATGGTGCACCACCTGCATGATGGCCTTGGATGAGTTACGGTGGAAGTAGTCGCTATGATTATAACAGCACATGAGATAGATATGTAGGAGCTGGGAGAGTTACTCATGGAGCTGTGGTGATTTATATTCCTGTGGTCATGAGCACTGTGGCAGAAAAGAATGAAGGAATCTACCTTCTCTGGATAGGGTACACCCTGCTCCTCATGAAGGATATGGTAGCTCAAGTTATGGGGCATCTACAGGAAGCGGTGGGGGAAGCCAATATGAAAAAGGAGACTGAAGCGATATTAAAGGAGATATTAAAAATAAGAGTTACCTTGGTACTCAGGAGGCTGAGGCAGGAGAATTGCTTGAACCCAGGAGGCAGAGATTGCAGTGAGCCAAGATCTCATCACTGCACTCCAGCCCGGGCAACAAAGCAAATGGTCTCTCAAAATAAAAAGAAAAAAAGTAAAGAAAAGAAAAATAATAGTTATTGCATACAATCTTTGCTCGCAAATCAAAATTTAAAATGTCATTTCTGCATCATTATGTGAGTACCACTAAAACGAAATGTTGATTTTGGGGGGAGAGGTAGAGCTTAATTTCCTTCATGAATTTTTTGAGGTATGAAGATGAAGAGGAACTTTTTTCAGAGTAATTTCATAATTGTTAATGCTTTTTGAAAACTATCTGTTTAGATGATATGGCTATATTACAATATTCAGAATAAAATTACACATGTAATGCGTAATGCCTGATTTTATTGCTACACATGCTTAAAAGCAAATAAAATAGGAGATTAAACTGTGGTGTTTGTTGAATATTTTCTTTTGTAGCTTTGAATGTAAATAGATACAAAAGTAGGCATAGGTTAGGTCTCCCTTGCAAGCTGCACACATTCTCTAATTAGGCTGTGTTTCTCTTTAAAAACTTAACAAGTTTTAAAAGTTTGAGAATTCTTCAGAAAGACTACAAAACTGTCTGCCTTATCATTAACTGTTTATCATTCAGAGGAATCATGTAAGTCAAAGGAAATAATTAGATATGGTTGATATTAAAGTTTAAGACATTCAGAACATTCTTCTTGACGCATTCTGTGACCGAAGGGGGATAATGGTGATGAAACATTTTTTTCAACCTAAATAAAAACTGAACCAGCTACATTTCCTAAGTACATATAGCTTAATGAAATTAAGTATTCCTAGTTTTAAATAGTGGAAAATAAGTGTTTTACGTGGGAGGTACTCAAGTCAATTATTTCCTATAATATTTGACAATGGTTGTTGTAAGTAATGGTTTAGCAATAAGTTCTTGAAAACAGAAACTATCTAGAAGGCTTGGGATTGTATCAGTTTTTTTTTTTTTTTTTCAGGACGGAGTCTAATTTTGTCACCCAAGCTGGGGTGCAGTGTCTGGATCGTGGCTCACTGTGACTGCAACCTTCCGGGTTCAAGCTATTCTCCTGCCTCAGCGTCGTGAGTAAGTGGGTTTACAGCTGTGTGCCACCACAGCTGGCTATTTTTTTTGTATTTTTAGTACAAACAGCATTTCACTATGTTGGTCAGACTGGTCTTAAAATCCTCATTCACCCTCCTCAGCCTCCCAAAGAGCTAGGATTACAGGCATGAGCACTAGGCTCAGACTATCAAACTTAAGTGAAGATATGAATAGGAATGCTTTAAACCTTATGTTTTTTGGAAAGTGAAGTGTATAAAACATGAAACAACATCATAAAGTTTCAGATAGGTGATTGCTTAGCGGTTTAAAATTTCATCTAATGATAAAACTGAAGATTTGGACCCAAATGAGTAAACCAATTAATTTTCCTGACCATACAAGCTAAAGAATTGAAGTATATGAAGATCCAGAACTTTACTGTCCATAATTCTTAAAATTAACAGAGTAATCTGTAAGAAGGACATATTTTTATGAGAAAATTTTGACAAGATCGTAATTTTTTATAGGGTAAGGTGACAAATAATTTTAAAGGGAGAAGTTACCAACTTTGATTTTTGAAGTGAGTTATTTATGTTATGAAATATAGGTTTTCATTCACCTATAATGTAGGATTGTGAGGATTAAGTGAAATGATACAACTCCCTGGTCTTGTGCATCTTCACTGTAGCAACAGAAGAAACAGTGTCTGTCCAGGTGTGATGTCTCAGGACTTTAATCCCAGCATTTTGGGTGGCTGAGGTGGGCATATCGCTTCAACTCAGGAGTCTGCGGCCAGCCTGGGCAACATGAAGAAATCTTGCCTGTATAAAATAGATAAAGTATTGCTGGATGTGGTAGTGCGTCAGTGTAGTCCCAGATCCTTGGGGGATGAGGCATGAGGATCGCTTGAGCCCATGAGGTCCAGGCAGCAGTGAGCCTGTTTGCTCCACTGCATTTCAGCCTGCGTGACAAACTGAGACTCTGTCAAAAAAAAAAAAAAAAAAAAAAAAGTAAGGACAAGGTGTCTATGATACTCTCTGTCCCTAGACTTATTTATTTATTTATTTATTTATTTTATTACTATTATACTTTAAGTTTTAGGGTACCTGTGCACAATGGGCAGGTTAGTTACATATGTATACTTGTGTCATGCTGGTGTGCTGCACCCATTAACTCATCATGTAGCATTAGGTATATCTCCTAATACTATCCCTCCCCCATGCCCCCACCCCACAACAGTCCCCAGAGTGTGATATTCCCCTTCCTGTGTCCATGTGTTCTTATTGTTCAATTCCCACCATGAGTGAGAACATGCAGTGTTGGGTTTTTTTTTCTTGTGATAGTTTACGGAGAATTATGGTCTCAAATTTCATCCATGTCCCTACAAAGGACATGAACTCATCATTTTTTATGGCTGCATAGTATTCCATGGTGTATATGTGCCACATTTTCTTAATCCAGTCTATCATTGTAGGACATTTGGCTTGGTTCCAAGTCTTTGCTATTGTGAATAGTGCCACAATAAACATACGTGTGCATGTGTCCTTATAGTAGCATGATTTATAGTCCTCTGGGTATATACCCAGTAATAGGATGGCTGGGTCAAATGGTATTTCTAGTTCTAGATCCCTGAGGAATCGCCACACTGACTTCCACACTGATTGACCTAGTTTACAGTCCCACCAACAGTGTAAAAGTGTTCCTATTTCTCCACATCCTCTTCAGCACCTGTTGTTTCCTGACTTTTTAATGATTGCCATTCTAACTAATGTGAGATGGTATCTCACTGTGGTTTTGATTTTCATTTCTCTGATGGCCAGTGATGGTGAGCATTTTTCATGTGTTTTTTGGCTGCATAAATGTCTTCTTTTGAGAAGTGTCTGTTCATGTCCTTCGCCCACTTTTTGATGGGGTTGTTTGTTTTTTTCTTGTACATTTGTTTGAGTTCATTGTAGATTCTGGATATTAGCCCTTTGTCAGATGAGTAGGTTGCGAAAATTTTCTCCCATTTTGTAGGTTGCCTGTTCACTCTGATGGTAGTGTCTTTTGGTGTGCAGAAGCTCTTTAGTTTAATTAGATCCCACTTATCAATTTTGTCTTTTGTTGCCATTGCTTTTGGTGTTTTAGACATGAAGTCCTTGCCCGTGCCTATGTCCTGAATGGCAATGCCTAGGTTTTCTTCTAGGGTTTTTATGGTTTTAGGTCTAACGTTTAAGTCTTTAATCCATCTTGAATTAATTTTTGTATAAGATGTAAGGAAGGGATCCAGTTTCAGCTTTCTACACATGCCTAGCCAGTTTTCCCAGCACAATTTATTAAATAGGGAATCCTTTCCCCATTGCTTGTTTTTCTCAGGTTTGTCAAAGATCAGATAGTTGTAGATATGCAGTGTTATTTTTGAGGGCTCTATTCTGTTCCATTGATCTATATCTCTGTTTTGATAGCAGTACCATGCTGTTTTGGTTACTGTAGCCTTGTAGTATAGTTTGAAGTCAGGAAGCGAAATGCCTTCAGCTTTGTTCTTTTGGCTTAGGATTGACATGGTGATGTGGGCTCTTTTTTGGTTTCATAAGAACTTTAAAGTAGTTTTTTTCCAATTCTGTGAAGAAAGTCATTGGTATCTTGATGGGGATGGCATTGAATATATAAATTACCTTGGGCAGTATGGCCATTTTCACGATATTGATTCTTCCTACCTATGAACATGGAATGTTCTTCCATTTGTTTGTATCCTCTTTTATTTCATTGAGCAGTGGTTTGTAGTTCTCCTTGAAGAGGTCCTTCACATCCCTGGTAAGTTGGATTCCTAGGTATTTTATTCTCTTTGAAGCAATTGTGAATGGGAGTTCACTCACGATTTGGCTCTCTGTTTGTCTGTTATTGGTGTATAAGAATGCTTGTGATTTTTGTACATTGATTTTGTATCCTGAGACTTTGCTGAAGTTGCTTATCAGGTTAAGGAGATTTTGGGCTGAGACAATGTGGTTTTCTAGATATACAATCATGTCATCTGCAAACAGGGACAATTTGACTTCCTCTTTTCCTAATTGAATATCATTTTTTCCTTCTCCTGCCTAATTGCCCTGGCCAGTACTTCCAACACTATGTTGAATAGGAGTGGTGAGAGAGGGCATCCCTGTCTTGTGCAAGTTTTCAAAGGGAATGCTTCCAGTTTTTGCCCATTCAGTATGATATTGGCTGTGGTTTTGTCATAGATAACTCTTATTATTTTGAGATACATCCCATCAATACCTAATTTATTGAGAGTTTTTAGCATGAAGTGTTGTTGAATTTTGTCAAAGGCCTTTTCTGCATCTATTGAGATAATCATGTGGTTTTTGTCTTTGGTTCTGTTTATATGCTGGATTACATTTATTGATTTGCGTATATTGAACCAGCCTTGCATCCCAGGGATGAAGCCCACTTGATCATGGTGGATAAGCTTTTTGATATGATGCTGGATTCAGTTTGCCAGTATTTTATTGAGGATTTTTGCATCAATGTTCATCAAGGATATTGGTCTAAAATTCTCTTTTTTGGTTGTGTCTCTGCCCGGCTTTGGTATCAGGATGATGCTGGCCTCATAAAATGAGTTAGGGAGGATTCCCTCTTTTTCTGTTGATTGGAATAGTTTCAGAAGGAATGGTACCAGTTCCTTCTTGTACCTCTGGTAGAATTCAGCTGTGAATCCATCTGGTCCTGGACTCTTTTTGGTTGGTAAGCTATTGATTATTGCCACAATTTCAGAGCCTGTTATTGATCTATTCAGAGATTCAACTTCTTCCTGGTTTAGTCTTGGGAGGGTGTATGTGTCCAGGAATTTATCCATTTCTTCTAGAATTTCTAGTTTATTTGCGTAGAGGTGTTTGTAGTATTCTCTGATGGTAGTTTGTATTTCTGTGGGATCAGTGGTGATATCCCTTTTATCATTTTTTATTGTGTCAATTTGATTCTTCTCTCTGTTCTTCTTTATTACTCTTGCTAGCAGTCTATCAATTGTGTTGATCCTTTCAAAAAACCAGCTCCTGGATTCATAAATTTTTTGAAGGGTTTTCTGTATTTCCTTCATTTCTGCTCTGATTTTAGTTATTTCTTGCCTTCTGATAGCTTTTGAATGTGTTTGCTCTTGCTTTTCTAGTTCTTTTAATTGTGATGTTAGGATGTCAATTTTGGATCCTTCCTGCTTTCTCTTGTGGGCATTTAGTGCTATAAATATCCCTCTACACACTGCTTTGAATGTGTCCCAGAGATTCTGGTATGTTGTGTCTTTGTCCTTGTTGGTTTCAAAGAACATCTTTATTTCTGCCTTCATTTCGTTATGTACCCAGTAGTCATTCAGGAGCAGGTTGTTCAGTTTCCATGTAGTTGAGCAGTTCTGAGTGAGTTTCTTAATCCTGAGTTCTAGTTTGATTGCACTGTGGTCTGAGAGACAGTTTGTTATTATTTCTGTTCTTTCACATTTGCTGAGGAGAGCTTTACTTCCAACTATGTGGTCAATTTTGGAATAGGTGTGGTGTGGTGCTGAAAAAAATGTACATTCTGTTGATTTGGGGTGCAGAGTTCTGTAGATGTCTATTAGGTCTGCTTGGTGCAGAGCTGAGTTCAATTCCTGGGTATCCTTGTTAACTTTCTGTCTCATTGATCTGTCTAATGTTGACAGTGGGTGTTAAAGTCTCCCATTATAATTGTGTGGGTGTCTGAGTCTCTTTGTAGGTCACTCAGGACTTGCTTTATGAATCTGGGTGCTCATGTATTGGGTGCATATATATTTAGGATAGTTAGCTCTTCTTGTTGAATTGATCCCTTTACCATTATGTAATGGCCTTCTTTGTCTCTTTTGATCTTTGTTGGTTTAAAGTCTGTTTTATCAGAGACTAGGATTGCAACCCCTGCCTTTTTTTCTTTTCCATTTGCTTGGTAGATCTTCCTCCATCCTTTTATTTTGAGCCTATGTGTGTCTCTGCACGTGAGATGGGTTTCCTGAATACAGCACACTGATGGGTCGTGACTCTTTATCCAATTTGCCAGTCTGTGTCTTTTAATTGGAGCATTTAGTCCATTTACATTTAAAGTTAATATTGTTATGTGTGAGTTTGATCCTGTCATTATGATGTTAGCTGGTTATTTCCCTCGTTAGTTGATGCAGTTTCATCCCTAGCCTCAATAGTCTTTACAATTTGGCATGATTTTGCAGTGGCTGGTACCGGTTGTTCCTTTCCACATTTAGTGCTTCCTTCAGGAGCTCTTTTAGGGCAGGCCTGGAGGTGACAAAATCTCTCAGCATTTGCTTGTGTGTAAAGTATTTTATTTCTCCTTCACTTATGAAGGTTAATTTGGCTGGATATGAAATTCTGGGTTGAAAATTCTTTTCTTTAAGAATGTTGAATATTGTCTCTCCCTCTCTTCTGGCTTGTAGTGTTTCTGCAGAGAGATCCGCTGTTAGTCTGATGGGCTTCCCTTTGTGGGTAACCCGACTTTTCTCTCTGGCTGCCCTTAACATTTTTTCCTTCATTTCAACTTTGGTGAATCTGACAATTAGGTATCTTGGAGTTGCTCTTCTCGAGGAGTATCTTTGTGGCCTTCTCTGTATTTCCTGAATCTGAATGTTGGCCTGCCTTGCTACATTAGGGAAGTTCTCCTGGATAATATCCTGCAGAGTGTTTTCCAACTTGGTTCCATTCTCCCCGTCACTTTTAGGTACACCAATCAGACACAGATTTGGTCTTTTCACATAGTCTCATATTTCTTGGAGGCTTTGTTCATTTCTTTTTATTCTTTTTTCTCTAAACTTCCCTTCTCACTTCATTTCATTCATTTCATCTTCCATCACTGATACCCTTTCTTCCAGTTGATCGCTTTGGCTCCTGAGGCTTCTGCATTCTTCACGTAGTTCTTGAACCTTGGCTTTCAGCTCCATCATCTCCTTTAAGCACTTCTCTGTATTGGTTATTCTAGTTATATATTCATCTATTTTTTTTTCAAAGTTTTTAACTTCTTTGCCTTTGGTTTGAATTTCCTCCTGTAGCTCAGAGTAGTTTGATCGTCTGAAGCCTTCTTCTCTCAACTCATCAAAGTCATTCTCCATCCAGCTTTGTTCTGTTGCTGGTGAGGAACTGCGTTCCTTTGGAGGAGGAGAGGCCCTCTGCTTTTTAGAGTTTCCAGTTTTTCTGCTCTGTTTTTTCCCCATCTTTTGGTTTTATCTACTTTTAGTCTTTGATGATGGTGATGTACAGATGGGTTTTTGGTGTGGATATCCTTTGTGTTTGTTAGTTTTCCTTCTAACAGACAGGACCCTCAGCTGCAGGTCTGTTGGAGTTTGCTAGAGGTCCACTTCAGACCCTGTTTGCCTGGGTATCAGCAGCGGTGGCTGCAGAATAGTGGATTTTCGTGAACCGCGAATGCTGCTGTCTGATCGTTCCTCTGGAAGTTTTGTCTCAGAGGAGTACCCAGCATTGTGAGGTGTCAGTCTGCCCCTACTGGGAGGTGCCTCCCAATTAGGCTGCTTGGGGGTCAGGGGTCAGGGACCCACTTGAGGAGGCAGTCTGCCTGTTCTCAGATCTCCAGCTGCATGCTGGGAGAACCACTGCTCTCTTCAAAGCTCTCAGACAGGGACATTTAAGTCTGCAGAAGTTACTGCTGTCTTTTTGTTTGTCTGTGCCCTGCCCCCAGAAGTGAAGCCTACAGAGGCAGGCAGGCATCCTTGACCTGTGGTGGGCTCCACCCAGTTCGAGCTTCCTGGATGCTTTGTTTACCTAAGCAAGCCTGGGCAATGGCGGGCACCCCTCCCCCAGCCTCGCTGCTGCCTTGCAGTTTGATCTCAGACTGCTGTGCTAGCAATCAGTGAGACTCCATGGGTGTAGGACCCTCTGAGCCAGGTGTGGGATATAATCTGGTGTGCTGTTTTTTAAGCCTGTTAGAAAAGCGCAGTATTAGGGTGGGAGTCACTCGATTTTCCAGGTGCCCTCTGTCACCCCTTTCTTTGACTAGGAAAGGGAACTCCCTGACCCCTTGCGCTTCCTGAGTGAGGCAATGTGTCGCCCTGCTTCGGCTCGTGCACGGTGCGCTGCACCCACTGTCCTGTGCCCACTGTCTGGCACTCCCTAGTGAGATGAACCTGGTACCTCAGATGGAAATGCAGAAATCAGCCGTCTTCTGCGTCGCTCACGCTGGGAGCTGTAGACCGGAGCTGTTCCTATTTGGCCATCTTGGCTGCCAAAAAGGCCCTAGGCTTTTTTAACTCTAATTATCTCCATGAGGCATTCTGTCATAATGATTAAAAGGTATGGAAAACAGAAGAGTAACCAGTAAGATACAATTTGTCAACCTTGGAATAGGGATTCTGTTTCAGCAAGATGGAATAAATGCTAAAAACTCTTTATATAACAAGAGCAAAAGCCTTATTGCATCATTTTTCAAAGGAATATAATGCTTTTGAATGAGTAATAGATTAACTTTTTATCATTTTTGTCCACAGGCATTACTATGAGAAGATACCTGGACTTGGTGGTATATAACAAACATTTCTTGTAATCCCAGAGGCTGAGAAGCCCAAGGTAAAGGCATCAGCTAATAAAGTGTTCAGGTAAGGGGTCATTTCCTGGATTTTATTTTTATTGATTTATTTTTGAGACAGAGTCGCTCTGTCGCCAGGCTGGAGTGCAGTGGCATGATCTCGGCTCACTGCAACCTCTGCTTCCAGGGTTCAAGTGATTCTCATGTATCAGCCTCACAAGTAGCTGGGATGACAGATGTGCACCATCATGCCCGGCTAATTTCTTATATTTTAGTAGAGACAAGTTTCACCATTTTGGCCAGGATAGTCTTGATCTCCTGACCTCGTGATTTGCCTGCCAAAGTGCCAGGACTACAGGCATGAGCCACCTTGCCCAGCCACTTCCTGGATTTTAAACACGCCTCCTTCTGAGGCTACACCTTATAGAAGTGAGTTGGGAACTCTATAGTCTTTTAGGAGGGTGCTAATAACATTTACGAAGGTGCTGCCTTCCTGACCTGATTACTTCCCATCAAAGTCCCTTTTCCACCTCCAGAGGGCAGCCAATTGACACTACCACATGTTGATCATAAAGTATTTTTTAGATGGTAGAGTGAGGATGGCAGTGATGATTTAATGAATTCTTTGGTTTCCAGTTTTTAATGACTTCAGTGTTGGCATCAGGTATTAAAGGCATGAAGATGATTTTTTAAATTGTTCATATGTAGTCATCCACTTTCAGCTTACAAGGTTTGGGGACAATTGGGCAGTTTTGGTTTTCAGTGATGCTAAATCATGAAAGTGGGACCCAGGGGTGAAATTTTAGTTTAGAGAAGGGTAGCTGTATAATGGATAAAAGGAGAATTGAAATTGTAGACTAATAAAATATGTAAGGCAACTCAGATGGGGGTGTGTTTTAATTTTCCATTGAAACAAAATTCTCTCTGAAGTTACTTCTCTTGACTCTCATTCACAAAATAAGTCTGGTCTGACTAAATTTGTCCTCATTTTTTACCTAACTGCGGTAAGAATTGTCACTGATCACAAAGACATATATATATACATATATATATATGTGTGTATATATATAAATTATATATGTATATATAATTTATATATATACACACACATATAAATTATATAAATTTTTAAAGATATAAATTTATATTTATTTTTATTTTATAAATTTGTATTTATTTATTTATATTTAAATTTATATAAATTATAAATATACATTTTATATTATATCATATATAATATAAAATAAATTATTTATATAATTTATTTTTAAAATCAGAGACAATATGCAGCTCCATGCCATCTCAAACTCATGGGCGCAAGTGATCCTCCCACCTCAGACGCCTGAGTAGCTGAGACCGTAGGTGCAAACCATCATGCTTGGCTAATTTTGTATGTTGTTTGTTTGTCTGTTTGCTTGATTTTAGAGATGGGGTTTTACCATGTTGCCTAGGCTAGTCTTGAACTTCTGAGCTCAAGTGATTCTCCCACCTCTGTCTCTGAATATGCTGGTATTACAGGTGTGAGCCACCATGCCTGGCCACAGACGCCTTGGCAGTATACGTGGTGAGAACTTTATATAATTAGTTTCAGATTATAATTTTTAATGCCTTGCGACTAGGACCTAAGCCAGGAACTTGCCACCAGGCTTCCCTTTCAGAACCTATACACTTGGTGGAATATCTTTCCTTTCAAAGTCTCCAAATATCATGAGGTTTTCCAGAGCTTGCCCAGAAGTGACCTGTCTTTCTCACCTCTTAGACTAGGAACTCTAACCAATTACCAGGTTGGTTTTTCCAAGAGGGCTGTATAAGTATTTTCTCCACAGTCAACTTTACTTCTTAAAGCTGCCTGGTTATCTCTGATTCTCTGAAAATCATTCTTAAATGTATTTGATATTTCAGACAAAGCTTTGTTATAAAACCAGGTTCTAATTAGGTTATGTTGAAAGGATAATACATTCTTACTACTTCATAAATGACTCTATTGCCATACAAATGTTTATAAAATCTTAAATGTCCAGTGAACATAACACAGCTTAACTAGTAAATTAGTAATTCTAAGAAGGATACAAACGACAAATGTATTCTCTTTCTCTTTTTTTTTTTCAGACTGGATCTCGCCCCCTCACCCATGCTGGACTGCAGTGGCATGATCTTGGCTGACTGCAGTGGCATGATCTTGGCTCACTGCAACCCCTGCCTCCCAGGTTCAAGCAGTTCTCCTGATTTGGCCTACTGAGTAGCTGGGATTACAGCTGTGTATCACCATTCGTGGCTAATTTTTGTATTTGTATTTCTAGTAGAGATGGGGTTTCGTAATTTTGGCCAGACTGGTCTGAAACTCTGGACCCCATATGATCCACCTGCCTCAGCCTCCCAAAGTGCTGGGATTAAAGGCATGAGCCATCATGCCTGGCCCACAAATGTCTTTTTATACTTAATAATAACCACAATTTGTAATATGTAGCTGTCTGTATTAAACAATTTTAAAGTAATCTTAGTTATTAAATATTTGCATGAGTCATGTGAACCTGAATACATATTTCTAGGAAGATTAGGAGTATGTAATTCACAATAGTGCTCATTTATCTCTAAGCCAGTTTGAATAGCACCTTTTTAAGTGATATTAGAAATTAACTTGGTAATAATATCCAGAGGTAGAAATACATCACACACACAGCATATTTGCATAAAACTATAGAGGCAAACATATTTTATAGATGTCCTAAAATTTAGTTATGAATGAGGCAATAGACTAATATAAAACTCACTAGTTTATATCCATTTCATATTGTATCTGAATTGTTCTGGCAAATGAGACAAGGTCGCCTATTCAATAGCAGGTCTAATATCTTTTGTCTGTATTGATGAAGAAGAATTTTATGATATTATTTTGCCCTAATATTTTATCTGTGGAGCCAGAGGACTACATTTTAGGCATAGAATACATCTAGTTGCAGTCTGGATGTCTCCAAAGGCTGGGTGGATAAAATACTCAATCTCTTCTAATGAATTAGCCATTTTTTCATTTCAACTTTAGGCCAGTAATTTTTTGAAGGGTGGGGAAGATACTCAAGTCCCTCAAGAGCCTCTGATTTAGTGGGCCTAAATTTCTGTTGACTATAGAGAGTTGAAAGGCTGAAATAGGAAGGGAAATGTTTGTTTAGGGGTAGACAGAATAATGGATGATGAGATGTTTGAAGGAGGATATGTCAAAGGATTCAAGGAAGGTAAAGGGAGGATCAAAGGTGGTGAGAGGAGAAACAAGAAACATGAGTAATAAGAAGGAAGATGTCAAAGAGCACCAGTGTAGGGAGATGTTAAGTTTCTCAAAGGTCATTGAAGTTCCAAATTATCCTTGAAAAATGCATTCAAACAACAAGGATATAGAGTTACCAAAGCCCAAAGTCCACAAGGGTTCAAGAAGGTGAGTTTTAGTTGGCTAGGAGACTTCCACTGGACAGGGAAGAATCCAAATAAGAACAGAGAGGGGTCAAAGAGCTTCAATGGAGATGAGAGATAGAGATAGTTAGACAGAAAGATAGATAGAGCTAGAGCTAGAGCTAGAGATAGAGATAAAGAGAGATAGAGCTAGATAAAGATAGAGACAAACTTCCTAACCTGCCAGAAAGATGGGAAAATTCACATTAAGGAAAAAAGGTCTCCAACATAGGGAATCAGGAAATAATCTTCACTCAGGAAAGAGACTAGAAAAAGGGAACCCAGCCAATGGAGTCACGGAAAACCCCACTCAGGGAGTAGCTAGGAAAAAAGATATTTAGCATAGAGAATCAGGGAAAAAATCTTACTTGAGAATAGACATCCAAGAGGAAAATTCAAGCCAAAAATGTCAGAGAATAAGCCACTCTTGGGCAGAAGGGTATACAACACAGAACCTAAAGGGATAATCTCAAACATGAAGAAAAGCTGACAAAAAAAGAGTTGCAGACTTGGAAATCAAGAAACAATTTCCAGTCAGATTAGAGAGCAAGGCAAGAGAGACTTACAACCCCAGGGAGTCAGGGAATAATCATAAGAAAAGTGATAACCTGGGAAAAGAAAATGTCATGCTAGGAGACAGGGAATAATACCCAATAAAGAAAAAGAGCCAGGAAGATGAGATTTCCAACTAACGTATCAGGAAATAATCCTCAGAAAATTGGAATAATCTGTAATAAGGGAAAAAAAGTTAAGAAAAACAAAACAAAACAAGAAAATGTCCATCTCCTGGAGTCAGACAGTAATCACTAGTAAGGGAAACATCAGGAGGAAAATACTTTCTGCACATTAGGAATAAATACCACTTGGGAAAGAGAGAGCCATAAGAAGGACTTCTACCTAAGAAAGTTAGAATAATCCTTATTTTTTTAAAAAAAGAGAGAAAGACAGCTTTAAAAGAAAAGTCAGAGTATAATCCCAATCAGGAAATTAGAGTCAGAAAGAAGAATTTTGAGCCCAAATGTCAGAGAAAAATTTCAAATCAGGAAAAAGAGAGAGCCAGGGAATAATCTTCAATCATGAAAAGAAGTAGAAAAACAGTCTTTCATCACAGAGATCATTTAATATTTACCTCAGAGAAAAGAACAAAGGGAAAAAAAGAGGTTCAGTCCAAGGATTCAGAGAATAATACCAGTTTAGGACAGGGAGCCAAGAAGTGACTTTGAGCTCAGAATCACATGAGAATTGTTCTCATTTAGGAGAGCGAGAGACAATCAGGTAGTCAGAAAATTTTACCCATTAACAAAGAGACCAGAAAGAAGAGATACCTAGCCAGAGAGTCAGAAAAGAGAACTAATAAGAAGTGACTTACATAATAAAATAACAACAACAAAAGGACAAAGATGGCTGCTAGAGTCACTCAAGACTCACCTCCTCCACAAAGAAGGTCCAAATAGCAAATAGATGACTATGCACTGAATTGAACATCTTTGGGAGAATGCTGGAATTCAGCAGGGAAGTGACTGTGACTCTCTTGGGAAAACTGGCTAGCCATATGCAGAAAACTGAAACTGGATCCCTTTCTTACACCGTTTACAAAAATCAACTCAAGATGGATCAAAGACTTAAATGTAAGACCTAGGACCATTAAAATCCTAGAAGAAAACCTGGGCAATGCCAATGAAGACACAGGCACAGGCAAAGACTTTATGTCCAAAACACAAAAAGCAATGGCAACAAAAGACAAAATTGACAGATGGGATCTAACTAAACTAAAGAGCAAAATAAACTATCCTCAGAGTGAACAGCCAACTTATGGAATGGGAGAAAATTTTTGCAATCTCTCCATCTGACAAAGGGCTAATATCTGGAATCTACAAAGAACTTAAACCATTTTACAAGAATAAAACAAGCAACCCCATAAAAAAAGAGCAAATGATATTAACAGACACTACTCAAAAGAAGACATTTATGCAGCCAACAGACTTATAAAAAATGCTCCTCATCAGTGGTCATTAGTGAAATGCAAATCAAAACCAAAGTGAGAGACCATCTCACTCTGGTTAGAATGGCAATCATTAAAAGTCAGGAAACAACAGATGCTGGAGAGCTTGTGGAAAAACAGGAATGCTTTTACACTGTCGGTGAGAGTGTAAATTAGTTCAACCATTGTGGAAGACAGTGTGGCAATTACTCAAAGATCTAGAACTGGAAATACCATTTGACACAGCAACCCCATTACTGGGAATATACCAAAGGATTATAAATCATTCTCCATAAAGACACGTGCACACGTATGTTTATTGCAGCACTATTCACAATAGCAAACACTTGGACCCCCAAAAAATAAGATGAAGAAAGGCACCATGCGGTCAAGTTAGTGAGTAATCACTAAGTCATTGGTCTGCACTCGAGGTCACCACGTTCTGGCGGAAGTTCATTCAAGCTGAGTTTTCATTATGGGACAACAGTTATCAGCACCACAGAAACAGTATATAAAACTATTGAAGCAGCTGCTTAGGTCTAGGAGAGTTTCAGTTTCACAGGTTCAATTAAGGAAATTATAAACTGTGGTCACATATAATCCGTGACTTCCAGAAGAAGGAACCCTACACGTAGAACTGTGGCAACAAGTAGGGAGAAATCTTAAACAATATTATGCACAGGGGCATCAGGTCCCAGCATCAGCTTTAACACGATGGGCTTTACTAAGGATGGCTTTAGTCCCATTATACACAGAAGAGCCTAAAAAGGAGAAGGAGGGAGAAAGGTGACCTGCCTTATCACCTCCTTTTCCCTCAGTCCCACTATCACCGGGATAAAATAACAAAAAGTAAATGGAGGGTTTGCCTGACCCCCTCTTACTATAAGTAGAAAAAAAGACAAGAAACGTACTTCAGCTATGGGACCTTGTCTTAAACAAGCAGCATTAGAAGGAGAGTTCTTAGCCTGTCCAGTAATGCAAGACCGACATGGTAATCAAGTATATGAACCCGTTTCCTTTCACACTTACAAATAACTAAGAAAAAGCATTAAAGAAAACGCTCCCACTAGACCATTTACAAAAGGAATGATTGAGGCCTTAGCAGACCACTTCTGTATGGCCCAATGGAACTGGTCAATTCTGGCTAAAGCAACTCTGGAGCCTAGCCCATACCTCCTCTGGAAGGCAGAATATGATGAGCTGTGTGAACAAGAAGCCAACCAGAATCAGGCGGCGGGGCAAAATATAACTGCTGATAAGCTCCAAGGGAAAAGTCCTCATGCTGATGTACAACAACAACTAAATTTTGATCCCCAGGCCTATGATCAAGTGTCTTTGTGTGCTCTCAGAGCTTGGGACTGAATTCCCAAGAGCTGACTGAGTTCAGCAGGTGTCTTTCGTAAATATTTGACAAGGGCCTCAGGAGCAATTTGTTGAGTTTATGGATCACTTAATTCAGGCAATTAAGAGGCAAATCAGTCACACCCAGTCCACTCCTATCTTATTGTTGCAGTTGGCTTTCAAAAACATTAATGTGGATTGCCAGCAGGCAATGCAGGCAATCAAAGGAAAGGCAGGCACCGTCAGGGAGCTGATATAAGCATGTCACCTGGTAGGAACTGAGACAAACGAGGCCAGAATATTAGCTATGGCATTAAGGCCTCCTAAAGTGAGAAGGGAGAGAAAGCAAAATCATTTTCTATGTGGAGTGAAAGGTCATGTGAAGAGGAAATGCCCCCATAGTAAAAAGCAAGCTAACTCAGGGAAAGGACCCTTTTCTATATGTCCTGGATGTAGGAAAGGGAGACGTTAGGAAAATCAATGCAGGTCTAAATTTGATAAAAATAGCCATCTCATAGGAAATCAGTTGGGAAACTTCATGAGGGGACGGCCCCAGGCCCCACTCCCAACTGGGGCAATGCCAACAGCTTTCCTCGGTTGGCTAGAAAGCCCACAGTCCTCTCTCTCAGAGCAGTCACTACTGGGAGTGCATGACTGGACTTACTCTGCTCTGCCAAATTAGTGCTACAAGAGGAAGAAGGCCCTGCAAGGGTTGAGACTGGGATCTGTGGCCCGCTGCCTCCAGGAACAGCAGGATTATGCCTGGGGCAGTCTAGCCTATCTGTAAAGGAATTAATGTGCTCCTTGGGGTAGTTGATAGTGATGACCAAGGTGAGATATTGGTTATGATGGAATGTAAAGGTCTGCATGTTCTTCCCCCTGGATCAAAAAATAGCTTAGTTAAAGATTTTACCATGCTGGGTCCCTAATGCCCATGAGAAGGAAAGGGGAAAGTGAAGTTTTGGAAGCACAGGAGCATATTGGAATCAATTAATCACTGATCAGAGATGCATGATTACCTTAAAAATTGGTAATAAGAATTTTACTGGCTTATTGGGCACAGGGGTGGACATTTCAATCATTAGTGATCAGAACTGGTCAAAAATCTGTCCTTGGGTCACTCAGAAACAGAAAACTGTCAGCAACAGGAAAGCATACACAGCCAAACAGAGCACATGCCCCTGAACCTGCTGTGATTCAGAAGGAAAAAAGGCATTATACAACCTCTGATTGTGCCCATCCCTGCTAATCTTTCAGGATGGGACCTATTAGCCCAATGGTGGGGCGGGGGGGCACTCTGCAGACCCCTTTCTAACAATGGCCACTCTTGTTATTCCTCCACTACCTCTGACTTGGATGTCTCAACACCTGGTCTGGGTAGCACAGTGGCCTCTGAAGGGAGAGAAATTACAGGGAACTCATGAGTTTGTTGAGGAGCCATTAAAGGCTGGACATCTTGAACATTCTACCAGCCCCTGGAATTCGCCTATTTTTGTCATTCCCAAAAAGTCTTGGAAACAGAGGTTTTTAAATGACTTACATGATATTAATGCTAATTTACAGCCCATGGGACCCCTTCAAAAGGCCTCCCCTCCCCCACAGTGATTACTCAAGATTGGCCTATAATTGTTATTGACTTAAAAGATTGCTTCTATACCATTCCTCCAGCAGAACAGGAGAGAGAGAACTTTGTGTTTACAATACCAGCTGTCAATAATGAAAAGTCAGCTTGTCAATTTCACTGGCAAGTGCTTCCTCAAGGAATGCTAAATAGTCCTACCATGAGTCAGTATCATGTTAATCAAGCTCTGCTCCCTAGTAGAAAAGAATTTCCTGACTGTAAAATTATTCATCCTATAGATGATATTGTACTAGCAGCCTGAACAGATCAATACTTTTACATTTGTTTACCTCTGTCCTAAAGAATACACAGCTGAGAAGTTTAGTCATTGCACCTGGAAAACTACAAGTGTCCAATGTCCTCTCCTTGGAAATACCTTGGATATCTGTTAACCTCCTGGTCAGTAAGACCTCAAAAGGTTAAACTAAGTACTAGCAACTTATACACCCTAAATGATTATCAGAAATTACTGGGTGATATTACCTGGCTCCATCCCATTTTGGGAATTCCTAAAAATAAACTACAAAACCTGTTTTCTATCTTAAAGGGCAATCCAGCTCTTGATTCTCCCAGATATTTAATCCCTGCAGCAAAAAGAGAAATCGAGGAAATTGAGCAAGCCATCTCTGAGAGACGGCTAGATCGCATTGATCCATGGTATTCAATTCAGTTGTATATCTTTCCCAGCAAACACTCCCATGCAGGGTTACTAGGACAAATGACCCCTGGGCTACGTTTCCTACAATGGTTTTTTGCTCACATAACCGAGACTAAAATACTGTCTCCCGATATTCAGTTAATTACTAGAGTCATCTATTCAGGTTGCAAACGTTGCAATCATTTACTAAGTTATGACCCTGATGTCATCAGGATCCCTTTAAAAAGCAATTAGAAGCAGGATTACCTTTGTCAATACACCTGCAAATAGCTTTCTCTGATTACACAGGGCAAATAGAGCACATCCTCTCTGCTGATAAACTCCTTCATTTCTTATCTCACACTCCGACAATATTGCCTATAAAAATAATTTACTCCCCCATGCATAATCCTTTAACACTGTTTATCAATGGGTCGGCTAAACATGGAAAAGCAGCAGCCTGGAGACCCCAGAATTCAATCACTCAATCTGGGTTAACTAGCACTCGGAGAGCTGCAATTGGGGCTCTGATTTTGGCCTTAGAAACTTTTTCCACTCAGCCCATAAATATAGTTAGTGATTCTGCATACTCACTTCATTTATTACAAAAGTTTGAAACAGCACTGATTAAGTCCACTCTGGAGCCAGCCCTGTTTACTCTTTTTCTCTGACTTCAGCAATTGCTAGATCAATGTGCACATCCTATTGTTATTACCCACATGCGAACTCACAGCTCACTGCCTGATCCGTTGGTTTATGGCAATGAACAAGCTGACCTTCAGGTTATGACATCACTGCTAGACCAAGCCACTCAATCACATCCATTTTTCCACCAAATATTGGAGAAACTTATCTAAACAATTTCAAGTAGCCCAGAGACTGGCTAAACAAATTATCCTACAATGCCCAGATTGTCAACTCACAGGCACGTCCCCTCCTTCTAGAGATGTGCACCCTAGAGAATTGGAAACTAATCAGTTGTGGCAAACAGATGTTACAGACATCCCTGAATTTGGGAAGCTAAGATATGGCATGTATCCCTTGATACCAACACTCATTTAATTAGTGCAGATGCTTTGCCTGGAGAGCCTACTCGAAATGTCATTAAACATCTTCTTTTAACTTTTGCATTTATGGGGTGACCCACAAAAATTAAGATGGATAATGGCCCAGCTTATACCAGCTCAAAATTTAAAAAAAATTGTGACACATGCAATATTCAACATTCCACAGGCATCCCATAAAACCCCCAAGGACAGGCAATAGTAGAACATGCACACTTCACCCTTAAAAATATGGACAAAGAACAGAAAAAGGGGAATATAGGTAAGGCTCCTGCAACACTACTGGCACAAGCCTTATTTACCCTTAATGTTTAAAATTTGGTGTCAAATTGCAATCAGCTATAGAAAAGCACTTTGCTAAAACCTCTCAAGGCATAAAACCTGCAGTTTTATAGAAAGATGTAAACAGTAATGAATGGTGTGGTCCTAGCAAATTATTAACACTGGGGAGACGGTATGCTTGTGTTTACATTCCATCAGGTCCTCTTTGGATTCCAGCATGAGGCATCAAACCATACCATGGTGTAGCTAGGATCCAACCCAGTACCAGAATTGAAAGAGTTAACCCTGCAAGACCCACAGTTCTAGAGGATGCGGCTTCCACAGACAACACAGCCCTGGACATTAGCTGGGGATGCTGAAGAGGACAACTCAGGAGACTGAACAAATCCTGCTCTGGACACAGACACCATTTACTCCAGATAATTTTTTTCTTGCTATGCTTTCTATTGTACATTGGGATTCATATAGGGTATTGATCCTTTTTATCCTCTTGCTTTGTCTGCAACCTGTACCTGCTACACTCTATTGGGCTCATATATTAGGCCCACTTTTCTTTCACCCTGTCACCTGGGCAGACACTCCCTTCCCAGTCTACAATAATGTGACCGCTTGGCAAGGAAGGATAGAATTACCCCCCAGCAGGGTCCCTCAATAATGGCAAACATTGGACTAAGGTGCCAGATAACACTACATATCACTCCACTATCCTCCCACTGCATGTAAGTTATAAAGGCTCTAACCCTTACTGCGTACCTGGCCAAAGACAAGTATGGCTACATCATGGCAAAGAAAATGCCTTAACATTTTTAGCTATAGGTAGCCTCAAACTGGGCAATGCAATCCATGCTTCTTTCCCAAGTAGTCCTTCCTGTGCCAAAGAGCAGAGCTGAGAGAGTAATGAATTTCACTTTAGCTGTGAAGTCGGTCATGGGAAACAAGCCTATAGCCTCCAGTTTAGCAATTAAAACATTTTAGACTGGAGTCCCCATGGCCAATTGCAGGGCAGCCTTACAAATGTCTTTGACCATCATAGCATTAATCACTGTTTCATAGCCACTTCTCGTTCCCCTCTAATTTGGGCTGATGGGGAGATGGGATATCCCCAGATCCCAAGTAAAGTCCATGCCAATCCAAGGCATGTTATGGTGCCTGGGACATCTTAGTACCTACCTTAACACCTGCCATGGGAGATAAAATAATTCCAGCTGCAACTACACTATAGTCTTTATTCATATTCACACTGATCAGTGGCTGGTTTGCACTACCCATCCATATGTTTTGCTTATGGGAACTAACATTTCCATTACCACTGGAAACTCCACATTTATGACCTGGGTGCAGGGACAGGCTTGGTTTGCCTCATGTATCACTAGTCACAATGTATCTAAATTAAAAACTTCTAGTGTCATGGTATTAAGGAGACAATCTGAGGCATTTCTACCAGTCAATCTGACAACTGATTGACAAGCTGCCTCTGCCCTTGTTACCTTAGAATGTGCCCTGTCCCAGGTCAGACACAAAAGATTCACATTTACACTTACGGCCTTTATAGTCTCAGCCATAGGCGTTCTGGCAATGGCTAGTGTTGCTGTTGCATCTATAACTGAATCAGTACAAACAGCTGCTTTTGTAGATAATCTGGCCAGAAATGTAAGTAATGAACTTCTCTTACAGTAAGGGAAGAATGTGTGAGAGAGTGACAAGATGCACTAGCATTCTGTCAACAGTTAAACTGTGACTGGGAACATAAACACACTTGTGTCACTTCTCTACCATTGAATCAATCAATGCATAGTTGGGATGAGGTGAAACAACACCTCTGGGGCAACTTTCATAACAATTTAACAGCAGATATGAAGCAACTTAAAACTAAAATTTTGGAATCTGTTCACACCTTAGATCTGCAGACCCAACAAACAGCCATGTGGAAGGGTGTACAAGATCATCTCTCCTAGTTCCATGCTCACTCCTGGGGGACACTCTTTGACTGGAAAAAAATTTTGCTAATTATGCTCATGTTTGTCTTATGTTATTTGCTAATCCTAGGATGCAAAGTCTAAATAAGAGCAGTGACTGCCTCATCTGAAAATCCTGTGGCTGCACATATCTGTGCTCTGCAATCAAAAAACCCTAATAAAGAAAACAAAAATGGAGAAATGTTGGGATTCATTCAGGATGGTCGCAGAAATATTAAAGGGAAATATTAGGAAAAGTTCTAGGGAATAGTCACAAAACTTTTGGATGGCCAAAAGGTCACATAGCTTGTAATAATTGAGCAGGCTGAAGGCAGCCAGTTCTTACCTTAGAATATTAGGTCATAGGGTAAATATGAGGGACAATAGAGGCTTCCCTAGATAAGTCTGTTTATCCTACCTCCATCAACTAACTTTTGAGCCAGACAGCCCTCTCAGAAGGAGGTCAACCAAGGGTATTGCCCCCTAATGGTATTTACTTTAGACCAGGGTACCTGAGCTTTAATTATTCATAGAACTGCTGTCTTAACCATGTTTATTATCCTCAAGTGTATTTACTCAAGGCTTCTGTTGGTCGTTGTATACTAAATCAATGCCTGGAGTGCCAGCTGCTCAGGGCTGGCTGCAGTGACAAACCTTTCTTGGTGTGCAGGCGGTCAGATACAGCAGGACTGGCAGAACAGAATATCTTTGTATCAGTGTACATTTTATTCATCCATCGTTTGGGTCAGGACCCGCAGGCAGACCCCCACAGCTAATGCCCTTTTGTGAGGAGGAATAACTCAGTTAGGAAACTCAAACTACTGGTAGTTCAACTCAGGGTAGTTGAGTTTGAGTCCCACTAATTTAGAGAGAGTAGACAAAAACCTTTGGCTTCCTATTGAAATTGCAGAAGGGATACACTTCAGGAAGAAAATCTATAAGCCAGGAATAAAGAATTCAAAATGAGAATAAGGATAAGATCCCAACAATCTCATCCTAATAAAGTATAAGACAAAGGTTCTACAACATCTGTATGACTAGCCAACAATTTCTGCTAGAACAAATGCCAGCCTTTTTCAGAGAAAGAAAATAAATCCATTCTCTAAACATGCAACTGCAATTCACAGAAAAATGTTGTTACGTATACAAAGAAACAAGAGCATATTGAGATAGGAGAGATAAATAAGAAGTCAGACTGCTCCATGACCCAGATATTGGAATTAACACACAATTAAAACCGTGTGTTCAAGGACTTAAAAGATAAAAAGGCTGTATTAGCAGAGAGAATTCAATATCTGAGAAATTTTAAAAGTGGATGCTTTTAGCAAGACTTGGAGAAGAAAATAAGTAAGGTCAATGTTCAAGAATGTGGTAAGCAGTATGGCTTCTAGATGCTAGAAAAAATAAAGGGAATGACTCTCTGGTAGAGACTCTAGAAGAAATGCAGCCTTGCCTACACTTTGGTTATAGTTTACTGGCCCCGTTTCAGACTTCTGACATCCATAGCTGTGAGAAAATAAAGTGTAATCTAAGATCTGAAGAAAATGAAAGTGTCAGTCTGAGAAGACTAACAGAAAACAGTATGGGAAAAAAGCAAAGGGGAAAAGCTGTGAACCAAGACAGAACTTGAAAACATGGGCAACTTGAATCAAATATTATTGACTCTGGAATAAGGGGTGGGCCTGAGATATGAGGTTAGAGCATTGGAGAGCAGGCACACCATGAGGGCCTTGTGGATGCTGGTAAAGCAAGTAGTTACTTTCTGAGACATATCCTCCACAAACACATTCCTTAAGAAGAGTGACTTAATATAATTTATATTTTTAAAAAAGGGAGTATTACAGAGAATAAATTTGAGAAGGCAAGAGTGAGAAGGTGTTAAATTTTAGGAAAGCTATTTCAGTAGATGAAGCAAAATATAATCGTGGCTTGGATTTACGGTGGATATTTAGAGCAGAGCATACTTTGATTGGGGATATTCCGAAACTAAGTTTAGCAGGACTGAATTATGGATTTGATGTAAAGCTTTAAGGAAGAAAGAAATTGAGGATAACACTTTGGTGTTTTGTCTTGAGTGTTCGATAGTGGCTTACAGGTTTTTAGCAGTGAATGCCACTGTTAATAAAAGACTCAGTTGGAAACTGATGATGGGACTGCCTGAATGCAAAGCTCCTGTTTTTTACAAGCTGAAAAATCATCCCTACTTGGTCCCAGGATTTCTATATATAAAAAATAAAAAAGGAAAAAAGTTGTGAAACCAATATGATTTATCTCAGTTTTGTAATTCTCTGAGACTTTTACTCAATTCCTTGGTCTGCAAATCAAAAAACAAGAACTGAATTAATGTATATCCAATTTGTTACCCAAATGTGTTCATCTAACAAATTCAACACTCACACACACATTGACATACACATAGCCAAGAAATAATGAAATATATTGTAAAGTACAAGAACTTGGGGCTGGGCATGGTGGCTGATGCCTGTAATCCTAGCATTTTGGGAGGCTGAGGTGGGTGGATCACGAGGTCAGGAGTTCAAGACCAGCTTGGCCAAAATGGTGAAACCTTGTCTCTACTAAAAATACAAAAATTAGCTGGGAGTGGTGGCGGGTGCCTGTAATCCCAGCTACTCGGGAGGCTTATGCAGAGAATTACTTGAACCCTGGAGGTGGAGGAGGATGCAGTGAGCTGAGATTGCACCACTGCACTCCAGCCTGGGAGAGAGAGTGAGACTCCATCTCAAAAGAAAAAACAAAACCAAACCACAACAAAACAAAACAAAACAAAAAAAACTTGAAACCACAAATACACTTGTTTTTGAGTCTCGGCACTAGCACTTTCTGACATGTGTCATTATATATGTCATTTAACCTTTATGAAACTCAGTTTTTTAATAAATAAAAGCATATATTAATACTCACAACATTGTAAGCATATTAACCAAATTATATTTGACCGTAAAATTAAAAACTAGAAGTACATGTTGGTTTTTCAGTGCTCTTACAAAAAATTAATCATTATAACATTTGAAAATAAGAAGATGTGGAAGATAAATTAATACTTTTCTTTTCTTCTTCCAATTTCAAATATAAGCACTCATAGCAATTTGACAATAATTTTCATGAAGTTAATTTTGCATATAAAACATCTGCAAAGATTATGTTCACATTTACAAAACTGAAACTGCTATACACACATCCATGTACACACATAATACATGCACATTCTATAATTTGCCTTTGCTAAAATACACATTTTAGATTTTCTTCCAAAGCAACACATGTATCAATCTTATTTGCATTAATAGCTACATAATAATCAATATTATATTTATACCAAGGTTTCAATTGATGCACCATTTAATCTTTCTGATTTTGAGGACAGTTCTAACATTCCAAATCTTTTATATTAATAACAATGCTATAATAAACATGGTGGTATATTTATCTTTTATTCTTGGTGATGTTATTTGTATTTAATAAGTGGTACAAAATGTGAAAACTTGGCCAAGTGCTGTAAGTACTGTGCATTGAAATTATTTAAATACTAAATTTATGTAATATTAAATAAAATTATAACTATTTATGTATCAAATTACTTTCCAAAACCCTTGTAGTAATCACATTTCTTCTAGCACTTACAATTTCATCAACAATGGATGCTACTATTAGTTTTTATTTTTGTAAACTAATGAATGTTTTATCTATTATCTTAACTTCACTTTTTTTTTGAGAACTGGAAATTTTGTTTTATTGTTACTGATCTCTAGGATGTTGATTGTTTTTCTAGCCAGAAACGTCTGTGGCTGTGACACCTTTGCCTGAGATCTTGTCCTGTGTCAGGAAGAATGAGGTAGAATGAGGTATGCAGACAAGTGAATGGTGAACAAGAAGAAACATTCTACTTAGTGTTAGTACAGCTCAGAGGAATGGTTTGCTCCTCTCTGTAGGCAGGTTTTCCAGTCGAGTGTTCAGCTCTTAGCAGAGAGGAGGCCCTGGAGAGCGTGGCTCTTCTCCATGGCAAAGTCATTCAAGTCTCTGCAGACCTCTGAAACTGTCAGCAGAGACAGTAGCTCCTCTCTGTTTGTGTCCTATATGTAATGCTAAGAAAATACTGATGTTGAGCTTTAAAGCAACATTTCACTATCTTTCTCCACTGGCAATGCTCTTATTAAAATATAAGTAATCATTTGGCTTATACAGTATCATATTATGAAATGTAATGAGAGGCACCTACTTACAATTTTTAGATTTCAATTTTGGTAATGAATATTGGCTTTGCCAGACACTCATGTAAGATGTACATCTAAAGTTTAATTTATGTTATTTGGATATTATTTCATTAAATATCTAAATATTGGAAAGCATTAATCAATGTGTTTCACTTCAGAAATGCCTGCCATATATCTTTCATATTTGTTAATCAAATGAAGTCTTGGCAAATTCAAATTTTTACAGCTTAGAAATTTTCAAGGAAAATGCAATGCACAAAATCATAAATGGTGATATTATCCCAAATCTTAAGTCAAGTAACATGTCATTAAGAAACACATAAATTGGCACATATACACCATGGAATACTATGCAGCCATAAAATATGATGAGGGACATGGATGAAACTGGAAACCATCATTCTCAGTCAACTATTGCAAGGACAAAAAACCAAACACCGCATATTCTCACTCACAGGTGGGAACTGAACAATGAGAACACATGGACACGGGAAGGGGAACATCACACACTGGGGACTGTTGTGGGGTGGGGGGAGTGGGGAGGGATAGCATTAGGAGATATACCTAATGCTAAATGACAAGTTAATGGGTGCAGCACACCAACATGACACATGTATACATATGTAACAAACCTGCATGTTGTGCACATGTACCCTAAAACTTAAAGTATAATAATAACTAACTAAATAAATAAATAAATAAAAAGAAAAATATTTAATGAAATGTCGAAAGATATCTTAGAAAGCAAGTTGACTATTGTGTACTAATTGTGTAGAAATCCAGAATAGCAGAAATAAGAGTAACAACTACTCACTATTTCATCAGACAAAATATGGGAAATCATCTTTAAATACAAAAACATACTTATAATGAAAAACACTGGGTTTTTATTTGGTAGAAGTGTATTCAACCTTCCCGATGGCAGGACTGGGCTGAATATTATATCAAAGACACTGATAGCTAATTAAAAGCATGTATGGATGCTGTGAAATGTGAGAACATAAGCAGAAGGAATCTCTTTCCCAATCTGCTCTTCCACTTCTCTCCCTCAACCTCATGTAGCCTGACATGGGACAGTTGGCAGATACTTCATTCCAAGGAGTGAGACTAGCAAGGCCAAATCTTTGATTTGAATTAGCACATAGAAACGGTCTCACTTTAATGCCCATGACAAATTTGTTTGCACTGTCTATTTCGTGTGTGTGTGTGTGTGTGTGTGTGTGTGTGTTTGTTTTTTGAGACAGAGTCTCACTCTGTCACCCAGGCTGCAGTGCAGTGGTGCAATCTCAGCTCACTGCAACCTCCACCTCCTGGGTTGAGGCAATTCTCCTGCCTCAGCCTCCCAAGTAGCCAGGACTACAGGTGCATGCCACCACGCCCGGCTAATTTTTTTTGGATTTTTAGTACAGATGGGGTTTCACCATGTGAAAATGTTTATTTTTAAAAAAATGGAAATTTGGATGTTATTAGATTCTTTCTTGTGTAGGACTTTCTTGCAGGAGTAAAGTATAACAGTATGTTTCTTTCTTTAGGTTGAAAAAAAAGTACCAGTCTGGCATGGTGACTCATGCCTGTAATCCCAGAACTTTGGGAGGCTGACGAGAGTGGATCACCTGAGGTCAGGAGTTCCAGACCCTCCTGGCCAACATGGTGAAACCCCATCTCTATCAAAAATACAAAAATTAGTTGGATGTGGTGGCATGCACCTGGATTTCCAGTTACTCTGGAGGCTGAGGGAGGAGAATCACTTGAACCTGGGAGGCAGTTGTAGTCAGCTGAAATCATGCCACTGCAGTCCAGACTGGGCAACAGAGTGAAACTCCACCTCAAAAATAAATAAATAAATAAAATACAATAATAGAAAAAGAGGGAATGGATTCCTCCCTAATTTATTTTATGAGGCCATCATCACCCTGATAACAAAACCTGACAAAGACACAACAGAAAAGAAAATTTCAGGCCAGTATTCCTGCTGAATATCAATGCAAAAATCCTCAATAAAGTCCTGGCAAAATGAATCCAGAAGCACATCAAAAGGCTTAACCACTACAATAAAGTCAGCTTCATCCCTGGGATGCAAGCCTGGTTCAACATAGGCAAATGAATAAACATAATTCATCAAATAAAGAGAAGTAATGACAAAAACCACATGATTATATCAATAGATTCAACACCCCTTCATTCTAAAACCTCTCAGCAAACTAGGTCTTGATGGTATGTATCTCCAAGTAATGAGCTATTTGTTATAAACTCACAGTCAATATCATACTGAATAGGCAAAAACTGGAAGCAATCCCTATGGCAACTGGCACAAGACCAGGGCAGGGCAATCAGGCAAGGGAAAGAAATAAAGAGTATTCTAATAAGAAGAGAGGAAGTCAAATTGTCTCTGTTTGCAGATAACATGATTGTATATTTAGAAAATCGCATCATCTCAGCCTGGAATCTCCTTAAGCGGAGAAGCAACTTCACCAAAGTCTCAGAGTACAAAATCAATGTGCAAAAATCACAAGCATTCCTATACCCCAATAATAGAGAGCCAAATAGTGAGTGAACTCCTATTCACAATGGCTACCAAGAGAATAAAATCCCTTCAAGTACATCTTACAAGGGATGTGAAGGACCTCTTCAAAGAGAACTACAAACCACCACTTAAGGAAATAAAAGAGGACACACGCAAATGGAAAAATATTCCATGTTCATGGATAGGAAGAATCAATATGGTGAGAATGGCCATACTGCCCAAAGTAATTTATAAATTTATATATATACACACACACACACACACATATATATATATACACACACACACACACGCAACAGATCAGAGGCCTCAGAAATAACACCACACACCTACAACCATCTGATCTTAGACAAAACTAACAAAACAAAGCAATGCAGAGAGGATTCCCTATTTAATAAACGTTGTTGGGAAAACTGGCTAGCCATATGCAGAAAATTGTAATGGGACCCCTTCTTTAGACTTTATACAAAAATTAACTCAAGATGCATTAAAGACTTAAATGTTAAGACCTAAACCCATAAAAAACTAGAAGAAAACCTAGGCAATACCGTTCAGGTCACAGGCATGGACAAAGACTTTATTACTAAAACACCAAAAACAATGGCAAAAAAGCCAAATTTGACAACTGAGATCTAATTGAATGAAATAACTTTTGCACAGCAAAAGAAAGTATCATAATATTGAAGAGGTGACCTGCAGAATGGGAGAAAAATTTTGCAATGTATCCACCTTACAAAGGGCTAATACCCAGGATCTACAATAAACTTAAACAAATGTACAAGAAAACAAACAACCTCAACAAAAAGTGGGCGAAGGATATGACAAGACACTTCTCAAAAGAAGACACTTATGCAGCCAACAACCATAAGAAGAAAAGTTTATCATCACTGATCATCAGAGTAATGCAAATCGAAACCACAAAGAGATACCATCTCATGCCTGTTAGAATGATGATCACTGTAAAGTCAAGAAACAACACACGCTGGAGAGAATGTGGAGAAATAGGAATGCTTTTACACTGTTGGTAGGAGTGTAAAATTAGTTCAACCATTGTGGAAGACCATGTGGTGATTCCTCAAGGATCTACAACTAGAAATACCATTTGACCCAGCAATCCCATTACTAGGTATATAACCAAAGGATTATAAATCATTCGGCTATAAAGGCACATGTGCACATATGTTTATTATGGCACTGTTCACAATAGCAGAGACTTGGAACCAATCCGAATGCCCATGGATGTTAGACTGGATAAAGAAAATATGGCATATATTTGCCATGGAATACTATGCAGCCATAACAACGATGAGTTTATGTCCTTTGCAGGGACATGGATGAAGCTGGAAACCATCATTCTCAGCAAACTAACACAAGAACAGAAAACCAAACACCATATGTTCTCACTCATAATTGAGAGTTGAATAATGACAACACATGCTTACAGGGAGGGGAACATTAGACACAGGGGCCTGTCGGTGGCAGGGGATAGGGAGGGATAGCATTAGGAAAAATACCTAATGTAGATGACGAGTTAATTGGTGCAGCAAGCCACCATGTCAAGTGTATACCTATGTAACAAACCTGACTGTTTCGCACATGTACCACAGAACTTAAAGTATAATAATAATTTTTTTAAAAGGACCTTATTGAGAAAATTAAACTGAGAATCTTTGCCTTATTTGTGGTTTTGGCTTCTGAACAATCTCTAAATGTAATCTCCTTACACTTTTTGCATATGGTTAGTATTGGAGATAATGCTTTTCTTTAGTACTGAGAGTGGAGACTCCCAATTTATGATCAAATAATTTAGCAGAATGCACTTGGGCCATATCATATCCATTTTGGGATGAGAGGACACTGTTGCTAAGTACTTACTGTCTGAAGTCACGAGAAGGAGCAAACATAAAATGCAGAAGTGAGTTTTCTGGATGCATACGTACATGTGGTCCTACAAAATTTTCTTTCTTTTGTTCAACAAATTTTATTTGGTATACGTATACTGTTCAGTGTTGTGGATACAATAAGGATTGAGGAGTCAGTCCTTCACTCAAAAGACTTACCGTACAATGGGAAAAATGGAGGCCATCTCCCATGTCATTTCTCTATATCACTAAAGAAAATTTCAAAAACAAAATTCTTAAAATAAGGAATTTATATTATTATACAAATTATGTAATACCTAGATGTAAATGGAATTACAAGCTGTTTTACCAAAACTACATGTTATTATTGAGATAAATTAGAAAATGTTTAATAATAGGATAAATATAACATATTCACAGATTAAAAACAATGTTTTTAAGATTTATAATTTTTCTAAATTTATTTATGGATTCAATACACTCTCAATCAACGTCTCCTCATTTGCCTGTGTTATTAGTAAAGTCCATCTCATACATGAGATACAATCTTGGATAAGAAAAGGAAGAGAGAAGTGAAATGAGAAAACTGAGCATATGAGCATTGTTCTTAAGGGACTATTTTTATTATTGCATTGAGCTAAGACTACTTGATTTCCTTTTTTAATTTTTTTTTTGTGAATACACAGTCACTGTATGTATTTACTTGGTTTTTTGAATACAATTTTTCCTGATCCTGAGGTTTGAGATGCTCAAGAGGAACATCAGGTAACTTGAATACATAATAAAGAAGTTATAATTTATTTATTCCTCGGAGTATAATGCAGATACATGTAAGTCTTCCTATAAAGTTCTTAAAATATATATCTAATTTGCTTATAAAAAGTTGAACCATTTTTAGTCTTTTTAATATCAGTGCTCAATTCATCATCATTCTTCATTTTCAGTATTTCTGTTATAGAATTTTATTAACTTTAATTTGGGCATTGAAACACTCGAACAGTATCATAAATTCTATTGCATCATGCATTCCACTGCTGCATGTGATACCATTAGAAAAGAAGTGCAGTGCATAAACAAATTTATTTAATATGTTATTTTCATTTATTTAAGTGTTTTGATCCAGATTAAAATTGATGAATATGAGCAAGAAGCCAAGACAAGGATGCAAAATTTTGACCAATTGATGAACACTGCTAACATTTTAATCTTTGTTATTTTGAGATAAAAATTATGGGTTTTAAATTTGTAAACTCAGTAATTTGTAAAAATTCATGTGTGTGTTGATGTCTACCTATCTATCATCTATCTATATATACAACTTAACAATAAAACTATAGATAAAAGAACTGAACTTTATATTATATTTGCAGTATGCAATATTTTCCTGGGCATTATAGGCTTCATTTAGTCCATTTAATACACTATGATTTCATAGTAATATGAAAATATATTTCTTAATGAACTACTTTACATTATTAATCAGCTATATATAGGAAGACAAAGTTGAGATAAGGACCAAATATAGCCATTTTTAATAAAATAGTCCAAGGCATCACCATGTTCTATGTTCTAATGAGGTGCTACTATAAATTTAAAATCACTTTTAATGGCAAATATAAAGTATTATTGAAGCTAATTAACTTCCGTAGATTCCCAGAGATAAGACGTCTTATTCCTTTCACTTAGAGGGTGTGTGTATGTCTCAGGGAAGAATTTAGCTGAGGTTGTATTTGATTAGATTGATTAAATATGCATTTTACTCCATAAATATAATTTTTATGTGTATTACTTGAATATCTATTTCTAAAAACGTAGAGCTTTTCTTTATTTCATGCTGTTTGCCCCGGTCTACTAGGGGTTTGAATAGGGAAATCAGCTGTGTTCCTGAAAATGTGAATATATTCCTAAACATGTTCTCTATCTCATCTGTAATCTTGTGCACCAAGAAAGTCAACGCATTGCCCATTCCATTGTGAATACTTTGTTTTTGAGATGGAGTTTGGATCCCATCATGCAGGAGTGCAGTGGTACAATCTCAGCCCACTCCAATCTCTACCTCCTGTGTTCAAGTGATTCTCCTGCCTCAGCCTCCTGAGTAGCTGGCATTACAGGTATGTGCCACCATGCTCAGCTAATTTTTCTATTTTTAGTAGAGATGGGATTTCCCCATTTTGGCCAGGCTCATCTCAAACTCCTGACCTCAGGTGATCCAGCTGCCTTGCCTCCCAAAGTGCTAGGATTACAGGTGTGAGCCACCATGCCTGGCCAGAAAAAAAAAAAAATCTGTTTTCACTTTTTGCTCATAGTGTCCATACAGTTTCTCTTCTTCTTGCCTTCTCTAATCAAGAGATATGTATCTCTCCATCTTTCTGTGTAAATCTTTTTAAATCTTTCTTCCTCATTTCCTATGCCATCTCTTCTCTGAAAGAAATGATTATCTTCTGCTGTACTCAATCTCCCTCTCCATTCAGCCTTCATAATACTAATATACCTCTGTATCTCTCTCACAGCACCATTCACTTTTTATTTTCTATCATGGTTAATCAGCTTTACAAACATTCCTTGAGGGAGGGGTTTTTATCTAATTTATTTACTTTTTCCTCCCACAAAACTAATACAACAGTTTGAGGGCCATTGGTGCTCAACAAACACTTTAAATGGTTTATTTATTCAAGACGGTAAATCAAGTCAGGTAGATATTACCCGTCTTTTCCTTTAAAGTGTAAAGACTGGAAAACTCCAAAAATCCAGAAATACCAAAGCCTGATCATGATGGAACTGGCATAGAGTGTAAATCATTATTTACAATTGAGCCTCAGGTTCCTCAACTCATTTTTAATCCCTGAATCTTTTAGACACCACTTTTCTTCATCAAATCATACACTGTATAAGAATTAATTATTCTTAACTTTTGGCTAACCATGATATCCCTTTTCCCCCATGTCCATTCTTATTTTTTTATACAACAGAATTTTTGGCTTATTGTATAACTGCACAGATCAATACATTATATTCCTGCTTTGCCTGAGGTCAGACATAACCATGTTATAAATTTCTGTGTGGTGCAATACATCAGAATAGGTTTGTGCAACTTCTGGGCTGTGCCTTTCAAAGGAGGGAACTGTCATTCCATTGTCCTTATAAATCATCTGGCTGGCTGGCTAGAATGTGGTCATGACTACAGGAGTTGGAACAGCCTTCTTGCACCATAAGATGTTGTCTGTTGAGGAGAGCAGAACAACAAAATAGAGGGAACATAGGTCTCTAAAAACGTTGAGGATTACAGCAACCACATCAGCTTAGAATTGTATATAAGAGAAAAGTTAACTTCTGTCTCATTTGAAACTACAATTATATTTTAATGAAGCAGAACTCACTGATTCCACTGTTGCTATTATCCCTACCACTATTGTACCGGCAACCTTTACTACAGAATCAAATAAAGTTATCATGACAGGTTATCAGAAACCAACTGGATTGGTATCTTGCCATCCCCATCTCATATTTGTCAACTTAGATGACAAACGGATAAATGCTAGAATATAAAATAAATCTCAAATTAAAACTTAACACAATTTCCTCTGAACCATGCCTAGGTTTTGGTTTTTGCTTTTATTCTCCATTCAGCAGTGAAAGAAAAGAGAATATTTCAATAATTATTATATAATATAATATATATGTTACTTATTCTAATAATTTAATTTTAAAATAATTTAAGAATAAACATATTTATAAAATTATTGACTTTAAAACTTTCATTTAACAATAATATGTATTCTATGATACAGTTTTTGCTTAGAAATATATATTTATATATTCATGTACATTTGTATGAATGTGTCAATGTATATTCAAATAAATATCATGAAAGTTTACATAATGACTTCTCAGTTATGCCCTCTGGGAGAGCAATTAAAAATGGTAAGTGAATAACTTTGGCTGTTTTATTATATACTCATGTATTAATTAAAGTTTTCAATAAGCATTGGTCTTTTATCAGCAGCATGAAAACAGACTAATACAATGAATTGTTATGAGGAGTGGGGTGCTGCCGAAAAGATACCTGCAAATGTGGAAGCGACTTTGAAACTGGGTAACAGGCAGATACTGGAACAGTTTGGAAAGCTCAGAAAAAGAAAGAAAATATGGAAGAGTTTGGAACTTCCTAGAGATTTGTTGAATGGCTTTGACAAAAATACTGATAGTGATATGAACAATATGTCCAGGCTGAGGTGGTCTGAGATGGAGAGGAAAAACTTGTTGGGAGCTGCAGGAAAGGTGACTCTTGTTATATTTTAGCAAAGAGACTGGCAGCATATTGCCCCTGCCCTGCAGATTTGTGAAACTTTGAACTTGAGAGAGATGATATCAGGTAGCAGTCTCAG
Source organism: Homo sapiens (assembly GCF_000001405.40). Taxonomy (NCBI): domain Eukaryota; kingdom Metazoa; phylum Chordata; class Mammalia; order Primates; family Hominidae; genus Homo; species Homo sapiens. The sequence continues at coordinate 9,993,377 of NC_000024.10, forward strand.
GGCATATGCTGCAGCTGCAGGAAGATGTATGGGAACACACACAACTCTCACTCCCAGATAAGCACAACAAAGAGACAGAGACGTAGTCCAAGCCTCTGACATACTCTTCCACCCTGAATCCTTAGAAACTGTTAGTGTGTAAGAAACTGTCCCTTTAACTCACTCAGCCAGAAAAACCTCTCATATTTGTTTTCTTTAAAATAAACCTGTCCTTCACCGTCAAGCCACCTTTCTTGTTTCTTTCCTCTTTCTTCAGTTCCTAGGTTTGATGCCAAAACCTTTGACTGGTGTTGGGAGCAGAGGCTTTCTTGCAACCCAGGAAGCAGTGAGCAATGGTAGCTCATCCTGAGTTAACTCCTGTATCCTAAAGGTCTCTGGCCACATGCCCCATCTTTTCTCTCACTTCACTTTTCAAGTGATTTGTGTGAGGAGGACAACTAACTTGAAGGGACTGTGAGGGCCAGGCTGAGGCTACTCCCCAGTGGGCTCTCAAAACACTCAGGTCTCAGGAATCCACTTCTGACCACCTGCAATGAGTATTTTGTTCCCTAACCCTCCCTCGCAACCTCTTCGTCTTCTTTCTCTCTGTCTTTCTCTCTCTCTCTCTCTCCATCTCTCTCTCTCTCTCTCTCTCTTCCTGAAATGGCTACAATCTGGGAGGGCCTTTGCCAATTCCATCCAGAAAATCCAATATCAGATACTAATTCGGATGACTGGTGACATCTGCCTTCTCCTGGCTTTCTGCCCTTGCTGGAGAAAGTCGGGCCTGCCGTCCAGGTCTTGGGAGGTCCAATGGGACTAATGGGGCTGAGCTAGAGGAAATCTTGGCACCCAGTTCCTTCTCAGCTTAAGGATACTATTTTGGAAGGAGGACTCTCGGTCTCTGTCTTTTGTCTGGGGATGCCTAGAACAAAACAGACACACCTAGCTTCCACTTACCAGTCCACATGGGTGCCAAACAATCTCATATCCCTACATCCTCCCCACTGGACTGCTGTATTCACAACCTAGCCAAGCTTGGCTTATGGCAGACCTTAAAGCCGAAGTATTTAATTTTCTACTTCAACAGAGATTTAACAACTTTATTACTAGAAATGACAAATGACAAGAGGTTTCCTCAGATTCAGGCTTTCTGCTACAGTCAACCTCACCCCTCCTCCTTTTCTACCTGTTCAAAAACTACTCCAACCAGTTAAATCTTCTCTGCCATTCTCCCTCTCCAGGAAGTGGCTAGGGTTAAAGGCAGTCCTTGCATTCATGCCCCCTTCTCCATGTCTAATTTGTGGCAAATCGAACGGCTTCTGGGATTTTTCTCTAAAAATCCCTCTCAACAATGATAGACTGGATTAAGAAAATGTGGCACATATACACCATGGAATACTATGCAGCCACAAAAAATGATGAGTTCATGTCCTTTGTAGGGACATGGATGAAATCGGAAATCATCATTCTCAGTAAACTATCGCAAGGACAAAAAACCAAACACCGCATGTTCTCACTCATAGGTGTGAATTGAACAATGAGAACACATGGACACAGGAAGGGGAACATCACACTCTGGGGACTGTTGTGGGGTGGGAGGAGGGGGGAGGGATAGCATTAGGAGATATACCTAATGCTAAATGACGAGTTAATGGGTGCAGCACACCAACATGGCACATGTATACATATGTAACTAACCTGCACATTGTGCACATGTACCCTACAACTTAAAGTATAATAATAATAATAATAGTAAAATTCCTCAAAAGAAAAAAAAAACCCTCTCATTAGCACAGGAAATTCCTGCACATAACCCAGGCCTTTAACTTGGCATACCATATATATAATTCTATCTCCACCCTTACCCTTAAAAAAAAAGAGTGCTCAGCTTAATTAAAATGGATATCTAAGCTATAAGTATATTCAAAAGTCATTTATCATTTTCTCTTCATAAATCTTGTTTTCCTAAAAAAGGCTTTTTTCTCAGTCAAAATTTCTTTTCTTCACTCTGTCTTGCCACTCTTGGTGCATGCATAAAAGACCCCAGAATAACTTGATGGCCTAGGAATCCGTAGGAAGATAGAAAATTTTCCACAAATCCCAGGCCAGGTGCAGTGGCTCATGCCTGTAATCCCAGCACATTGCGAGTCTAGGTGGGTGGAGTACCTGAGTTCTGGAGTTCGAGACCAGCCTATCCAACATGGAGAAACACCATCTCTACGGAAAATACAAAATTACCTGGGCATTGTGGTGCATGTCTGTAATCGCAGATAACTCCATAGACTGAGGCAGGAGAATCTCTTGAACCCAGGAAGCAGAGGTTGTGGTGAACTGAGATTGTCCCATTGTACTCCAGCCTGGGCAAATGAGTGAAACATGCAAAAATAAAGGAAAAAAAAAAGAGTAAAACATAAGGAGCATAGGTTTTTCCTGCCCTTCTGAAATCCCAGAGGCAGAGGTATGGAGTTAAAGGAAAGTTTTGCCCCCTTGCGATTTGATCGCTAAAAAAGAACTTCACCATGTGGTGTTTGTGGCAACATAGGTCACCTATGGCACAGAAAAAGTAAAATAAGGGTATGGCATTGTTAAGCAGAGAGAGAATGCTGAGATAAGTTTCAGAGATGCTCTTATGTGGGGGGCCAAAGATAGGACTCCACTGTGCTCCCGTGTCTCCTGGAAGAGATGGAAGAGAACTCAGCGCAGTGCTAGGAGGCATTCCCAGGGCTACCCTGACAAGAGATAAGGTAGTCATGGTGCTGAAGCCACAGTATAAACAGCCTCGTTGGGCATCTAATAGAAGGTTTATTTATTTATGTATTTATTTTCAAACTTTTGAAAATAAAAGAAGAGCACAACTAACTCCTGAATCATCCAATACAACAAGTCACAAATTTATGCTGTCACTCAGAACAGAGCATGAGAATTTCAGAAATGATCCAGAAATCCTACAGTAAAGATCTGGGTGAAATCAGGTGCACAAAGGTCACGCCAGGAGCCTCCCATCTCTTTTCCACTTTTTAAAGGGCAAGTGTTCCATTTGTGACCCTCCTGACATTCTCATTTGCTACTTTGGAACTTATAAGGGGCACTCTGTAAAACAAAGCTCTTTCCTGAAAAACAAAAACAAAAACAAATAAACAACAGTGTTAGATACTATTAATTAGCCACTTCAAACCTCCACCATAAATTTGTCAGGGTCAGGGCTTGTGAGGAAGATTAGGTTGATAAATCACACCCAACAACTTTCAAGTACTGCTACATCACAGTTGTTCTATGCGTAAATTTGTAGCACTACCACAACACTTAGATTTAATGTCTTTCCATCTACTTCAGTTCATTCACATTTCATATGTAATTCGTACGGTTTTAAAAATACATACTTAAGATATGTGTACTGCTTTCAGTAAAGGAATCTAAAATGAAAAGTATTCTGATCCAGAGTAAAAAAATTGTATGTTTTGTGGCTGATGCTGTCTCTGCTGCCAACTGGCTCTGTATCCTAGGCCAAGTCCTTTAATTTCTCTGGGCATTCATTTTCTCCAGAAAATGAGCAGACTGGACTAAATCATTGCTGAGGTCTATTTTGATTTCTGACATCCTTCACTCATAGGAGTGATAAAATAAGGATGGCTGAGATGATCATGGTTAGACTGGCATTAATCATTAAACAATGTTAACAAGTGTACAACCATTTAGTGAGTTCAGGCCATCTGCCTGGCAAAAAGTAAGTCATTTTATACAGGTTATTTCTAATCATTTAAACAACCACATGAGGAAATAGAAGTTGAGAGAGTTTGTAATTTGCTCCATGCTACACAGTTGGTAACTGGCATAGCCAGACTTCTCACTCATGTTTTCTCTGAAGCTTCTAAATTATATATAATACTTATTTTCTGTCCTTTTAAATTGTTTGATTTGAAGATAACAGCTTCCAGTCATTGTGAAAATTTTATACATCATCCAAGCTTCCCATTCTCTCTGAAGCTCTATTTATAGCATTGAGGCAAAGCAATCTATGTCCTGAACTCATGAAGAATTCACTTCGATCATGCATTTAGTACTTATTTTCAAAGCTAATACATTTTTCTAATCTCCTGTAACTATCTCCTGTGTCCTTCCCACAAAACTATAAATGCTCTGAAGCAATGTCAAGAAATGCTTGGGAGGAGCGTGGCATCAATAGGGCTGGAACTCGAGTGAAGAGACTAAGGTGTCTGCCATCAAAACCTCAGGAGGTCTCATTGTCTGGACTTCACCAGTGCTGGGTCAGCTTAGCTGGTTCCTGGCCCCGGACAGCCCATAGCAGCTGGTGGATGGCTAACTCACTGAAACGGTCTGAATGAAGTTCAACAAACTTAGTTCTCGACTCTGATAACCACTGATTTGGCTGCCCGAAGAGATCCTATGTAGTGCCTGGAAAATCAATCTGGTGAAAACAAAACTGAAGTCCAGAAGGCAGAGTAGAGGAAAGCCAGTGGAAATGCCTTCCTTGGTAGCATATTACTGTAGTATAATGAGTCACCAAATATCTGAAACACAAACTCATTCTGTTATTCCCTAGAGCTAAAAGCCCCAGCAATATAATGTTGTAAATGGAAAGATTTTTGAAGAAATTCCTTTAGCTTTCTTCAGCCCTTGACCTATGTGGGTTAGTGCCATAGCAAAACATCACACACTTCTTGGTGACACTTGGTAACATTATCAAACAAACAAACAAAAAACCACACACACAGAAATTTATTGTCTCATATTTCTGGAGACTGGAAGTCCAAGTCAAGATGTCATCACCTTTGATTTTTTTCTGAGACCTCTGTCCTTGGCTTACAGATGGGGGCCCACCCTTTTCGTGTTTACATGGTCTTTTCTCTGTGCTCAGGCATTCCTGGTGTACCCTTGCGTGTCAAAATGTCCTCCTCTTATAAGGCCACCAGCGAGACTGGAATAATGCCATATCCAATTGCTTTCGTTTAACATAATTACATTTTTAAAGCCCTTATAGCCAAATACAGTAACATTCTGATGTAATGGTTTTAGGACTTTAATATGAATGGGTTGGGGCTTGGGAAATCAGCCCATAATACCATAAGTCTGGAAAATTGTAAGCTGTCACATAGGCAGATACAGTCATAATGACCAGTAGAATACCATGCATGTTAATAAATAAACATTGTTTATTTATGCTTCAAGATTTAACTCTGACAACACCTAGATAAACAATACATTTTTGTTGATTCAATAAGATTGATTTAATGAATGAATAAACTTGCTTACTTTCAACAGTGGTCACATCACACTATGTGAATAGCAAAACTTAAGGGTTAGAGATGTGTCTGACATACAAGATATTAGTTACCCCCGTCTTTCTTATTTAAAAATTAGTATTTTAATTAAACAATCAAACTTAAGCAATATTACAAGTTAAGCAGGTAAATCTTATTTAGGAAGATCTCTCTTTAGTAAATAAGTAGAATTGAATATTTTCCCTCACTTTTTCTCCTCTGTTAGCTTGAATCAGACCTAATTCATATACTTAAGCATGGATTGGATATTTATTACTATTAATTTCTACACTGACACTAGAGTCACCTTTGGGCTGACCCTCTGGTCTCAGATTATCATAAGATACAATATATTGTATTTAGTTCAGATGCTGAAAAAGTTTCTGCATTATGAATACTTATTTTAAGTATTTATTGCAACAATTATGCTAATAATGGATATTTTCAATGTTTATTTGTTCATTGTATTTTTAGCATTACACATATTCTTATCAACCCAAATATCTGGACCTTTCCCCTTTGCTCCTCTGCTCCAAGATCCTCTGATTCCCTTTGTTCACATAGCAATAGAAGGAAAGAGAAGGAAAAAGAAAACACATTTTGTAGATTTTCTTCTTTTACACATTAGAACTTTTGTGTGTGTTTTTTTTTTTTTTTTTTTTGGTCTGGATTCTGTCTAACCAGATGCTGTTTTTCCATTTGGCTCTAAAAATAATATTGCCCATCACTCATCAATTACAAACAATAAAAATTATTGAGTTGTTTTTACATTGAAATTCAAATTGAATAACATACCCTTAGCTGCTGGCCAGCAACATACGAGGTCAAAGGGTGTAAGCAAATGTCTTCAAATGTATTTTTTTGGAAAAATTATGTATTCTTACTTATTAAGTTTATCTTCACATTATCTTTTCACTTGGATTACTTAAGTAACATTATCAAATATGATTAAGTATATTATTATATCATATGTAATTTCTAACTGATTTTTGCAATATTAATTTATAGTAGCACTTAGCAAATAGGGCTTGTGTCAACCTTAAGAGGCCACAAAATATGTAGTAGACTCGAATAGTAAAGATCTAATCACTCATTTTACAGATGAAGAAACTAAAGCTCATACAGAAAAGGCAAACTTGTCAACAGGAATTATTTTGAAGGAACTTTCGTATTTAGGTTCAGAAATTATTTGAGAAATGTGCTCTGAACGGGGTCTTTGAAAACAAGTCGGTGTAACGGAAGGTAAACATGCATAAACCAAAAGTATTAATAACTAATTCAATAATGGTGAGTACTGGGGGGACAAGTAGCAGGTTTTAAAGCAAATATAAATTTCAGGTTTGTGTATTAGAAGATGGGGAGTCAGTTGAAAAATGGCATAAAGTACAATGTGACAATTACATAGTTTGTGACAATGAATGTTGACAAAATGAACTAATGAAGAAAGAATGGAACTAAAAACACCTGTGAGGAAATAAAAACCAAAAACAATTTTTGATCCATTTGTAAACTTACTTGGTTTTGGAGGAAGACTACAGTAATGCAAATGAAGAGAATAAAGTGAGTCCGTAGGATGGGGTAAAGAAAAATACAAAAGGATTGTGTCATATATTCATATAAATGATTCAAATTCTAATAATAGATTTCATTCTTGGCCCTAAAATTAATCAGGCTTAATTTTTTAACAATAATAAATATTATATATAAAGTGGGAAAACCATTATCAAAGGTGACAAAGAGCTTTAAGGTGTAAAATATCTGCAATTTGGAATTTTTTGTGGGTGTAACATAAATATTAAACTAAGAGAACTCCATATTCATATTTCCTTGAAAATTATTGCTCAGAATGGTATAAAATTAATAAAACACGGTGGCCTTAAGAAACAAACAACAACAACAAATCTAATGTGTGTTTAAAGAGGCCATGTAAAAAGACTTACAACTTTTGTACTTTCTGTAGATAGCCAGTCTCCTAGAGCGTCCTGTGTTTTAGAACTGAGAGCTGGTCTGCATGATAGCACTTATTTGCAGTGCTGAAGGCTGTGAGAGTGGAGCAAAATCTCTTTGCTTTCACGTATCCTTTGTAGCAAAATATAGAGAAACTCTCTTTTGTTCTTCCCTGTGGTGTTTCCAGTAAGAAAGAAGCTTAGTGTTTCCCAGTATGCATTTGCACGTTGTTTGGATGCTAAGCACTCCACCTCAGAGAACCCTGAGATAGTGGGGAAGCTCAAAATCCAGTCACTGGAAGTAGGAAAACAACTCTGATATACTGTCCCCTTTATTTTTGTTTTCCTTAATGGATAAGGCCCCTAAGGTATTCTCAACTCCAGTAATTGGGAAGAGCAAAGCAAAGCTACAACATCAGCAGGACTAAGGATATGCCTAATCTAAGAACTATCTTAATTGTGGTTAGGGATATAATTTCTTTGGAATTATTTACTTAGGTAAACTGCCAAATCTCATGACTGCTTCCAGGTCCTGAGATTTGGCGGTTTACCTGAGTAATGTATTTGTTACCTTGCTAACTCATCTTTATTTACTTGTTTTAGTAGAAGCTTTGGTTTCTGGAATTAGCGTCAAAATTCCAATACTTATTTTATAATAACCCTTTTGGTTGGTTGACTTTTCTAGAAAAAAAATGTTGAAATGATAACCACGGGACATGTGACTGTAAATTTATTTGCAAATATAAATTTTTCAAATATAATCAAGTTAAGGTAAGGTCACACTAGATTAGGGTATGCCCTAAATTCAATATCTTGTATCATTATAAAGAAAGAGAGATTTAGAGACACAGAGACACACACTGAGGGAAGACAGCCATGTGAAGACAGGTAGATGCTGAAGCGATGTAGCTACAAGCTGATGAATATCAAGGATTACTGGCAACAACCAGAAGCTGGGAATGGCAAGGAAGAATTCTCCTCCAGAAATCTCAGAGGTCCGGCAACATATTGACTTCAGATTCTTAGTTTCCAGAATGCAGGAAAAAAAATTATGTTTTTAAAAGCCATTCGAGGCCACATGTGGTGGCTCACACCTGTAATCCCAGCACTTTGGGAGGCAGAGGTGGGCACATCACCAGGTCAGGAGATCAAGACCATCCTGGCTAACATGGTGAAACCACGTCTCTACTAAAAACACAAAAAATTAGCCGGGCACGGTCGCAGGTGCCTATAGTCCCAGCTACTCTGGAGGCTGAGGCAGGAGAATGGCTTGAACCCGGGAGGCAGAGCTTGCAGTGAGCCCAGATAGCACGACTGCTGTCAGGCCTGGGCTACAGAGCAAGACTCCCCCTCAAAAAAAAAAAAAAAAAAAAAAAGCCACTCGAAATGTGGTAATTTTTTTATGGTAGCTCTAGGAATCTAATACATTCTCAGAACTGTAATTTTCTCCTGATTATAAATTATCTACTCATTGTTATCTTTTTCAACATTTTCTCATTGCTAATAAAAACATATAATTATCAACTTTTTGTATAGAAGGTCATTGCTATATCTTTGAAAACTTCTAGTAATCTTAAGGATTTCTGAACAGAATATGTAAATTTAAAGGGAAAAACACATTTAGTCTTCTTAATAAAATCAGTGTTAATTGTGTAAAGAAAAACATCCTGCTTCTCTCCTGCAATCTGGCCTGGGCCTCCTCCTCTAAGCATTCCAGAATAAATCATATGGCTTGTCACCCTGCAGTGAATTTAAGAGAGCAACAATGATGATGGTGATGATAATGATGGTGATTACTAGAAATACAATAATTCATATCTTAATTTTTGTTTGATTATAATTTTCTAACATTCTCTGGTGTACATCATGTATATTACATGTGCACACACAAACCCCTTTGAATAAACAGTATCACGTTTGCCTTTCCCTTTGTCCTAGCTTGAGTTCCCCCAGAAAACAAGCCTGAAATAAAAGAGGGGGGTATATGAGATACAGGACAAGTGATATATAGAAGGAAGAAGATTTACTATAACATTTTATCAAGTAGGCCAGTTTAAAAGGGAGTTTGGGCAATTCTAGAGTTAATACTTTATGATAAAGAAACTTGTCTGTATGCACAACAACCTCAATTAATAACCTTCAACCTTTGTGCCTGAAATAACACAGGTTCTCCATAGAGGTCACTACTTCTCTTGCAGCCCACCCAAGCAGAGGCCACTTATTCCCTCACACTCCATATACTGCAAGGCCTGAGTGAGGTCACAGATTCTTCTTCCTCCCTTTCTAATATCATATCAAGTACACTTTCCTAAATTTACAACCCATTCCCATTGTTCTCACAATCTTCCTGTCCATTCCAATTCCTGACAATGATTACAGAGACTTTAACATTCACACAAAGGCCCACTAAATAATAGCAGTTCCTGAAATTCCTAGTTTCCAAAGACCTTCTCTTACACTTTAGTTCAGCCATCATCTTTCACTGTTTTCTCTTAACTATTTTGTTTCCTGATATAGGGTCTCACTCTGTTGCCCAGGCTGGAGTGCAGTGGCATGGTTATAGCTCCATGCAGTCCTGAAATCCTGGGCTCAAGTAGTCCTCCCACCTCAGCCTCCCATGTGGCTGGAACAACAGATGCACGCTACCATGCAAAGTGAATATTTTATTTATGTACTTATTGTAGAGATGGGTCTTGCTATGTTGCCCAGGCTACTCTCAGACTCCTGGTCTCAAGCAATCTTTCTGCTTTGACCTCTCAAAGTGCTGGAATTATAGGAATAAGCCACCATGCAGGGTCCCCTTAATGATTTATTTTACTAATATGTTGAAGTACCTTGCCTATACATGTCACCTATGGAAGCCCAAACGTGGACCACCTCACCCATCCCCTGTCCAAGCTGTTTCCTAGACAGCTGGCTCATGTTTGAGTTTCATAATGAGCACACTCATGTGTCAATACAGTGGAGACCACCTTTACTTAATAGCCAGTTAGGAACTGAAGTCCTTAGCCCAACAGCCCATGAAGAACTAAATCCTGCCAACAGTCAGGTGAACAAGCTTGGAAGCACATCTTTCCCCACGTGTTTTAAAATGACTGAAATCCTCGCTAACACCTTGAGTGTAATTTCGTGAGAAGCCTTGAGCCAGACATACCCTGATAACTGTGCCCAGTTTTCAGACCCACAGAAACTGTGAAATAATTAATGGTGTTTTTTAAAGCCACTAAGTTTTGCTATAATTTGTTACTCAGTGATAGATCACAAATAAACTAGCTATGCCCCCTTACCAGAGTCATCTCTCCTTCTGGCAGCTAAAGTGCATGCTAGAAACTAATGTTACATGATTAGGTAATTGGTAGGGGAGCAATATTAAAATCGCTAAAAAAGTCATCATAAAAAAACAGAGAGAGAGATCGAGTAGTGAAGGGTAGTCGCATATAACCCATAACACACTCTGTAAATGCATCTAAATTTCTGCTTTCCCCACAAAAGTATTGTTAGTGCCCTCCCTACTTAAGGTTAGCTCTTAAGGACATGTTGTTCTAGTCAAAGAGTATATTATGTGTAGAATTACTCTGAAGCATTATTTGAGCTCTTTCTGCAGTATGTGTGCAATTTGGTGATACTTCTTTGTATTCCCATCTTTCCTCTGCTCATTTTAATTTAGTAACATTTTCATTTCATCATCTTGCTCTCACCAATAGGATGTATCATATCTCAAATACTTCTTTGCCACATTTTTAATTCTGCTTTTGTTTACAAGTACTATGATAATGATACTAACAAAGAACAATCGAAGGGCCCAAACTTACACAGTTAACGGCTGTTCAAGAGGAGGTCACTATCACTATCCTTTGTTCCTCCATGGCCAAAGTCCATTGTTTCCACTGAGACAATTTAGATATTTTGATTTCTGTCTTCTTTCTTTGACAGTGTAGTCTTACGTTTTTATGAAGAGAAAGAAAATGTCTAATCTCACCATTTGATAAAATATAACAAAACCCATAAAATAAATAATAATATAAATCTCATATTTTTAATGGTACTTGAATAGTGTTTCTGATTTTAACATAAGCTAACACAATGTACATAATTTTGCACAACACATTTTGTACAGTGCATGTTGTCCAATGCAATAACACAATTTTCTTTTGCGTTATTGCTTTGTACAAAAATGCAATAACACAAAAGAAAGTGTACATACTAATGGAAGTAAGCCTTGTATTATTCAGTCTATCTAGGGGGTTAAGTCTCTTTGTTTTCACTCACACTGAATGAAACATTGCCAAGAGAAATAGATATAACTGTTACAAAATATCAGAAAACTACAATTTTTAATATCCAATGAACTGTTTTTAATGTCTGAATTTCATGTCTTTTATACTTTAGGTTTTTTTTTTTTTTAATGGAAACACTCTGTCAGCGGAGAACTATCAGGTCCTAGTGTTTTATCCATAGCACTGGTGAAAGTTCCACCTGACTATCAGGACCTACTGTTCTATCTGTAGCACTGGTGAAAGCTCCACCTGCTTACTTCAGACTTGTGAGAGCTTCTTTCCTTTGAGAGTACTGGCTGGTGCCAGAAGAAGAAACATCATGCCCTGGAAGAGTAGAGAGCAGCTGGTGTAGTTGTCCTGGTGTTTATGGGATATAATAGGTCTAAAGGCACATTTGGAACTGGTTGGGGATATAACATAATGCTTCTTACATTTATCTTTATAATCTACTTTCCTATCAAGTTCATACTATATTCAGCAAATGCAGATGAAAAAAAAAAAAGCTCTGTTACCACAGCGGCTGAGAGTATGGAATCCATGTCCTAGTTAGTTAAACTATTTTTTTAATCAAATGCAAAATAAATACACTGAGAAATCTGTTCTATTTTTTAATTTGAAAAATGAAAGACATTTTTGTAAGAATTAGCCAGGGGGAGCATGTCTGGAAAGCAATCAACACAAAGTTCCTATTTGGGAGAAAACTAACATAATTGCCAAAAAAAAAAAAAAACAAAACAAAACAAAACAAAACAAAAAAAACTCATCTGTAGTATGATCCAAATTTTCAAGCCAGGGGTATTACAGAAAGGAATTTGCTACCAGAAATTTGCATTAGATGGTATTTCCACTATTCCAAACTGTTTATTTTTGATGACATCTTCCTTTGTTTGGGCAGAAGTTTTATAGCACGTATTTAGTGAAGAGCTACAGAACCTTAATAAAATGAAATAAGTAAAGTATCAGCATGGCAAAACTAAGGTCATTATGGTGACTTTAAAAATACTTTCCTACAGAAATCAGGTCTCAGGCAGCATTTGCAAGTCACAGAAATTATTCCTTAGTTTTAGATTGCCTACTGTTTTATACTCTCCCCTTTCCCATTATTTCTTATTATTTTTCCTGAAATGTTTTGGGGTCCATTGTCCACCCTCTCAGTGAACATCAGCATTGTGACTCTCATAGGATATTCACATCTGCTTTATTCATTTATTAAGTGGTTAATTCAGGAGACACAACCATGGCCCATGGATTTGGGAAGACCCTGGAAATATAAAGACATCCAGTTGACATGGCAGAGTGAACTTTTCCTCCAAAAACACAGGAATTCCGTGTAAATGAAAACTATTAAATATTAACAATGGAACTCAAAAAAATCACATGTGGGATACGAAGCAAGATCAGAAAGCTCATGCAGTAAGCTAGAGCTGAAGCCAAGGTGGGCTTACTGTTTTCCAACACAGATTTATACTGTGCAGGGTGAGATCATTAGTTCTGATTCCCAACTAAGGGTGCAAGATGAGGCTCTCATAACTTGAAAGGTACAAAACCTCCATATAAACTCAGAAACTGTGAGACATGATCTGGTTATTCTCCTGGAGAATGGCATTGGCAACATTCCTTCTGCATATCACTCAGGGGTGGTGGGGGAGGGAGTGGCCTGTCAGCAATTGGAACACAAGCTCACCCACATGCAAATTAGAATTTTTACTTTATAGATGGGCATCTACTTCATTGACAGTAAATTTTGCCTCCTCTCAGAGGTAAATTGAAATGCGTGTCTGTACTAGCATCCAAAATGCAGAGTGCTCCCAGAAAAGACAGTGCCCACTAGAAATAATCACAGCATCAGAAGTCACTAAAAGTTACCATAATGAAGTAAACCTCCATGAAAAAGCCAATAGATGCACTAAAGATAAGCCGACTTGAATTCATTAATAGTATTTGAAAATGTGTTATCAAATATTATTAAATAACATTATCAAATAATGTTTTTAATTTTCATACCAATATTTTAATCTTCCCTCAATTTTCTATCTAAAAATATATAGACTCTTAATTCTCATTCCTAAACATGTCTATCCCATGGATTGCATTCAACTTCACTTACAGGAATGGTGTCAAATTCTGGAATTTTATGAAAGGTTTATATTTGCTGGCTTACTCATTTCCTCAACAGATATTTATTGAGAGTTATGCTTTATCAAGTACTGTGCAACATGCTAAAGATACAGCATTTAAAAAGCCAACATTAATGTGGCTAAAGAGGTAAGTGGAGTCTATGAGGAGGCAAGGAGGCAGGCAGGTCAACAGGTAGTGATCATTCAGCAAGGTAAATTAATGGCATAAACAAACAGCACAGTACACAATGTTCTTGTGTTAACCTCACTTATATAAACTGGGAGAGGCACTGAGCTTATCCTGGTCAAATTTTTGAAGTTAATGTGTTAAAAAATCTTATAACAAAAAAAAATTAAGAATTTTCCTGAATAGAAGTCACTGGTCAAATTGGCCTCTAATGTCTGTTCTATAAACAAAACTCCAGAATAGTTGGCAATGTCTAAAGAATTCTTGGTAAAAAATATGGCATGACCCAAAATTTCTTACACCTAAATTTTCAAACTCATGGAAAATTAGTGGAAAGACAACTTTACATATACCAGAGCTTGTAAAGTGTAAACCATGCTACCCCATGAAAAAAAAAAGTTAATATAAAAGCACACTGCAGTTGAACCAGAGATTAACTGAAATAATGAATAGAAAGGTTGTGTTATAAAAAGATGTGATTCAAAAGAAAATATAGTTCACAAACAAAAAGAACACACACACACACACACACACACATGCTGCACATGGTTGTGGGTGCCTGTAATTCCAGCTACTCAGGAAGCTGAAATGGGATGCATGAGCATTTGAACCCAGGAGTTCAAGCCTGCAGTGAGCTATGATGATACCAATGCAATCCAGTGTGGACAACAGAGTGAGACACTGTCTCAAAAAAAAAAAAGAGAGAGAGAGAGAAATGATAACTGCCTGAAGTGAAGGATGCCCTATTATTTATTTATTTGTTTATTTTCATATTTATTTTTGAGTTGAAGACTCACTCTGTCACCCAGGCTAGGGTACATGGTGCAGTCTCAGCTCACTGTAGACTCAGCCTCCTGGGTTCAAACAATTGTCACGCCTCAGCCTCCCAAGTTAAGGTACTACAGGCATGCACCACCATGTCTGGGTAATTTTCTATTTTTGGTAGAGACAGGGTTTCCTGGTGTTGGCCAGGCTGGTCTTGAAGTCCTAGCCTAAAGTGATCTGACTTTCTCGGCCTCCAAAAGTGCTGGGTTACAAGCTTGAACCACAGCTACCGACCTTTGTTTATTTTGTAGAGTGGCAAATGACTTCATACTAAAGATTTTGCCATGAAGACTGGTTTCTTCATTTGAGAACTGGGCAATATGTACTTGTTTTATTTTGCAATTTATATTATCTAACTGGTCTGTTTATATTAAACATGTACAAGTGTACATGTGTGTTGCTGCATGACTATCAATATAAAATCCCTACTGACAAATTTCCTTGTACATTAGGAAAGTAGGGACGCAGAAGAAAGTTATCTGAAACAGTATTTAATACCAAAATGTAAGAAATCACCTAAGTGTGCACAAAAAAGGGCCAATAGAAAAAAGGGCACCCATAGTCAAGACCATTAATACTAATGTTAAATTTAAACTACTTACATTAAATTACATACAAATGCAGTAAAAGTATACGGACACTCACGGTAGTAAAAATGACCAAATTTTACTTAATTTTACTTTGAAACGTAGAAGCTAATGTAGTAGTTTTCTTTACTTCAAATTGTATATAGTATAAACAAGCAAGTTCAGCTTTGTTACTGGAAATAGGAATAATGCTGAGATAAGTAAATTCTAAACAGGTCAGAAAATAAAACAAAGCTGAGAAGGTTAAAATCTACCAACTTAATCCATCCTGCTGAGGGGAGAAGAACTCAAAAGCCATCTCCTGACTTCATGGAAATCAATATTTCTGCCGAAGTCTGGTTGCAGCTATAAAGGGTCACAAAAATTATCATCTCTGAATGATTTCTGCTTTCTTACTCAATGAGAAACTTTATGTTCTAAACTTGTAAACAGAGTATTTGCTATTTGAAATGTTATCAGTGAAGAGAAAACTTAGCACTTTTGTCCGGCTGATTTATGTCACTTTCCACAGAAGAAAAACTGATTTCCAGCCTAGGTGCATAGCTTCAAGTAACAGGCATTTGCACTCAAATTTCCACACAAATGTCAACTTGTGATCTACAAGGAATAAAGACACTGTATTCTCTCACAGTATAAACACGATGTTTTGGCCTTTCATACATCGGTGTACTTTACCTTGAACCTATTTAGGTAAATATCTATTCACCACCTAAAACCTGCTGTGTTTAAATATCTATTCACCACCTTTCCCATAAATCCTACAGTACCTAGTTTTATTACTTTAGTTGCCACACAGGTATGGTCTACCTTACTCTACCAAGTCAATGCAATTTTATCAGGCTATAGGTTTGTCCTATGCAGCCATAGCCTAGCTGGATTAAGTCAAAGAATTTCTCTGTCTAGTTCTTTTCCCCACATTAAATGCAACCAGCAAAAACATCTAATATGCCTAGAATTCCCAGAAATAAAACACATTTTCTGATTTGGCAAAATTGATTCCTGTAAATGATACTCATTTGAGAGAAGTGCCATTTTTCAAGTGACTGATATAAAAATGGTAATGTCCATAATAATTTGTACTCTATTTTATTTTAAAAGGTTCCATTTTTTTTTTTTTTTTTTTTTTTTTTTTGCCAGGCAAGGTTGCTTATGCCTGTAATCCCAGCACTTTGGGAGGCTGAGGCTGCTGTATCTCAAATGAAACCAGCCTGGCCAACATGGCAAAAGCCCATCTTTATGAAAAATACAAAACCTCTGCCAGGTCTGGTGGCTTATGCCTGTAGTCCCAGCTACTCAGGAGGCAGGAGAATCACCTCCAGGAGGTGGAAGTTGCAGACAGCCAATATCACGCCATTGCACTCCAGCGTGCGCCAGAGAATTGGACTTTGTTTCAAAAAAGTAAAATACAATAAAATAAATGTGGATTTTTTTGAAAACATAATAAGCCAGTTTTTATGTTATTTCTGAAATTTTTATCTGTGTCTATTCTTTTCACACAGAAAGGAGTATATAGACAAGCTTATACAAATGTTTCAACTATATTTGAATTTTATTTGCACAACTGTCTGAATAATTTTAATACCCTAGATTAAAGTTAGAATACGTATATTTTACCCTTTGGTCTGTTTTTTTTATTATTTTAAGTCTGAGCATAATAACTCCCTAAAAAGATTTCTGTAGGGCCTGGTTTCTCCTAACATTATTTTCTTGGCTGTATTTTATCTAAGCTCATTATGCCAACAGAATTTGTGCTGTGTCTTCAAAAATGACTTCTGAAAACCTTCCATGGCATCTGTTATGCCACTAACTCTAATGGGGTAATGGGGACCATATTTACCCTCCCAGGTTAAATAAGTATAAAACTAGACAGAAATATGAAACAAATATTTTTCTAGATTCAATTATAGGCAGCACCAATCATTTCTTGGAAAAGATGAACAAAGACAGTATAAGGATGAACCCTGCTTATTACCAGGCCATAACTTAGGGGGTCTTACTAGACTGAGAAGACTAAAATCAGAGTTCAACTATACCTAGAAAACTAGAATTTGTAGAGCAAAATGCCTGAAAAAAAAGAAGACTTACACAAAAAGAAAACCCCAGAGAGGCAAAAGAGTTCTTGCAGGTGTTCTGCTGGCTGTTAATCTGCATATCCATGTGAGAAAATTATTTGAAGTTTAAAAGAAAGCACTGGAACAAAACTATTCCCCGTACACACATCTATAATGTTAATTGGGCAGAGTACTTTGACTTTGTTTCTGGGTAAGAAACATAGCATGATCTTCCTATTATTTCTTTAGCTATACTCAATATCTGATATGTATGAGAGTGCCTTAATGACCTAGGTTGTAGTTATTTTAAGAGCCTGGGGTGAGACTTTGCTGGGGTTTGGTGTACTGTTCAGGCCTGTACTCAGGCTCCTGGGTAGCATCAGAAGACAGCAGCTGTGGCAGCTGCATTGGGCAGGTAAGTCCTAGCGGTCCCAGGCAGTATGGAAGGGCCCCACTGTGGTGGCTGTGGGCTGGGTGGGCCAGTCTTTGGTCCTCCATGTGGTACATGTGGGTGACTATAGTGGCAGTAGCAGCTTAGGTTCTGGGTTGTGGGTGCTGACATGACACTCACTGGTGTCTGGTTGTCTTACTGCTGAGGGGTTAGGAGGAGTTGGTGCCTCAGTGGCAGCAACTGCAGGCAGGTATTTCCCATGCCCTATGGATCACACATTTTTGTTCCCTATGTTTTGGAGCAGCCTCTCAAATATGCTGGAATGCCTATTCCCTGGGGTATTGCATGCTGCATAATTTCCATTACCATGGACCCAGCCACAATGCTGCATCCAGCTGACATCGTGACACTGAGGCCTCTGGGTGGACAAAAGGGCATGTCACCAAGGACCCAGGTTTTGGAGATGCAGGGGATATTGGACCCCTGGGCAAAAGGCTCTCTGATGTAGGTTCTAGACAGCCTTTTGCCCAATATCACCCTGAATATTGGGCCATGCACCAGCAGTGTGGGCCTCTGTGGGCACAGGGTCTTGCATGAGTTCCCTCTCTGGGACACTGTAGTTGTGTGGACATCAGGCAGGTCTCTGTATTAGGCTTAGGACCTGTCCTCACAGCGCCAAGGAGATTCTCTCCATCTAGGATTGCAAATGTGGTCTTTCTTTCTCCCACAGTGGAGAACTCCTTTTGGTTTTGAGCCAATTCCAGCTGGCTGCTTTGGTCCCTCTCTACACTACTGCCATCCCCAGTTTTCATGCCTCAGAGAGTCACAGTCACTTCCCTGCTGAATTCTAGCATTCTCCCAAAGATGTTCGATTAATGCATAGTTATCTATTTGCTATTGTGGACATTCTTTGTGGAGGAGGTGAGTCTTGAGTGACTCTAGCAGTCATCTTTATCCTTTTGTTGTTGTTGTTTATTTTATTATTTATTTATTTATTGAGATGGAGTCTTAATCTGTAACCCAGGCTGGAGTGCAGTGGTGCAATCTCAGACCACTGCCACCTCTGCCTTCTAGGTTCAAGTGATTCTCCTCTCTGTCTCCCAAGTAGCTGGGATTACAGGCCCCCACCACCAAGCCTGGTTAATCTTTTTGTATTTTTAGTAGAGATGGGGTTTCACTTATTGGCCTAGCTGGTCTCAAACTCCTGACCTCAGGTGATCTGCCCACCTCGGCCTCCCAAAGTACTGGGATTACAGGCATGAGCCACCATGCCCAGCCTTTGATTTTTTATTTGTTTAAAAAATGTCAATTATTTTTCTCTCCTTTTATCTTTGTCTTCTCCTTATAGTACTCCATATATTATCATCCCACTTCATATTGTTTCGTAAGTTCCTTAGGCTGTCTTCATGATTCCTTATTTCTCTCTTTCATTTTTATCCTCCATTTTGATTATTTTCAAACACTTGGCTTAATTTTGCTTATCCTCTGTTCTGCTCGATCCAGTTTACTGTTTGTCCCCTGTATCTAATTTTTGACTTAGGTTCCTATATTTTTCACTTCTTTGATTTTTGTTTGATACCTTGAACTATTTTCTACCTCTTTGTTAAACGTCTCAGTTTTTAAATGCATGGCTTTCCTGACTTCTGTTACTATCTTAGTGCTTTTTGTTTTGATTTCCCTGACAGGGACATTACATATTTTCATTTTATGAGAGTCCAATTCTGTTTATTTCTTTTGTTCTTTACCTCAGAACATATTTTCCTCTCCACTGCACTCCCTCACTGCCCCCGTACCCCCTACCACCAGCCCCACTTTTCTTGACTATGAGTTGGTTTCTGCAAGTCGGTGAAGACAACCATCTTTCTCTGTTGTCCTTAACTCATCCTATGTAGGAAATTTCATTTCCTTATCAGTGCAACCAGAGATTCCAGGTGCTTCTCAATTCCATGAATGCCCAACTCACTGTCTTTCTTCTTATGCCCCCCTGGATTGTAGGGTGTGTGAAATCATACTATTCCTTTGACATAGGCAAGACAGTAGCCAGCCCCATGATACACAGCTAAAAGGTTTTGAGATTAGATGTATATTGCTTGTGGACAAGCTTAGATTCAGAGTTTATGTCCAACTAGTTCTGCCTTATGCCAAGAATAGTGTCCATGACTGACACCTGTACCGTCATTCATTATGCTCACTCTGAATCTGGACAGATAGCCACTGAATATTTACAACTTTGACAATCTTGTTTTCTGGGATATAGCAGACTCGAACATCTTTGGGGCTCCAGCCGCTGTTTCGCAGAGAGTGACCAGCAGTCCTCTGATTCCTTCTCCTCCTGTCCAAGTAATATCCATAGAAATAGTAAAAGAGTGGCATATTAGGCTTCATAACATTTTTAAGGCTGACCAAGATAAGCATTTGATCCAGATATTTATGAATTTATCTCATATATTTTATTTATTTATAGATCTCATTTCAAAATCAATTTTTGCTTGAGAGTTATTTCAACATATATCCAAATGTTAGGAGCTATGATACATAGATTTCAAGTTTAAAAGTCTATATCTGCTATTATTTTGGGTAAAACCCATCTAGTGCTTCTAAAAATAAGTATTTATTAGGCATGGCCACTGTAGTGGTCTAAAACACACTTTGAAATTCTTCGCAAACCCATTTGAAAATATTCCTGATGTGACTGAACACAGTACTTGTTTCTAATGAATAGAAAACAGTGCAAGCTTTTTCTGGATATTGGGCCACCTCTGGCCTAGGTTAGAAAAGGTGACACAGCTCTGCCTAAGTCTCCTGCTTTCATGGGGACAAACCCCTCAGGAGCACCGGACCAGTACATCACAAAGTCTAACACCCTGATAACACTATGCAGAAGGGATGTCCCATGGAAAGACTCATTGAAATAGAAGGAGACACCAGAGGACCTCAGCAGTCCAGCCCCCGCTATTTGAGTCATGCTACCCACAGCACCAGGTAGATGAGAAGGCACTTGACAATGTCCCCATCCTGAGCCATCACTAGATTGCATGCTCCTGAGTGCCCCTGAACCACAATCATTTGGCTTAGAGACTCTGGAAGATTGAAGAGACTGAGAGTTAATAAATTATAATTATTGTTTTAAGCCACTAAGTTTTAGATAATTTTGAAAACCACTTTACTCTCCTAGAAAAACTGAGTCATCTACTGATTTGAGTACTGTGGAGAGCATTAAAGGCCAACATCATAAATGCCAATACCCTGGAAATGTCAAACCACCAAGACTCTTCTAAACACAACAGATTTTTATGTCCCTTTGCTATGGCTGGGGAATTATCTAACATGTATCTGATAGAGTCTTTTGAAAGCCTCTATTCACATCTCTTGGCTGCATATGGGTCAACTCTGGTCTGCTTTAATTCTAGTCAACTGCAGCAACTCATCTTTCATTTTAGGTCCTGGCCTACACTGATCTTTTGATCACTGACTGTGTCTTTGTATGTGTATGTATGTTTTGTGTTACCATATTTTATCTGAAGGGGCTAAATAATAGTGCTATAGTTGTTTTGTAAATATTAAGCATTCCAGGAAGACAATATTGCTTATCAACTGAGTTTTAAAAGAGATATGAGGCAGGGCATAGAGGCAATATTGTCTTCCTGGAATGCTTTATGTTTATGGATCTCTTGATGTCAGGAGTTTGAGACAAGCCTCGCCAACATGGCAAGATCCCATGTCTAATATCATACCAAAGCTGGCCAGGCGTGGTGGCCCATGGATGTAATCCCAGCTACTTGAGAGGCTGATGCAGGAGAATACATTGAACCCTGGGGGCGGAGTTTGCAGTGGAGTGAGATTGCACCACTGTGCTCACCACCAGAGCCTGACCACCAGAGCGAGATTCTGTCTCAGAAATAAAAATAAGATAAAATAATAGATAGGAGAGATGACTAAGGAGAGAAATGCATAAAACTGGGTGGGCATTGCAGCTCACTCCTGGAATCCCAGCCTTTTGAGAGGCTGAGGTGGGTGTATCACTTGAGGACAGGTGTTCAAAACCAGCCTGAGCAAATATTGTGAAACCTTGTCTCTACTAAAAATACAAAAAAAAAAAATAGCCAGGATTCATGTCACATGCCTACAGTCACAGCTACTTGGGAGGGTTTGAGTGGAGAACTGCTTGAACCTGGGATACGGAAGTTGCAGTCAGCTGAGATCATGCCACTGAACTCCAGCCTAGGTGACAGAGCAGGATTCCATTAAAAAGAATCAGAGAGAGAAACAGAGATAGAGAAGAAAGAAAAGGAAGGAAGGAAGGAAGGAAGGAAGGAAGGAAGGAAGGAAGGAAGGAAGGAAGGAAGGAAGGAAGGAAAGAGAAAGGAAGGGAGGAAGGTGGGAAGGGAGAAAGAGAGAAGAAGAGAAAGAGAGAACGAAAAAGAAAGAAAGAGAGAGAGGAAAATAAAGGAAGGAAGGAAAAGAGAGAAAAAAAGAGGAAGGAAGGAAGGAGCCGGGGGGTGCGGGAGGGACAGAGGGAAGGAAGAAGGAGGGAAGGAAGGAAGGGAGGGAGGGAGGGAGGGAGGGGAGAATGAAAGGCATAAAACTAAAAGGAAATAAATAAAAATAAAAACGTCATTTTGTCCATTATCCACATGAATTTTTAATTATGTTTAAAATAATATTTTGGTCCCTAGTGGTCTAGCTGAAACTTTAAAATGAGGTCATGTATATTGTCAAATTACTCATGTAACTACAGTGTTAGCTGAGATTCTTGTAGTTTTTGAAAACCAAATCTAATTGACATTTGTCATCAGATCTCATACTAATAGGGGCAGGGTAGTCTGTGTTATGCTGACTAATCTACACTAAATTAAAAATGAAATCAAATCTGCAAGAGATGTTATAGTTACTACTACCAGTAAAGGCTGTTTTGTTTCCTGACTTCTGGAGGGTTTTGTTTCCCCAGTGTTGATGGCTGTGGCAGAAAGCCTTCCTGGTCCAAACTCAACCCTTATCATCACAGTATATACCTGTTCAGACATTAAGGGGAAAGAGCATCCAATCCTACTGCTTTCCTGCATTGGTTCCTATACAAAAGCAAATGTGCTGTGTTAGTGACTATCAAATATTCATATATTTGATCAAGGAAATTTGTGTTTCCAAAGTGTAAAACAAAAATATTACTATCAGATGTATCTTAATTATTTTAGTTAGAGGAAGTCTTGTTCTGTCACCAGGCTGAATCACACATCATTGTAGTCTCAGATTTTGGGCTCAGAGGATCCTCTAACATCAGCCTTCCAAAGTACTGAAATTACAGACTTGAGCCATTGTACCCAGCCTCAAGTTTAGAGATAAACGGTAATGAATATATCGTAAACCATATAAATAAACACAACTGCAGTTTCTCTAGAGAGCTTAAGAAACCACTGAAAAACTGCCATTGTGGACAAGGCTGCTGGCAACAAGGTAATGCAAGGAAAGGAGTGGGTCCTTCCCCACTGAGTCTTCAGATGATACCAGAGGCCAGCTTGGTATTTCCACTGCAGCTTTTTGAGAGAACATGAAACATAGGTGTGTGCAGTTGTCCTTTGTTTGTTGTTGTTTGTGTGTGTGTGTGTAAGCATACATACATAAACAGGCTGAACAAACTAGGATCACCCACACAGTGGAATATATTGCAGCTTTTTGTAGATCTGGCAGAATTCATCCTGAATCTATCGGTTCCTGGATCTTTTTTTTTTTTTTTTTTTGGCTCTTGGTTACTTATTACCAGTGATTCCATTTTGGAAATTGAAATTGGACAGGCTGGAGCTGAGACTGGGTCCACTTAGATTCTGTTGTGGAACAGAGAATGGCATGCCTGTAATTTTGGCTGTGATGGTTACTGGAAGGTCTCTGCACAGATGGGCTAATTGTCTGCTGCAGCATGAGGGCCAGGGGCTGACAATCAGCTCCCTTGACATCTGCAGTTGAACAGATCATTTAGAGCCTGGTCTCTGCTAAAAAAGTTGCATATTGCCCAAAAAGTTTCTCAAAGATTATATAGTTCCCTGACTAAAGTGGAAGGGCTGGAGCTGAGAGTGGGTCATCCCTATAGGGGACAGAGGCTGGAGAGTCTAAATCCAATTTTCTGCTGGAAAGAGCCTGGATAGACTATATTCATTAGCCCAGACAGGCACTTTCCCCAGCAGGGTAGTTGATTCCCAACAGCAGTGGGAGGGGCTGGAGCTGAGACTGGGATTCTCTGTTTCTGAATAAAGTCATGTGCTCTAGAGATTCTAATGCCCCAGTGATTTCCATTAGATATATCAGAAGTGATCTTCCTTCCAGGGGTACTAAGGCTTATTATATAAACTACTTGCCCACTGGGTCCAGGTAGGGCCAGAAACTTCATCCTTCACTACTAAATTGCCTCTGCTTTTCAGCCTGGGGATGGGTGGAGCACATAGGACTAGGATGGTCAAAAGTATAGCAGTTGGGAATGGGTGGGGTCACATGACCCTTCTGTGGATAATCACCAAGCTGCCTCTTTGTCACAGCCTTGGAAGTTTTGCAGAGAAAACCAGGGTGGGATTTGGCAGTTGGCCAGTGACTTGAGCCTGGCAGACCCATCAACCATGGTTGGTTCCTGCAGAATGATGCTGTTGCCTAGTTTCTCTGATGGTGTACCTCTGCTGGTTGGAATATAAAACCACCAGTAAGATTACTGTTATGGTCCCTGTGAGCCCCATCCATGTACTTTGTTTCTAACTACCCCCTGTTGTCTCCCAATGTTACTCCCAATGTTTCCCACAGGATAAGACTAGAGAGGACATCATGTGAAGAAATGCAAAATGGAAAATAAAAGGCTGAATGTACAATTTCAACACTCTCCTCTCCGAATAAACTGCGAGTCTGGGGAAATTTTTTCTATGCAACCCTGTGCTGGCTTGGGGAGGAGAAAAAGCGTCAAATTAAAACTGTTCTTTTATCCTATGTATGTGGCTATTCTCAGTTCTATGGTCGAAGAAGGTGTCACAGATTCAATCCCAAGTTATAGAATCATTCACTAAGGTGTCCTTATCTAAGGATAGTTGTGAGTTGAGTTGTTTTTGTTGTTGTTGTTGTTGTTGTTGTTTTTTTGTGGAGGGCATGGGAATTAGCAGAATCACAGAATTCCTATTCTGCCACATTGGATCCTAGAAACAGGCAAGTTAAAAGACTGTCACAGGCTGAGCACAGTGGCTCATGCCTGTAACCCCAGCACTTTGGGAGGCCGAGGCAGGCATATCATGAGGTCAGGAGGCCAAGACCATCCTGGCTTACATGGTGAAATCCCTTCTCTACTAAACATACAAAAAAAAATTAGCCAGGCCTGGTAGCACATGCCTGCAGTCTCAGCTACTTGTAAGGTTGAGGCAGGAGCATCTCCTGAACCTTGGAGGTGGAAGTCAAAGTGAGTTTAGATCATGCCACTGCACCCCAACCTGGGTGACAGAGTGAGACTCAATCTCAAAAATAAATAAATAAATAAATAAAACTGGTCCTAAGGGAGGAGTTTACAAGTTTCAGGTGCTTCCATGGAGAAGCTGAAAGCTAGAGCGAGCCAAGGGTTGGACTTAAGGAAGACCTCACGGGACCATTGAAAACCACCTCTTTGTCCTCTATGGAACACAGGAAATAGTGAATGCGGAGCTCCACTGTTTACTGATATAGGCAAGTTATCAGCCAGAGAAATATGTCTTAGTCTGTTTGTGTTCCTATGAAAGAATATGAGCCTGGAAAATTCATAAAGAAAAGAGCTTTCATTGGCTCCTAGTTCTGCAGGCTGTAAAAGATGTGTGGTGCCAGCATCTGCATATAGTGAGGGGCTCATGAGGCTTCCACTCAGGACAAAAGGTAAAAGGAAAACAGGCATGTCACATGTGGAGAGAGCAAGAGAGACAAGGGGAGAAGGTATCAGGCTCTTTTCAACAAACTATTTGGAATGAAAAGCTGCATTATGAAAACTAATACAGCAGAAAACTCACTTATTAGCCATGGCAAAGGTGCCAAGCCATTTATAAGGGATCCAGCCCCATGACACAAACACACACCTCCCACTAGCTGCCATTTACAGACTGGAGGACCACATTTCAGCCTGAGGCTTGGAGGGACAAATGTCCAAACTGTATCAACAGGCAAGTTTAAAAATCACGCAGAGTTATCGTAAAACAATCATTTTTCCTCTTTAGACTCCTGGGACTACAAAAAGCTGGGCTTCATTAGCTTCCAGAGATTGGCAAGTTAGTATTGGAACACTTAGGCAGCAAACTGAGAAGTCAGGGCCACAGTTGGGTAGTTTGACTTCTTGGAAGGAAAATTTAGAAGCTCAGTATATTGCTAGAGTGAGTGATGATGAAGACCGATGAGAAATGCCTGTTTGCCTGCTCTCAGAGGACCTTGACATATCCAAAAGTCAGAATTAGAAGCAAAATACCTAGGCAAAAGCTATAAAAGTCAAGATATGGCCAGGAGCATTGGCTTACTCCTGTAATCCCAGCACTTTGGGAGGCCGACGCAGGTGGATTACCTGAGGTCAGGAGTTCAACACCAGCCTGACCAACATGGTGAAATCTTGTCTCTACTAAAAAATACAAAAGTTAGCCTGGCATGGTGGTGGGTGCCTATAATCCTAGCTACTTAGGAGGCTGAGGCAGGAAAATCACTTGAGCTCAGGAGGCGGAAGTTGCAGTGAGCCAACATCATGCCATTGCACTCCAGCCTAGGAGACAGAGCAAGACTCCGTCTCAAAAGAAAAAAGAAAAAAAAGTCAAGGCATTAGATTTACAATCTAAGTTCTTCGAGGTACAAAGTGAGAGCTGAGCTTCATTGACTGCTTGAGATCCAGTAAGCCAGGAGGAAAGTTTCGGGAGGGCTTGAATGTCTACTTAAATCTCTCTTTTATCTTGGGAGGTCTTAGGAGAGTTATGAATGCCAGTCTGTGTTAGAATCCAGAGATAGGCAAGTTAGGAATCATTTCATTGAGAAGCATCTGTAAGAGTTGGGGCATTACATATGTGGATTAATACTTCAGTCCTCTGAGAGAAGCTGTGAATTAACAGTTCCCTATGGATTCTAGGGCACTGTGTCAGACATGAACTCTAGAACAAAACCATGCTTCAGTTTTTCTTATGTCTTTTAAGTGAGTATTTTCATAATCCTATGTGCAAGAGTATCACAACTAGTTTCTGAGTTTATCTCATAGGGAATTAATGTGGGTGTGGCTTTTTATTTATTGCATTTGTGGATGGAGGAACAAATTAGAGCCTCCTATTTTGTCCCTACCACACACACACATACACAAAAGCTGGGCACGGTGGTGTGTGTCTGTAATTCCAGCTACTTGGGAGGCTGAAATGGAAGGCTCACACATTTGAACCCAGGAGTTCAAGGCTAGCGTGCTACAGTGATGGAACTGCAGTCCAGGCAGGACAACAGAGTGAGACCCTGCCTCTAAAAATGAAAAAAAGAAATAAGTGCTTGAACTGAAGGATACCCTATTTAATATTTACATGTTTGTTGATTTATATAATTATTTTTGAATTGGAGTCATGCTCTGTCACCCAGGCTAAAGTGCATCGCACAATATTGGCTCACTGCAGCCTCAGCCTCCCAGGTTCAGATGATTCTCCTGCCTGAGCCTCCCAATTAACTGATACACATGAAAGGCCTGCACCAATGCGGCCGGCTAATTTTTGTATTTTTGGTAGAGATGGAGTTTCATGGTTTTGGCCAGCCTGGTTTTCAACTCCTGACCTAAAAGGATCTGCAAGCCTCTGCCTTCCCAAGTGTTAGAATTAAAGACCTGAGCCATCACACTTGGACAGTAAGATACACAAGACTAGGGAGTTTTATCTTTTCACTCCATCCTCACAATGTTACATTATAGGTAATGAAAACACAACTTCATAACATGAATAACTCACTTGAAAATCAAAGTTTGTAACTTCTCCCTTTAAAATTATTTGCACCCTTACCCTATAAAAATGATGATCTTGTCAAGAAAATACTTCCTCCTTGCAGATTGGTCTGTCAATTGTAAGAATTATGGACCGTAAAACTTTTGGAACTTCATGTATTTTATTTCTTTAGGTTGTATAATCAGGAAAATTAATTGGTTTAGTTATTTAGGTCCAAATCTTTTTATTTTTATCATTTGATGATTTGTTAAACCTTTAAGCAACTCCATCTTAAACTTTATGCTGTTGTTTATGTTTTATACACTTCACTTTAACAATAGTATGAGGTTTAAAGCATTTCCATTCATATCATCAATTAAATCTGATAGGCTGAGATCAGTGGCTCATGCCTGTAATTGTAGCACTTTGGGAGTCTGAGGAAGGTGGATCAGGATTTTAAGAACAGCCTGGCAAACATGGTGAGACGCTGTCAGTAATAAAAACACAAAAAGTTAGCCGGCTGTGGTGCACACATGTCTAATACCAGTTACTCAGGATGCTGAGGCAAGAGAATAGCTTGGACCCAGAAGGTGGAGTCTGCAGTAAGCCAAGATGGAGCCACTGCACCCCAGCTTGGGTGACAAAGCTACACTCCATCTCAAAAAAAAAAAAAAAAATTGAAAACATCCCAACCATTCTAGATTATTCCTATTTGTAAGAACTTATTACTAAACCATTACTTGCAACAACCATTGTCAAAACTTACAACAAAAAATTAACATGAGTACGTCCCAAGACAAAACACTTACTTTTCAGTATTTAAATTAGGAACATTTAATTTCATTATGCTATGTATGCACTTGAGAAACTTAGCTGGTTCACTATTGATTTAGGTAAAAAGAAATAAATTCATTACTATTATCCCCCTTCAGTCACAAAATGCTTCAAGTAGAATGTTCTGGATGTCTTAAACTTTAGTATCAACCACATGTAATTATTTCCTTTCACCTGTACTATTCCTCTAATAAATAAACATTTTAGTGTGAGGCAGATAGTTTTGCAGCCTTTCTGAAGATTTCTCAAACATTTTAACCTTGTAAGTTTTTGAAGAGAAACAGCATAATTAGAAAACTTGTGCAGCTTGCAAGGGAGATGTAACATATGCCTAATTTTGTATCTATTTATTTGAAAGAAACAAAGAAAAACGTTCAGCAAACACCACAATTTACTCTCCTATTGAATTTGTTTTTAAGCATGTGCAGCTAAGCAATAACATCAGGTATTTTGCAGTACATGTAAAATTTTATTAGAAAATTTTAATGTAGATATGACATCTAAACAGATAGTTTTCAAATAGCATTAACCAGTAAAAAATTACTTGGAAAAAAATTCCTTTTCCTTTGAATAACTCAAAAAATTCATGGAGTAAGTCAGTATCGACCTCTCTCCACAAAACCAGTATGTTTCTTTTAGTAATATGCAAGTAACAATGAAAAAAGAACATTTCAATTTTTGATTTGCAAACAAGGTTTGGTATGCAATAACTATTATTTTGAATACTTGCTTTAATATGTGCTTCAGTCTCCTTTATCATACTGACTTTCCCCACCATCTCCTGTAGATGCCACATAACTTCAGCTACCATATGCTTCATGAGGAGCAGGTACACCCTATCGAGGGAAGATGGATTTCTTTCGTCTTTTCTGCCAATGTGCTCATGACCACAGGAATAAAAATCACCACAGCCCTTTGAGTAACTCTCCCGACTTCTGCCATATCTATCTCATATATTGTTATAATCATAGTGGCTGCTTCTACCATAAGACACTTTAGGCCCTCGTGCAGGTGGTGCACCATGAGAGGTCCCTGCAGGGTTGGTAAAATAATATGTTGGACTACATTTAAACATTTTTACTGCCATCACTAAAGCATGAATTAGTTAAAGTACTATCTGGAAATATCTGCTTTCCTCTGCCTTTGTTGAAAGGATATTAATTATGCCTGCAATAGTCAGAAGGTTTTATTTAAAAGAAGTGTAAGGGTAGCATTTTGAAGCTTAACAAATTTATTTCTAAACTAAACATTGAGTCTCATTTTCTGAATGTGAAGTTTTCAACTTCATATCGTTCCCATGCTTTATACTGTTAAGAATACTCCATATTTAAACATGTTATGTTTGTCCTTTATAATTTTCCTTTGAATTTCATTAAAATAATGCTCTGATCTATGAAATAAAATTGTAAAATTTACAAATCCATCCTGGACCCTTACCATATCTCTGAAATGCATCTCTGTAAGAACTTCCACTTGTATGTTCAGAATAATCTCTACCATAGGCCTCACAGTAGCCATCACGGTAACTAAATTGAAAAAAAAAAAGGTTTTTTAATGTCAGAATGAACAATTTAAGAAATCTATTAGATAAATCCAGAAAAAGTTACAGTACCTATATCCTCTAGAGGAATGTTCATCCTGAATAGAATGACCATAATCACGATATGCATAGTCTCTAGGTGGTGGAGCATAATCCCTGGTTTCTCCGGAACTTGGATGATTTCTGTGTGCATAAATTTAAGCAATAAATTTTAAATTTTCAACTTCTAGTATCCAAACCATAACTATTATAACTTAAACAAAATTAAAAGGCCAAACATCTAAATAGATATTTCTCCAAATAAAATAGGCAAATGCCCAAAAAGCACATGGAACAGATACTCACATTCAGTGATTCAGAAAATAACTTCAAATCGAAAATGAGATATCATACTTCACACACACATTGGAATGGCAATATATTTTAAAAGCAGGAAATAACAAGTGTTTGAGAGGATATAGATAAATTGGAACCCTGATACAATGATAGTTGGAATAGAAAATGATGCAGCTACTATGGAGAAATGTGGTGGTTCCTCAAGAAAACAAACATAATTATCATAGGACCAAGCAATTCCACTTGTATAAACATCCAGAATTGAATAAGCATACTCAAACAAATATTGGTGCATAGAAACACTGTGGTGGAAGCAACCCAAAGAAAATAATGAGTTAACAGCTTGTGGAAGGAGTGAAGTGCTATGATGTAAATGAACCTTCAGGACATCATGCAAAAGCAAGAAGACAGATACAAAAAGTCGTGTAGTATTTGAGCCCATTAACATTAAATGCCCACAACAGGTAAGTTCAAAGGCAGAACACAGATTGGTGTTTGCTAGCAGCTGAGGGAACGGAGAAAATGAAAGGGACTGCTTAACTGGTAGTTGGAATTTTAGTTTGGTGTGATAAAAAAATGTTTTGGAACTTGATGGAGGTAGTTGCTGCACAACACAGAATGTATTTAACTCCACTTAACTGTTTACCTTATAATATTTAATTTTGTTATATGAATTTCATCACCACATCAAAAAAAATCAACTGCTTTTAAAAATTTTTTCCTTTATCCTTAGTTGCATAACCATCATCTCTGGGTGACATATGGCCATTTCTCCAAGAAGAGAATGGCTCTCTGTGTGGAGGACCTCCATAATTCTCTCTTCCACGTGATACAGGACCTTTAATATTAAAATGATGGACCACTATGTATAGAAAACCAAACCTGAAACACTATTTTCTCTTCTCTCAAACAACTTTTTACACTTATTTCTTCTATGACTCCATTCTTCGTTCCCTAAATTACTAAACAGTCATAACACTGTGAATATTTCTTACAGCTTTGGATAATCCCATGGCTCCTGCAAAGCCAGTTCTTCTAATGAAGCTGAAGCCCAACATTAATTCTTAGATAAAAGTTCATTTGTAATGGTTAATAACTACTTAGTTATTATTCTCATTTTCATATGAATTACTGATGACTACTAATGACACAGGGAACACATGTAAAGCCATCAAACTCATCAAACATCTTCAAAATGTAAAATACATTTTAAAAATGTATTTTAAAGTTTACATACATTGTCCTTTCTCAGCTGAAGAAGGTAAATTTTCCTATGTTGTTCAATCCATCTCACACACACAAATACTGATACCTTTGAACGACTGCATGCTAAATGTTTACATAAAAGTTCTCCTTTATCTCTGAGTGGTTGCATCTATCCTAAATGTTGACAAATTAAAATGTACTAGTGAAGATTTTCTGAAGATGGCCAACATTTACTTTTACTGCAATAAACAGTACTATTAAAGGGGTCATTACAACATTGTTGCTATTTCAAAATAGAAAAGGTTCTCCTTTAATATATTATTCACGTGCTACTCATTAGAGGTCAGTGTTTTGCCTATGATATGTTCACTGGCTAATTTTCAAATGAAAATGTGTTGCCTTGTGTATCCTGAAGTCCATAAATACCTAACTTCACCAATACTCTACATATCAAATGTAAAATTGAAAATGGCAGTTTTCAATTTCCTCCATATTAGGGTGGAGGACTAAGTAAGAATTTTAATTTGTTCTGCTTAAACTTCTTGGTTAAGAACTTTTATTTATTATCTTGCTTTCTTCTCTTCAGTCTGCAATCTTACAATTCTCCTTCTAAAAAATATTACTTTTATACAATCCTAGTGGTTACCTCATGTTGCTTAGTTCTAAATTCTCTCCTCAAATAAATTCAAATCTTACAGTAAGGATCTTGTGTTAATGTTTAAACATCCTGGTATGATCTCAATTATTGATTTACATCTCCTTATATTTCACAACTCTGCACTTCTGTGATATCCACTTAATTTAAGAATATTGGACTCCTTCATGTCTACCTTTAAAGCCTTAAATTTATTTTTTAATAATATTTAAGCCCAGTGACTCCTTGTCTGCTAAGTCCTCATGTAGTTCTTTTGAATCTTCATATAAGCAGTAAGAATGACTTGCACATAAGCATTATTGAGGTCTCAGAAGCTGGAAGGCCAGGCTCAGCAGCTCACACTGTGAGCCACTGTAGAAGGCTGAGTCAGCTGTACTGCTTGAGGCCCGGGCTTTAATGTCAGTTTTGACAATGTAGTGAGATCCTATCTCTACAAAAATATAGGGAAAATAATTTAGCTAGTTGTGGTGGTGCATGCCTGTAGTTGCAGAAACTTGGGAGGCTGAAACAGGAAAATTGCTTGAGCCCAGGAATTTGAGGCTGTAATAGGCCTTCATCTTACCAATAAACTCTGACATGGTAAGGGCAAGACTCCAACCCGACATAGAAGCTGAACAAGCAATTTTTAGATTGGGACACCAGGGGACCATTACCAGGGGACACTAGGAAATGGAAGAATTCATTAGATGAAGAAGCATACCATCAAAGAATACTGCTTGCTAAGAACTTTCAGAAAAATTAAAGGGAATTTTCTAGCAAACACAGGATTAAAAGGAATGTTGGCCTCACTCTAATCACTTCTTTGATCGGCAATGAGAAGCTCCAGTATTTCTTCACCATAAATCTGAAATGTATCTAGTGAGACAGAAACTATAATAAAAGCTATCGATCAGTAATTATGCCCATGTATGTGTTACTTCTCTTTTGTTCAATGAAGTTAAAGTTAAGCACCCAGTTAAAAAAGCTCATTCTTAGTTGTACAAAAAAAATGGTCTTTCTATCACGTAGCATTTACCTTGGCCTCCCATACCACTGTTGCTTCTTGCCACAGCAGAAGGAACAGATTTCTTAGGAGGAAGACCTCCACGTCTTGAAGATGGAACTTTTTAGCTGGAATGGGTCCCCTAGGAGAACACAAGTTAAGATCAAGAGTGCATCCACCATCATCTGTATTTCAAACAAAATATTTTTAGTTAACTAACATCACTGTTTCTTAAATGGCTAAGTTTTAGTTGTATATAAAGATTTTCTACATATTATAATCTTACAGATTCACATTTGTCTAAACTAATAAAATTAACATTTCTATATGAAATTAGTACAATTCAATCAATAAAAGTCCATTTAGAATATCTAGAAAGAAACTCAAGAATCATAATACATTTGTGTGAGAGATGTGGAAAAGTGGGGAGTGAACAGGGAGCACAAATATATCAATAAAATCATTAAGTATAATATACACAAAAATATTAAAAGAAAAATGATAAATGACTGTTTATATCATTGTTATGATGAAAAACTTTCAAAGTATATCATAAAGATAAACTAAATTCCATTCAAAGAAACTGAAATATTTGCAATATCAAAATGTGACACATCAGGAAAATACATTATCTCTAAAATTTGTTAAGATAATATAGAATTCTTACAATTCCTTTATGAGACACTAATTTTCAGATTAGACTACGCTAAATTTTAATAATCTTTAAGAATTGCATATAAAAACGTTTTCATATATCTACAAAAAATGTAGATATAAGCCAATTGCCAGGTGGTGTTACAGGTTAGAATACACACATTCTCATACATGGCAGAGTATTATTGAACCTCACCCTCAAGATCAATGGAGACAAAATAACCAAGAAGCTATGCATTTTAAAATGGAACAAACACTGCAATTTCAACTTTAAAAAAAATCTCCAATTAATTACACATCTGGTTATTAAAACTCCAAGTTAAATGTTAGATTTTTGAAGGCTGGTTAATAGATAATACAAGTTAACCATAGGTTTATTTATTTATTTATTTGTTTGTTTATCGAGATGGACTCTTGCCCTATTGCCCAGGCTGGAGTGCAATGGTGTGATCTTAGCTCACTGAAGCTTCTGCCTCCCAGGTTCCAGTGATTCCTCTGCCTCAGCCTCCCGAGTATCTGGGATTACAGGTGCATGCCACCACGCCAGGCTAATTATTTGTATCTTTAGCAAAGACAGGGTTTCACCATGTTTGCCAGGCTAGTGTGGAACTCCTGACCTCATGGTCCACCTGTCCCGTATTCCCCAAGTGCTGTGATGACAGGCGTGAGCCACCTTGCCCAGCCCATCCAATAGTTTTTTTTTTTAATAATACATGTTTTTTATGTAAATATTGGCCCCTCATTTCTATTGTGTAAATCACTCATAATTATCATATGATAAATTATCATAATTATCACTGAAAAATTTTCAGTGACTCATCCTCCAGCAAAGAAAGATACATAGATATCTGTGAAGCAGTT
The DNA here is from genome assembly GCF_000001405.40 of Homo sapiens. Classification (NCBI taxonomy): domain Eukaryota; kingdom Metazoa; phylum Chordata; class Mammalia; order Primates; family Hominidae; genus Homo; species Homo sapiens. The sequence continues at coordinate 10,027,992 of NC_000024.10, forward strand.
GTTTTTAGAACTTTCCAGAGCCACAGACTCTTCAGAAATTAAAGTTCTACATTTCTTAAATTGAAAATGCTTTATGGCAGGCCAATGTACAAACTCTACGTATCAAAATTACAAAGCAATAGATTTGCATAGATGTTTGCACATGTATACACACAAAAAAAATTGAAAAATAAATCTTAAGTACTGAGTTACTTTTTTCCTGTTGGAAAGTTTTAAATATTCCGTTGTATTTTGATAATACAACTGATATGAAGTTCTGGGCCCCAAAGTAGAAAACTCTAAAGTATAATGAATATAAATCAGTTCTGCAGAAAACCAGTTGAGTACAGGCAGTCAGCATTCATAAAACTCAATTCAGTTTGAAATCTGCGCTATTTCAATGCAAAGTTATTATAATTTTAAAACAAATTTTAGATATTAGTTCAATCATTCTTTTAACTGGAATGAGTCCCCTAGAATAACTCATCTTGAGATCAGGAGTGTATCCACCATCATCTATATTTCAAACAAGATCTTTTTAGTTAGCTAACATCACTGTTTCTTAAATGGCTAAGTTTTACTTGTTTACAAATATTTTCTACATTTTATAACAAATTCACATTTTGTCTAAACTAATAAAATTAGCATTCCTACATGGTATTAGTACACTTCAAGCAATAAAAGTTCACTTAGAAAATCTAGAAAGAAACTCAAGTATCATAATATATTGGTATGAGAGAGAGATGTGGGAAAATGGGGAGTGAACGGGGGCAGAAATCTATCACTGAAATATCTAAATATAATATGTATAAAAATATTAAAAGAAAAATGATAAATGACTGTTTATATCATTCTGTAATGAGGAAAAATTTTCAAAGCACATCATAAACTAATTTCCATTCAAAGAAACTCAAATATTTCCAATACCAAGAAGTGACATATCAGGAAAATACATTGTCTCTAAAATGTGTTAACACAACATAGAATTTTTAAAATTCCCTTATGAGACACTAATTTTCAGATTAGACTATGCTGAATTTTAACAGTTTTTAAGAATTGCATATTCGGTAATATAAAAATATTTTTATACATCTACAAAAACGTAGATATATGCCAATTGCCAGGTGGTGTTACAGGTTAGAATTTATATATACATTCTCATCCGCGGCAGAGTATAATTGAACCTCACCCTCAAGATCAGTGGAGACAAAACAGCCATGAAGCTATGCATCTTAAAATGGAGCAAACACTGCAATTTCAACTTGAAAAAAATCTCCAATTAACTACACGTCTCGTTATTAAAACTCCAAGTTAATTGTTAGAGTTTTGAAGGTTGGTTAATAGATAATACAAGTTAATCAACAGGTTTATTGATTTATTTATTCAGATGGACTCTTGCCCTATCACGCAGGCTGGAGTACCATGGCATAACCTTGGCTCACTGCAGCTTCTGCCTCCCAGGTTCCTGTGATTCTCCTGCCTCAGCCTCCTGAGTAGCTGGGATTACAGGTGCACACCACCACGCCCAGGCAAATTTTTTTGTACCTTTAGGAGAGACAGGGTTTCACCATGTTGGCCAGGCTGGTCTGGAACTCCTGACCTCGTGGTCCACCTGCCCTGTACTCCCCAGGTGCTGAGGTGACAGGCGTGAGCCACCTCGCACAGCCCATCCAATAGTTTTTTCTTTTTCTTTTTTTTTAAATATATGGTTTGTTTTTCTTTTATATGTAAAAATAGACCCTCATTTCTATTAAGCGAATCACTCATAAATATCATTTTCAGTGACTCAGCCTCCAGCAAAGAAAGATACATACATATCTGTGAAGCAGTGGTTTTTAGACCTTTCCAGAGTCACAGACTTTTTTCAGAAATTAAAGTTCTACATTTCTTAAATTGAAAATGCTTTATGGCAGGCCAATGTACAAACTCTCTGTATCAAAATTACAAAGTAATACATTTGCATAGATGTTTGCACATGTATACACAAGAAAACAAATACTGCAAAATCAATCTTAAGTATTGAGTTCCTTTTTCCTGTTGGAAAATTTTAAATATGACATCGTACTTTGATAATACAACTGACATGAAGTTCTGGGCCCTAAAGTAGAAAACTCTAAAGTATAATGAATATAAATGAGTTCTGCAGAAAATTGGTTGAGTACAGGCAATCAGCATTCATAAACACAACTCAGTTTGAAATGTGTGTTACTTCAATGCAAACTTATTATAATTTTAAAACAAATTTAAGTATTAGTTCAATGATTCTCATAATACACCTTTAGTACTTAGAAATAATTTTGCTTATTATCAATAAGCTAATTTTCTCTTAAGGGAAATAAAAAAACTGAGAAATTTCGATATCTTCAAACTTATTTTCTTTCAGTCCTATGGTTCCATCTTTATATTTTAAAACATTACCCAGGTGTCCTTCATGTGAGGGAAGCCACCCTCTTGTTCCTCCACTGCTTCCTCTTGCAGATCTCAGACTTCCTGAAGGGCTTCTGTTTCTCGAAGAAGCTGGTGGTCTCCGTCTACCACCACTTTGAAAAGATGGTTTCTTGGCTTGTTCTACTTTTATTGCTTTTCCATGCAAAGACTAGAAGTATTAAGGGTACTATCAATAACACTGGCACATTTAACGTAAGCGCATTTTACAAACATTTTTACATGAAATGTAGTTCAATTCGAGGTATTTTCTCCCAACAGGAAATTTTTTTTCTCCTAAAATGAACACATCTTTCGCAATGCCAAATTTGAGATAGTTACTGAGCACATGCCTTCCATTAAGGGATCAAACACAAATTCTATTATTCAAATTCCTTGAAAACTCCTCCATTATTAAAAAAAAAACCTCAAACATAAAAAAAAAGATTGACCCATCACACATTCTATGGAAGAATGTGGCACATCTGTTTTTTACAATATATAATGCACTTCATCTTTGTATTCACATCACTGATTTGAAAGTTGCAGTGTCCCAATGAAACTTGTGTCATTTTAAAAAAAAATGAGCTTACTTTTTCAGAGTGATTAGTCACATTACTCATTATGAGTTGTTTCTTGTTGGATTTGCTAACACTTAGATAAAATGTCCCCATATGATTTACAATTCTATATTGACTCTAAAAATGTTTCTGTAAATGTGATCCTTGTTTGATCTCGTTAAGTTTTCTTGCCTTACTCATTTCTTATATTGCCTTACACGTGCCCCTAAAAAAAGAATCTTAATATAGTACTTCAGGTAATTGCTCAGAAATGCTTAAATATCCTAATTAATTTCATAATAACATTTTTCACTGTAATCTTTTCTACAGGCCACAGCAATTTTTGAAAACAGTTCAGCTAATAATGTGATTTAAAAATTACATGGCTTTTGTTATTTGGAGGAAGGACTTAAATCCCTGACAAGACCCCTTGCAGCCACATCGCCAGTTGTTCCTACCTTGAAACTTCTTTTGTTATTTCTGGGCTCAAAATATTTTCCCCAGATTTGCCCATGGCTGCTTCCTTCCCAGTGTTGTGAAGTCAGCCAAAATTCCTTAACTGTTAATTCCCCCTGAAAACTCGAAGAACCTCCTTTATTGGCCATCGTAACATTAATGTGCATACAACATTCATAGTTATTTTAACACAATAAAATATGTAAGATGAAGTAATTTAGAAATAACGTTGGTCAGGTGTGGTGGCTCAGGCCTGTAATCCCAACACTTTGGGAGGCGGATCACAAGGTGAAGAGATAGAGACCATCCTGGCCAATAGGGTGAAACCCCGTCTACACTCAAAGTACAAAAACTAGCTAGGTGTGGTGGCACTCACCCATAGTCCCTGCTACTCAGTGGCTGAGGCAGGAGAATTGCTTGAACCCGGGAGGCCGAGGTTGCAGTGAGCCAAGATCGCCCCACTGCAAACCAGCTTGGTGACACAGACAGACTCTGTGTTAAAAAACAAACAAACAAACAAACGAAAACTGTGCACAAATTACCTGCTCTTTTGCTTGAAAACTAGGGAGAAAAAGAATTATCATAGATTACTATACATAAGTCAAAATTATCTCCATACCTACCACAAAGCCATGAACCAAACGCTACTCTCAGTTTCTACCACAGCTTAAAATACTAATTTTTAAGAGTGAATAAAAATGTACTTTCTGCTATGTGCCAGGAAGCGTGCTAGATGTAGCAGAAATAAAAGCAACGAGGAAGACTTAAATAAGCAATATATACAATTTCACAATCAATAGATTAATATATAGTACAGTGAGTACAAAATACCTACAATACGCAATGAGGAAGAAAATATGAAATCTAAGTGGTTTTTGAAGCATAAATTGTTATTTGTATACACACACAGGGAAGGATAATTCTCAAGAAGTACAAAAAAGCATTTTGGGGATAGCGTAAAGAGTAACAGGAGCTAAAAACAGACTGGGATAATGTTATTTATTATTTTATTTTTATTTTTTATTTTTTTGAGACGGAGTCTTGCTCTGTTGCTGGCCTGGAGTGCAGTGGCGTGTTCTCGGCTCACTGCAACCTCTGCCTCCCAGGTTCAACTGATTCCCCTGCCTCAGCCTACCAAGTAGCTGGTACTACAGGCACACACCACCAGGAATGACTAATTTTTTGTATTTTAGTAGAGACATGGTTTCACCATGTTGGCCATAATGGTTTTGTTCTCCTGACCTCGTGATCTACCCGCCTCGGCCTCCTAAAGTGCTGGGATTAAAGGCGTGAGCCACCACGCCCAGCCTGACTGGGATAATGTTATAAAGCCAAAAAGCTCTACAGGGCCCAGAATGGAATGATCTTGACTACAATGTAAAGGAATTCAACAGTTAATAGAATTACATAAAAGTTTGAAGCTTTAGCAAACACACAATCCCTAGATTTAAGACTCAATAGGACAAGAGACCATTGGTTGGATCAAAACAAGTCCTTAAACACACTGAGGAAATGAGTAATTAGGTATTCATGTTACATAAATCACTCTGGTGACAGGAGAAAAAAAAAGTCCTTAGGAGAAAAGAGCAAGGATGGGGCAAAAATGCCAGTTACTTTTGTTATCCAACTTCAATGTTCTCATATTATTTTCCATTTTCAAGTACTTAACATTTCATTAAATGTAAAGGTCTTATTTAAATATACTTTCTCAAGAATATATTTTCAGAAAATGGGAGAGATTCTTTCCTTCTTATGAGTCTATCCAGATTTTTTCCACAGTTTGTCTATACTATGGAAGTATTTCCATGAATTGGAAATAATTCCATTAACAGTATTTAATAAATGTTGACTTATTCCTTTCATTTGCATGAGGGTTCTTTGTAAGTTTTAAAGTTCTTCAAAACCTTTCAAAATCTATTTACCCTCATATTGAAATACAAACATATAAAAAAGTTACCATATATTAAAGTTTCTAATGGTAATTCCAATACCCTTCCAACTACACTTGCATGTAAATGGCACAAAGAGGAGGATGGCTTCATATGACATTCTACTATCTTCAAAAGTTTAGTAATATTAAAAAGACCTAGAAATACTGTTAATTCAAGAACCAAGTTAGAATATTATTAATAAGGGACTCTTACTTTTCTATTCATATCTTTGGCATTCTTAGCATCTGCAGGGTTTTCAAAAGTAATAAATGCAAAGCCTCTGGATTTGCTGGTTTGATCCTTTATCAAAAGAACTAAAATATATGAAAACATTTTCCACTTATAAAATGCACTCACCAAGGTACTAACCATCTGAAAGTTACATCAAATCAAAAAATAATTGCATTTCACATCATTGCTGTGATTCTTAGTACTAAGTCACCCCTATAGTCAGCTTATTTTATTCTACTTTGTTCCCTAATTCCAAAACACATTTACTTTTCTTCATTTTCCTAAGTAGTAGGTGATTTTTACCACAGACCCTTCACCAGCTGCTATGAGAATTTTCCAAATATCAAATAGATACTTCAAAATAAGAGTTTAAAAGTGATAAGGCATTTTAATGTAGGTATACAATGAACTTTGAAAAAATATATATTTTTTCAAAACACATATAAATATTTTAATAGACATATTCAAATATACATAGGAAAATACACACACACACACACGGTTTTAAGAGTTACCTTCTGGTATGGGACCGTGTTTCACAAATACTGCTTTAAGCAACTTTTCATTGGTTTCTCTATTGAGATCACCGATGAAAAGCTAGTCAGGATGATTGTGCTGTAAACGGTAAAAAATTATCTATATTTAGATGAAAATAAATAAGCTAAAAAGATAAAATTTTATTACATACTGTGTTGAAAACTCAAGTACAATTCCCTTCCAGAGGCTGACATCTTTTTATTATTTGTGTCCACCTCACCGCCTTCTTACCCTGAGCAACCCTTGTCTGAGGAAATATTGTCTTCCACTAAACCGGTCCTTGATGAGAAAATGGCTATAGATTAAAGGGGCCCTTTATGTTACCCAGGCTGGTCTCCAACTCCTGACCACAAGCCATCCTCCTACCTTCACTTCCCAAAATGCTAGTATTACAAGAGTAAGTCAGTGTGCCAGGTTAACAGAATAACTAAAGCACATCTATTTTGTTCCTGTTTTAGGCTAACTCCATTTATCTTGATTACACCCACTTAATAGGTTGAAATTATTTACGGTGCTAGAGACACATGACACATGTTTGAAATACTGTCATACAAGGAAGGAAACAATTACAGGTTTTACAGAGGCAAATTTAATCTGAAATTATTTATGGCCCCAGACTTCTGCACACACTAAAATAACACAATTTATGTCAAAATTTGTTAATTCCTGGCAAGCAAAGCAGACATGTGACATGTGCTGACTAAAAGTATAAGTCTTTAATCACAGTGGTTAAGTATACTGCCTGTATTTTGAATTATGACCACATTCATAGAGAAAAACTCCTTCAATAAAATGTGCAGATGAAAACAATGGCGCCTTAGCACCATCTCCTACAACTTGCCCACATGTCGGACATGTGTGACGGTTAAAGGTAGAATCCTCAAAAAGCATCAATGTGTTTAACAAAAATGAGTTTCTTAAGAGCGCTAAGGAGTTCTCTCCCCACTGTCTCCTCCCATAGTTCAACACCCACACATAGAAAACCCATCCCTTTTAAAAACAAAATCCCAAACCTTTGCTTCCTGTTCTTGCCAAAAGACCAACCTGTCCAGAGAAAACAGAAATACAGGTGCTCTTCAGTAGGACAAACAGCCTCAGGGTCGTTCGGCCCTCAGGTTGTCTGCATCTGGCTTCTGGACAGCACAGGGCCAACTGCAGGAAGCACACTTCGAGCTGGCCTGAGCAGGAAGGATGCCAGAAGCCATGCCCGGAAATCCTGCCTACCTCCAGCGGCCAATCATTGCGAGGGCGGTGGGTGTCGGCCAATTATTGTGAGGTCCGTAGGCGTCTCCCGAGGCGCCCGGCCCTTGCCTGGCCTGCAGCTCAGTCGTCCCCTGGTAAGCATCCTCTGAAAAGCTACATGTTCCTGGGGCCTGGAGGCAGTGGATTCAGGCACAAGCAGGCGATGAGCCCTTTGCAATTGTGGGCATGGAAGACCTACACCCTAACTGGCATACTGACTGCGGCAAGACATTGACCCACAGGGAACACATGAAACATCTCACTTCATTAGGCAGGCTAGGCTGGTGGTACTGAATATTGCAGATCCAGAGGGAAGAGAGAGGGACCAGCATTGGCTGCTGGGGTGAGGGCGACGGGGGCTTGGGAGGAGTGGGGTAGGGCGAGTGCGTTGGAGGAAAGTCGACTGGTACATTGCTGGGGTGGAATTCGTATGCACCAGAAGCTGAAACCCTCAAGGACTCTCAGGCCTAGGCAAACAGAGACTGTGAGTTCCATGCTTCCTCCTTGATGATGCTGTACTCACAGGGGCATTCCAAAGGACCTCTCATCCTCTGCCCTGGGCACACGGGAGGCCAGCCGCCATGGTCGCCAATCTGATGCCCCATGTGCATTGACTTTCTAGCGAAGAGGCTCCCGCAAGTGCAGCAGTAGCCATAGTGCCTGCTAGACGGGCTCTGGAAGCCCAGAGCCTTGGACTCCGACTCCAGGGCTGCTGTGTGCAGCTAACCGTGCTCGGTATCTGGACCCCATGGTGAGTGCGGTGGGCTGTGGGCCCTGCGGGGCTCCCCAGGAACCCTGTATCCACTAGGAGTGGGACATAGTTCTCAGCAAGGCAAGGCTTGCGGGCCTCTCCGCGAGCTGCCCCCAGAGTCGAGGGGTGCCGGGGGCGTGGGCTGGGCGGCACAGGCCTTGGTCTGTGGGAGCCTAAAGGAGGGCACCGTGTTAAGGCAGAGGTTCTGCAGGAGAGGGCGGCCTGTGCACAGAGCAGGAAGGTAACCCTGGGGGAGGAGGCATGCTAGTCGGGTATGACATCATGGCAGAGATGGAGGTGGTGGCCAAGGAAGAGGCCAATGTGGAGCGGCAGCAGGAGGACCAGCAGGCACAGCCTGGCCCTGGCCCCAGTACGCCCCGGCTGGCAAAGGACTGGCTGCACGTCCTTCACTTGGAGCTGGGCTGAGTGAATGCCCCAGGCCGCAAGGCATCCCCGCCTTCTGGGCCAGAGCCGTATTCTTGCAGCTGCCAATTCGGGATAGCTGGCATCAGTGGGTGGGGGCCTAGCTCCCGGGATTGGGGTTGGGGCAAACAAGGTGGCAGGCACCGGGGCTCAGCCAGGATTCAGGGCATGAGGGACAACGAGGGGAACCGAGGACACGCTCGTGCAGTTAGAAGGGCAGCTTAATTGTGGGCGCTCTGAGGGCACGTTACAGGGACAGGAAGCCAAGCACAGCACTCACAGGCGAGAATAGCCCCTCAAAGGACCCTTCATAAACAGCAGAAAGTTGAAGGACATGTTTCAGTGGGAAAGTGCCTGGAGGAAGGGGAGTCTGCATGCCCATGACAGCCTTGGAACTACCCCTGCTCCCCGTGCCTGTGTCCAGCAGGCTCACCCCAGAAACACAAGGTGCTCAAGACTCGGGTTCACCGCACGGGGCTGCTGTCCTCTGCAAGGCAGGCACCATCTCCCCGGACACGATTTCTTGCCTCTGCCGGTGCTGCACCCAAAGATATTTAGGCCCTGAGTATATATAACCTCAGTTGAAACCACTGGAGCCCCATGGGGAGAGCCAGGCACAACCCTGCAGCCACTTCTACCCACAGCGGTTCCCTCAGGTGGACACGCCCACCTCTCAAGGAGATCAGGAGAAGGGAAGACCGCACACCTGGACAGCAGCAAAACCTGTCCAGCATCCAGCACACGAGGCCCTCCTGCAGCTCAGGAACCCTAAGCAAGTAGCTGCCTCACACCACAGCACCCCACACCCAGCCCTCTGCCCTCTTCTTTTGTGCCCGCCCCTGGTCAGAGCAGGCTGTCTGGGACCGCCTCCACCAGACGCCAAGACCACCACAGCCTCGAAGGTCTCCCCCAGGCCAGACAGAGAGGGAGGACCAGGAAGGGAGGGTGCCAGGCCAAAGGCCTGCAGGGTAGCCCTGCCCCACACTCTCCATGTGCTTGCAAAGTTGCAGGGTGATTCCTTGCACGCCCACCCAATCATCTGGCAGCTCCTTGACCAGAGGCAGATAGTGGGGCACACCCAGATGTTGGCCAGGAGCACAAATGATGAAGTCAGTTCTGCTAAGCTACATGATGGATTTGCAGGTCAGGCTAAGGAACCTGGGTCTGAGGAGGGGTCTAGTGTCTGGGTCAGGTTGAGGTACCCCTGGGACCTGGGGGTGTCTCAGTGGGAGAGCTGGGAAGGAGAAACACATGCTTCACCCCAGCTAGCAAGTCACCTCAGCCCAGCTACATGAAATGCTCCTTTGAGTCTGTCCTCTTTCTTCTTCTTGGCCAGGTAGTGGGGGAACTCAGCCATCCCAGGTACCAACAGTAGGATGAAGCTTTCCTTTCATCACAACTTTTACTTCCACAATGAAGTGATCATTCAGGAGTATTGTGTTGCATCCTCGTTAAGGAGTGACTCCCAGCATAGTAGGGGAGCTGGTGTGTGGGAGGGTAGGTCTGGCATGAATCTTCCTGACTCCTCTGTCTCCAGGATACAGGATGATTCATTCGACTGCAGTCCAGTGGTTCTGGAATCATGAAGGTCAAGCCTTCAGCTGCAAGCAGTACAGCTCCTACCTGAGCTTCTTCAGCTGGTTGGCTGACCATGACTGCCCAGGTTCTGGCAGGATTGCTGAGGTGGGCACCTCAGTGGAACATCATGGGAAAGTACCTTGATGGTCATTCCTTGGCCTCTGGGGAGTTGGCTTTGAGCCATGACCTGATGTGTCCTATACACACTTCTGCAGTCCCCTAGATCATCAGCCAGGGACTGTGGCTCAATCCCCTGCAGTACTTCCAGAGGGAGGGAGGCCATTAGAGAGGGAAAAGAGCGGAGGCCAGGCAAGCAGTCTAGGGCTGGGGACTGAGAGGCCTTTGATTCCTGGAGTTGTGCCCCACATGGAGAACCCAAGGATCATGGAGGTGACTGCAGTGAGCCATCCCAGGCCATCCATGGGCTGGCGGATAAATGGCCATCAGGGAACTGTAAAACCCACATTTCAGGATTGGGGCACCTTAATCCCCCTAAGAGGCATAAGTGTCTAAGGTCAGTGAGTGAGAAGCAAGGCTCAAGGGATAGCTGTCTCATCATCCCTTCCTGGCTCCCTTCCCTGCCCTGAGGCCACCTACCACCTGGGGCTCAGTTTGGGCTCAACCAGCGCCCTCTCACCCTCCATGCAGATGTCCTCACAAGGCCCATCTCTTTGTTCTCCCAGAATGCTGTCCCAGACCCATCATTTTCTGTTACGATGACCTGAGACTCCCCTGAAATGCTTACCCCCTCTGCCATCATCATTCACACTGCCCCGCCCTCTGAGACAAGAGAGGCCACTACACAGGGAATCTGAAAGACCACACTGGGCTCATAGTGGAGGAAATGTGAAGAGATTGCAAAAAGGCTGGGATCTTCAGTTTGTGCCCAGGGAGGGAAACTGGCTGGGATTTAAGGCCCACCTGAGTAGTGGTGTGGACACCCTGTATTACTTATCATGATGAAGACCTGCTTTGTCACATCTCCTAATGTTAATATGGAAGTTATTTTCTTAGAATAGTGAAACAATGAGTACAAAGAGATAGTGTTTTTTTCAGATTTGTATGGAAATACTGCAGATGCATCCATTTTCCATTATAATTCTTGTGTGAGACTTGAAGTGTTTATTGAGTTTTAAGATACATTTTGATTGTTCTGCTCCTGGCAAATTTTATGGTCATGTTTGCAATGTAGAGACATAGAATCTAGAAAAGTTTTGAGTGACTTTCAGCTTCTTTTAGAGTACTTACTTGTAAATTTTGAATTTTTTCCCGGTCTTTCTCTTCCGTTTATTATTTGAACTTTATATGCAAGGTGATAAAATTGTTTTCTTATTTGCCTCTTGTGGAATGTTGGTTTTAAAGGACTTTTTTTTCTGTTAGATATGTGTGAGTTTGACTGTGAGTACTTTTTCTAGTACAAAGTTTTTATTTTCATTTGTGTGTGTGTGTGCACGTGTGTGTGTTTTGAAGAGTCTCACTCTGTCACCCAGGCTGGAGTGAAGTGGCGGGATCTCCGCTCACCTCAACCTCCACCTCCCAGCTTCAAGCAATTCCCCTGCCTCAGCCTTCCAAGGAGCTGGGATTACAGGTGCATGCCACCATGTCCAGCTAATTTTTGTATTTTTAGTTGAGACTGGGTTTCACCATATTTACCAGGCTGATCTCTACTCCTGACCTCGAGTGATGCACCTGCCTTGACCTGCCAAAATGTTGGGTTTACAGGCATGAGCCAGCATGCCCAGCTTCATTTGTTTATGTATTTGAACCCTTGTTCTATTTTCTTCCTATACACTTATTTTAGAGTTACTGAAATAATATATTTTATTTATTTACTCAATACTTTAGTAGGATTTTAAAAGTAATGTTTTATTTACTAAATACAGTATTGTGAATAGGTTAAGCCTTGTGTAGTATTGTCATTCTCTCTTTCATAAATTCTTCAAGAACTCTAATACTGTTTTCCCCCCACCTAAGGAGAACATGCAGATAGTTACAAAAAATTGTGTGAGTGACTGGGTATGAAAATATAATTTGAAGTCTGGGTAGGGTGGCTCACACCTATAATCCCTGCATTTTGTGAGGCCAAGGCTGGTGGATTACCAGATGTTAGAAGTTCAAGACCAGCCTGGTCAACATGGTAAAACCCCATCTCTACTAAATATTCAAAAATTAGCTGGGCATAGTGGCAGGTGCCTGTAATCCCAGCTACTCGGGAGGCTGAGAGGCAGGAGAATCCATTGAACCTGGGAGGCAGAGGTTGCAGTGAGCCAAGATTGCGCCACTGCACTCCAGCCTGGGCCACAAGAGCAAAACTATGTCTCCACCGACCCCCACAACCCGCCAAAAAAAAGTGTCAAATTTACATAAACATAATTTTCTAAAAAGCCAGTGTAATTTTAATTTTATTGTAGTCATCACCTTCAGACATTGTTTATTTTGGAGAATGATTATAGAAATCTGAAAAATCAAGGACTGATGAGAATACTTAAATTAAGCACACTCCAGAAGCCCAAACATGAAAAGCAAAGGTGTTTCTCATATAACAGCACAAATTCTGCATTTCTTCTCTATTGGGAAGTGTAATATTGCACATATGAAAAACAAATGCAGTGTTAAATCAAAATTAATGGGATTAAGAGGAGTCACTGCTTAGTGAGTTAAAATGACACACAAAGAAATGGAGAAGAAAAGAAAGATGATAGAAAATATATTGCATATTTAATTCAGAATAATTTTCATTTTTGTCTATTAGCATTAAATAGTACCATTAACATAATGTAATTTTGTATATTGATTTCTAACATGTGAGTGGTTTTTATTTTGTATATTTGGAAACCTGATAAAAGGTTCTTTAGGCATTTTATTTTTTCCCAAATTAGCTAGCTAATAGCTAGCTAAAAGCTAGTAGCCTGACTACCTCTCACTAAGTAGTTTGTCATTTCTCATTAATTTTAATATGAACTTGGTCTGTATTTTGTTGGCATCTTTACTACATCTGTATGTGTTGAAGTTATTCAGATCTCGGTCATGGATCCTCTTGGGTTTTCTCATTGCTAAAACACCCTTTCTATGCTGACCATTAACAAATTCCCAATTTCAGGCCAGATCTTTGTTCTGACATTCAGATTTGGCATAACCAACTGCATGCCTTACATCTCCACAAACCAAAACCAGACCTTCATTTCATCCCTGAAACATGTTTCCTCCTACAGTATTCCACAATTTCAGAAATTCACAGCACCAAATACCCTGTATTTCAAGCTAGAAATGTAGAGGATGATCCTTGAGGCAGCGTTTTCTCAATGACTCTTCATCTGTCACATCTAACTCTTCACAGGTTGTGTGTCCTCTCCGAGAATTACAGTCTTAGTAAATAAAGAATGGCCACTAAGTAACCTTCAATCATCCACTTTTTTTTTTCAATTCATGTCAGTTTCTTTACAGAACAGCTGGAGCTCTGTAATGTCAATGTTGGAGTAAGTACCATTCTCTGCCAGTGTTACTATTTTATTTATCAAGTGACAAATATTCCTTAAAAATGCCCACATGAAGCTATACTGAGTAACACAATTAAATGATGGCTTTGTTTTACAGAAAAGTACAAGGCAAATAGAATGAGTTTTTACTGTATGATCTTTATAACTACACTCTCAGGTACTGGATATTTTAGACCCCACTTCATACATCTGAAATTTGGGTCTCAAAATAATTAACTTCTCTTAAAGTCTAATTTCAGATTACAAAACTACTTCTTCCCACAATATTGTGCTATCTCCCTTTAAGAACCAGCTAGGGGATCATTAAGAATAAAAAACATCATTATCTTCAACATCTCCTAGCTGAGCCATAATCTAAATTTTCTGTGGAGATGTTGTTATGTGCAATTTCGCCAAAACTTTTACAACTTTAACCACAGTTATGCTTCAGTGGCCTACCTGTTCATCCAATACCTGCACACCTGCTTTAACACAGAAAAATTTGGAAGTTGATGTGAATATTAACTATTATCATTGTAGACAATGACATCTGAAGATGCTTTCCAATCTTCCATGAATATATGAAATTCAAAATGTCAGTACAGTCTCCAAATTGTCCATGTAATCTTAGTAGCAGTGGATCATCTACAGAAGTAATTTTGCCCAGTGATCAAATATTTTTGTTAAATACTGTTATTTTATAGCCATACATAGCATTAACTGGCACGTGGTGCATAGCTAGAAATAGGATCCTAAAGAAAATGTTCAGAAACAGGTTTCATATTTTTTGCTAAATTGCAAACTAACAGGTTAATTACTACTGTGAAGTGCTACGTCTTGGAGTAGTATTTACCAAGAATGAAAAAGAAGATAAGGCCATATGACTTGAGAAGGCTGGAGTTAGGAAAAGATAAGGTATTTATTCCTGATTCCTGGCTTGATGTTCTTTGTGTGTGTGTGTGTGTGTGTGTGTGTGTTTTGTTTTGTTTTTTTTTGTTTTTTTGTTTTTTTTGTTTTTTTTTTGGTTTGCTTTTGTTTGTTTGTCATTGTTGTTTAACTTTCTCTTATGTGTCAGACCAGAGTTTCACAAACATCCCCAAATAATAACGTGGGTCATAAAATATATATGCAGATACTATTTTCCTTCAAAATCCTGGTTCAATCATCTGAAATGAGACCTGGAGAACAAGCAATTCTAACAAGTATGCTAAGTGATTATTACCAAAATGAACAACTGTGAAATATTTAGAAAACCATTCAGGAGCTAGGTAATCAACATTTAATAATTCGTTTTTACTATAAGGGTAAAGGATTTTGTTGAAATGAATATTTAAATGCAAGTTTTATTAAAAGGGTAGAATTGAGCACTTAAGTGCTTTCTAATTAGTATCTTTAAAGTATGTTTTGCTAAAGTGGAAAAATTATTTTTTCATTTGAAGATAGCATTATGCCCACAAATGAGGTCTGAGTTAGCTTTTTGAAAATCTTCAGATCATAAGTTCTAAAAATTGTCGTGGGTGTTTATAAGACACCAGAAAATCATTAAGAAAAATATAAATAAAAATACCAGTATCCAAAATATTCAAAATAACTCTTACAGATATATAAGAAAAAATATATATACAATCTAGCCAAGTTGAAGAAAGCAGGACAGGTAAATAGTTAGATCCTTTTTAGAAAAGAAGGAAGTCAAATGACCAATGAAAAATGGCTAGATGCTTGAGCTCATTAGTAATTTGGGGATATTAATCAAAGCCACATTAGGTTCCAACTGTCATTCATTAGCTTGGCAACTATTAAAATAATAATACTGAGTGTAGTCAAGGGTGTAAAGAATGGTAATTTTTTTCCACCAATCCACAGGACTGTCTAATGATATTTAGTAAAATTAGGGTGATGAAAACCTTTAGTGCTCCAAGGGAAACTTTTTTTAGAATAAAAGAGTACTAACATATACAAAATTATTTATTATTTAATATGTGATTTCCTTATAGACAAACTGTCTTCACTATTTCAATGGATCTATGAAATAGTTATCTTCCAACTATTTTTGAAAATGAAATCCCTTCGGAAATTTAAAACCACAATTACATATCTTGAAGCAAAACAGAAAAATAACTTTTTTACATTTATTATTTGAACATTAGAAATAGTAGGCAGAATAATGATTCTGGAACATATTTATATGAATTAATCCATTTCTTAACAATAATTATCCATAGTTCTTTTCTGTAAAATGCATTTCTTTTAATTTTATATTGATTTTTAAATGAAGTTACTTGCAAACTTTTCCAAAGTTGCTTCTTCTTGTCACCAATAAAAGTTACCAATAATGTTTAGCTTTTTATCTGAACATTAATAAACATTTATTACATTGTCCAGTGTTTTATTTCTGGCACAATAATATTTCAGCAGCTTTATTTTGGTTCCAGTGATTGATTAAAAATTCAAACCACTTTTAATTTAATTTTCTGTTTGAAACATCTAAATGGCATTATTGAATTCTTTTGGAATTTCTTCTATAGCTAATGGAGATAATATACTAACAATTACTGATGCATATTTCTTAACTGCAGAAAAATTAGAATTAAAAATATACACAATTGATTTTTAAAAAATAGTAATTTGATGTAAATAAAAAGCCAGGTATCTCAGAATTATATGCTTAATTTTTCCAAATTCATATATTAAAACTGTGAAGATGTCATCTTCATCATCAGGAATAGTTTTCTTAATGTAACTAAGTCTTATCTTCTGAAATAGCAGCTGCTTCTTCCCCTTAGCCCTCTATATTCTGGATTTCAGGATACCACTTTTAGCCTTGTGGTCCCAACATGGACTACAAGACTTTATGATTACACCATGTGTTTCTTGGCACTTTTCAACCCATAATTTGATTCAAAGGGAAATTGAGTAGTTTTTAATTAAATACCTACTTACATTTTCCAGTCATTGCTGCTGAAACAGAATTTTTTTTAAATAGTCTACATCTAAGGATGTTCACTGTTGCAAGAGTTACTGACTCTTTAGCCAAACACTCTATCATGGAAAATCTAACCTAGTGGGCCATTTGGTTATGAGATGGTAAAAAATAATAAAAATATTCCTGGAATGCAGATAGTGAGAACTACCGGTCTTCAAGAAAAAGTACCCTCAGTAACAATGTGAAAGTTTGTCTGAATTTCCATTTCCACATTATCAAAATTATGCCACTTTATGTAGCATTTCTATAAATAATTTCTGGTTTTGAAAATCTTTACTTTTGAATGTGAATTTATCTTTAAGAATTAATATTGTTTTGCAGGAACATTTGCATATATAAATTATGCAACATTTTATGGGAGCTCATACATGGACATCTCATACAAAGCAAGTGATGAGACAGATGTTTGAGATACATTAGGGTGGATGTAGAGGAAGCACTGTTTCTACTCTCTGGGTCTCTGATTTCCAATAAGACAAACTACAAAATAATTACAAACAAGAGTTCAAAAAAGAATGACTCAATCTCTTGTGTCCAATTGTTGTTTTGTATCCTATAAACCATTTATGCTATATCTAAGATTTAAAATGTTTTGAACATTAGATGTTGGTCTTTAGGACACCAAGTGGAGGCAGGCGGACACATGCAGTTGCTGCCTGGGGGATCTTATCTAAGGATATAAGTCAATAACAGGCAGCTGAATGGGCAGTGGTCCAGTGCCAGGTGTTTAGCTGAGACTTGTATAAGTTTCTCAGTAATTCTCAGAAGTATTCGAGGGAAATGAAACTGGTTTACCAATGCTCTTTTAAAAATCAGCTAAAGAACATCCTAAAGTGTCCTGAGGAGAAAAATGAGCAAGGTAATTTGACACAGCAAAATTACTAGGTGACTGCAGGAGCATAGAAAATCTCAGGCAGCTGTTTCACACGACTAGCAAAAATCCACTATTAAAATAGTTGCATAAACTCTGAGTTGATAAGACTGAGGAAAACCAGAAAGCTGGCTAGGAACAGCTGGACCCAAAATGGTGTTGAATTTCAGCTAGGTTTCATCTTGGAGAAAATAGCGAAAATATCACTACTACTACCATGCAGCTCTGCTACTACCATACAGCAGAGCAGCTGATCAAAGGCAGCAACTGCCTAACTATGGACAGTTCACATGTGAAAAACAGAAATCCCTGTTTGTTTAATTCATGCTTACTTTTTCTGTTATATGAAGTAAAAAACATTCCTTACTGCAAGAATGTTTCATTTTCTTCCTTATTCTCCACCATTTATTTTCTTCTCACATTACTTATAATTTGTAACTTATTTTGTCAAATATATGCGGTAACACTGCAGTATTATAGAAAGCACACTGCATTGGAAACAGACTCATGTTGAAATGGGAAAATATCCCTTATCTCTTCCCCGGGGGCATGCAATGAGGACAGATTGTGGGGCTCTGATCCCAGGGAGCGTCTAGGGGTGAATGTTTACAGCTCCTGAATCCCCAGCAGGCATGTGTTACACAGTGTTAATTTAGTTTATCCATCTGTAGGCGATTTGTGCTAGCTCAGTTAGGCACCCTAGCTTACTGTAAAGACAGAGAGCTGTCTGAATCCCCGGGTTTCTTGCCTTGTTGTACCTGAAGAATTGGCTCACAGGTGGGCTTGGAGAAGAAGTACAAGGTTTCATTGACTGGAAGTTCCCAGCAGATAGATGGGGACCCAGAAGGAAGATGAAGTGGGAAGGTGGTTTTCTCTTGGAATGGGGAAGCTCAGCAGTCTCCTCCCACAGCTCTGTGGAACTCCGCGTTCTTCTGAGGTGGATGGACTGCAGCCTCAGTCCTTGTGCTCTCCTTCCTCTGTTGTCTTCTTGAGGTCCAGTTGCTGTGTCTGTTTCTGCTGATGGTTCCTCTTGATGCCCAGCTGCTGTCACTGCCTGTTAGGGTCTCCAGGTTTCTTATATCACAGGATGGAGCTGTGGCAGGCCAGGGTGGTCTTGGGAAATGCGACATTTGGGCAAGAAAACAGAAGTGCGTGTCCTCAAGTAGGTCAGTGAGCACAGGCCTGAGGGTGGAGCCCTAGCCAAGGACCATGCCCTCCTCTACCCAGCACTTCCCTTCTCCCCTTCCCTATCAATATTTTTTATTTAAATCTCCAAAAATAATACTCAAATTCTTCAGAGAAGACAATTGGAGGAAATGGCATTAGAAGAATCTAGGATTAGGGTTACTAAATAGAAAATGGAAACAAAGAAATCATGTCCTGCAGGCCATGAATCACTGCACAGAAATATATCCCCTGCTGAGGAGAGGGAGACACACTGGCTTCTCTCCTTTTCTTGTTCTCTAATCTCTGCAGTGTCACACCTCGACTGAACTGAAACAGGAAGTAATTTTTATGGGAGCCTAGGAACCATGCCTCCCAGGGGCCAGGCCTCTCTATTACAGAACAGTGCCAGGAGAGTGACTGATGTATCTGTGGGCATATAAACCCGGGATGACACACAAAGGAATATCAGAGAAAAATATATTATCAAAGGATCAAGAGAGGAGTAGTCTCAGGAATGATCCATGCATGATATTTGTGAAAAGACCAAAAAAGGAAAACAGAGCTTATTGTCACATGTGTCCCTGTGAAAACAGTTCACCAACAGGCTTTGTGTGAGCAATAAGGCTGTTTATTTCACCTGTTTGCAGGTGGGCTGAGTCGAAGAAGGAGTCAGCAAAGGGTGATGGGATTTTCATTAGTTCTTATAGGTTTGGGATAGGTGTACAAAGTACCTTCTTAATGGTGGGGGGGGAATATATTGTATCAGTTAGGGTGGGTCAGGAACAAATCACAATGGTGGAATGTCATCTGTTAAAGCTATTTTCACTTATTTTGTGGATCTTCAGTTGCTTCAGGCCATCTGGATGTACACTTGCAGGTCACAGGGGATATGATGGCTTAGCTCAGGCTCAGAGGCCTGACATTCCTGTCTTCTTATATTAATAAGAAAAACAAAACAAAATAGTGGTGAAGTGTTGAGGAGGCAAAAATTTTGGGGGGTGGTATGGACAGATAATATGCGATGTTACTCAGGGCTACTTTGAGTGGGATTAGTGGCAGCATGGGAACCTACAGTGGGAGAGCTTAAGCTGAAGGAAGATTTGTGGTAAGGGGTGATATTGTGGGGTGATTAAAAGGACCATTTGTCATATAGAATGATTGGTGATGGCCAGGATACAGTTTTGCATGAATTGAGAAACTAAATGGAAACAAGGTCCGAATAGGAGAAGGAGAAAAACAAGTATTAAAAGACTAAGAACTGGGAGACCCAGGACATTGAATTAGAGAGTGTACAAGGGGGTTCAGCATAATTACTTATTTGGTTGGTGAGTTTTTGGGCTCTATCCTTTAGTTTTTTATGTTGTCATATACCAGGCCAGATTGATTTAGGTAAAAACAACACTCTTCATTTAAAAACATACAGAGTCCCCCCCCCAACTTTTTTTTTTTTTTTTAGCAGTGAGTAAGTCAAGGACTCAGTGATTTGAGGAAAGAGAAATGCAAAGCCAGCAAATGTTTGTTAAGGAAAGATTAGAAAAGGCTAGGATAGAGTGAGTGAGATTGTTAGTGTGATGGAGATAGCTGGGGAGAGGTAGAGGGTGGCATAAGAATATAAGAATCAGAACAAAAATAAGAGTGAGTATAAAAGTAAAGAATAGGACGTTATCAGGGTGAAAGTATTGGAGAGCGCCCTGTCAGCAAAAATCATCTATCCACTGTAAGAGGGAGTCAAGAGTAGTGGATTCGGGTTAGTACCAGGAGATGTCCACTACGATGGTTTGGAGGAAAAGTGTAAACTGGCAGTGTAAACAAGGGCAAGGGCACTTATGAGTAGTTGAGAATGGTGAATAGGAGTATAACTAGACAGAAGATAGTAAGGACGACAAGTTTTTGAGGTGTAGTCCAAGTAGTGGGGGTGACTGGCTAAAGCCCTGTTGTAAAGAGTAGGGTAAGGAAGAAGATACCTAATAAAAATGAAAGGATGTATTAGGCTTATAAGGGTTTCTATTATCATTGAGGAATGCAAGTGAGTTTAAGGGAAGTAGGGGTGAGTACTTGCCACTTTCAGAAGGAAGAGGAGAAATCAGACTGTCTGATGGGCACAGGTTTACTCTGGAATGATGAACCGAATGGTGGGTGGTGGTCCTGCAGATGAACAGCCATTTGGATACTATAGATGACTAAATGGGCTCCAGTCCACTGAGGTTGTAGAGTCTGAGGGGTCCGATTTTTAACGAGAACTGACTGTCAAGTTAAAGTGTTTTCATATAGCTGGGAATCTGGGGTAGGCAAAAGAAGATTAGCAGCTCAGTGAATATCCTGTCTAGCTTGCTGGAGGACTGGAAGATAATCACCTAGAGGGCCGGTGTCTGGAATGAGACTGGGGCCTAATAAGGCCTAATACAGGAACTCAAATGGCTGTACCCTGTAGCATCCCGAGGACAGGCCCGAATTCTGAGAAGGGCAATTGGTAAAAGTACTGTCCAGTCCTTTCTAAGTTGGAGGCTAAGCTTGGTGAGGTGTGGCTTTAAAAAATCATTAGTTCTTTCTTCCTTTCCTGAGGATTGAGGGTGATAAGGAGCATGAAGTTATTATTGAATGCCAGGAGCCTGGGAGACTGCCTGAGTGATGTGACTGATAAAGGCTGGTCTGTTATCAGACTATACAGAGGTGGGAAGGGAAAACTGAGGAATTATGTCTGACAGAAGGAAAGAAATGACTGTGGTGGCCTTCTCAGACCCTGTGGGAAAGGCCTCTACCCATCCAGTGAAAGTGTCTACCCAGACCAAGAGGTATTTTAGTTTCCTGACTCAGGGCATGTGAGTAAAGTTAATTTGCCAGTCCTGGGCAGGGGCAAATCCCCCCACTTGATGGGTAGGGAAAAGAGGGGGCCTGAACAATCCCTGAGGTGTGGTAGAATAGCAGATGGAACACTGAGAAGTGATTTCCTTGAGGATAGATTTCCATGATGGAAAGGAAATGAGAGGTTCTAAGAGTCAGGCTAGTGGCTTGTAACCTACATGTAAGAGGTTATGAAATGATGACAGAATAGAATGGGCCTGTGAGGCTGGAGATATTTTCCTTGGTTCAAGAACCATTTGCCTTGTGTGGGAAGAGATTGATATATGGAAGATTTAGGGGGAGAGTAGGTGGGAGTAAGCAATGAGAAGGAGAAAAAGTGGCCATGATGAACAGAAGTTGGAATGCTAGCTGCTTGTTTAGCTACCTTATCAGCATAAGCATTTTCTTGAGCAGTGGGATCTGATGCCTTTTGATGGCCCTTGTAGTGAATGACTTCAGCTTCCTTTGGAAGTAAAGTGGCTTTAACAAGAGTTTTTATTAAGGAGGTATTAATGATGGAGGACCTAGCATAGTGAAGAAACCTCTTTCAGCCCATATACAGCATGGTGGTGCAGGATATTGAAGGCATATTTAGAGGCAGTATAAATATTGACACATAGTCACCTTGCAAGAGTGAGGGACTGAGTTAAGACAATGAATTTGGCTTGCTGAGAGGTATGGAGCAGGGCAGAGTGGTAGTCTCAATGATAGATGTGGAAGATACTATAATGTAGCCTGCCTTTGCTGGTGAGTGGCAATTAGGCCTGGTGGAACAGCCATCAATAAACCAAGTGTGATCAGGGTGAGGAACAGGAAAGAAGGAAATACAGGGAAATGGAGTGAATGTCAGGTGGATCAGGGAGATACAGTCATGGGGGTCAGGTGTGATATCCGGAGTAATGTGGAAGGCTGGATTGAAGCCTGGGCCAGGAACAATGGTAATTGTGGGAGACTCAACAAAGACTGAGTATAGCTGAAGGAGCTGGAGGGCAGAAAGTATATGTGTCAGGGGTGAAGAAGAAAATAGATTTTGGAAGTTATGAGAACTGTAGAGATTGAGTTGAGCATAGTTTGTAATTTTTGATAGCCACTAAAAGAATTAAAGCAGTGGCATCCACCACACACAGACATGAGGGCTAGGCTAAAACAGTAAGGTCAAGTTGTTTGGACAGAAAAGCTACAGGGTGCAGTCCCGGCTCTTGTGAAAGAATTCCAACCACATATCCCTGTACTTTGGATGGGTGTAATGAAAAAGGTTGGGATGAGCTAAGGAGAGCTAGTGTGGGAACAGCTTTTAGGGCTGTTTGTTAAGGAATGGAAAGGGGAGTGGGGAAAGTATTTAGGATTTATTGGGTCAGCTAGGTCTATCTAGAATAGAATAATGGGTTGTGGAGGGAGGTCTCATTGAGGATAGGAGAGTATATGGGTTTGGCACTACGAGGTGGATAGGCAAGACAATTTTGTTGATAAGGTGCAGCTCCTGAACTAACCTGTAAGACTAGTCTGGTGTTTGGACAGGTAAAATGGGGGAATTGTAAGGAGAGTTTGCAGGCTTTAAAAGGCCATTCTGTGACAGGTGAGTGATAACAGGCTTTAATCCTTTGAAAGCATGCTGTGGGATGGGATATTGGCATTGAGCAAGGTAAGGCTGATTAGGTTTTAATGAGATGGTAAGGGGTGCATCATCCATTGCCAAGGAGGGAATAGATGTGTCCTATGCTTGTGGATAAAGGTAGGGAGATACAAGGAGAGGATGTGAAGGCAGCTTTAAACTGGAGGAAAAGGTGGCAATGAGGTGTGGCTGTAGTCCAGGAATAGTCAGGGAAACAGATAATTTAGTTAAAATGTATCAAGCTAATATGGGAGCTAGGCAGGTGGGGATAACTAAAAAGGAATGCAGGAAAGAATGTATTCCAAGTTGGCACCAGAGTTGGACAGTTTTAAGAGGTTTAGAAGCCTGGCCATCAATACCCACAACAGTTATGGAAGCAAGGGAAACATGCCCTTGAAAAGAAGGTAATATGAAGTGTGTAGCTTCCATATTGATTAAGAAGGGGACGGACTTACCCTCCACTGCAAGAGTTACTCAAAACATCTGCGATTGTCCTGTAGGCTTCTGAGGTGATCAGGCAGCATCAGTCTTCAGCCATTAAGCTGAGAAGATCTGGAAAGGAGTCAGTCAGAGAGCCTTAGGCCAGAGTTCCAGGGGCTCTGGGAGTGACTGCCGGGTGAGCTGGACAGTCTGATTTCCAGTGGGGTCCTGCACAATTGGGAGACAGCTTAGGAGGAATCCTGGGCTGTGGGCATTCCTTGGCCCAGTGGCCAGATTCCCAACACTTGAAGTAAGATCCTGGGGGAGGGAGTCCTGGAGGAATGCCTGGCCCCTGCGGTTTAGGTGTATTGGAGTTCTTGTGTGCTGGAGATGTGGCTGGGGTTTCTCTCACAGAGGAGGCAAGTAATTGCAACTATTCTCTATTATTGTACACCTTGAAAGTGAGGTCAATTAAGCCCTGTTGTGGGGTTGAGGGCCAGAATCTAAATTTTAGAGCTTCTCTAATGTCAGGAGCCAATTGGGTAATAAAATGCATATTGAGAATAAGATGTCCTTCTGGCCCCTCTGGGTTTAGGACAGTAAAGCAGCTAAGGGTTGTTGCCAAACAGGCCATGAACTGGGCTGGGTTTTTATATTTGATGAAAAAGATCTTAAATGCTAACTGATTTGGGAGAGGTTCGATAAAGAAAAAAGGAGCATTAACCTTGACTATGCCTTTAGCTCCAGCCACCTCTTTAAGAGGAAATTATTGGCCAGATATTGGAGGGCTAGTTGTGGAACAAAAGTGTAAGCTGGACCAGGTGTGAGGAGGGGAGGAAATAGAAGGGTTATAAGGTGGGGGAGTGGAGGCTGAGGAAGAGTTGGAACCTGACTTAGCCTGGGGAGTTGGGGAGAGGTCAGATGAGTCCATAGAAAAGGAGGATTCAAAGGATTCAGAGCTTGGGATGGACACTGAAGGAACAGACAGGAGAGAAAGAAGAAAGATTTGGGATTAGTCACATTAGGAGCAGAGACTAGGGAGGGACCAATGTGTAAAAGAATTCTTGGACATCAGGCACATCAGACCATTTGCCCATTTTTTGACAAAAATTATCTAGATCTTATAGGATAGACAAATTGAAAGTGCCATTCTCTGGCCACTTGGAACTACTGTCGAGTTTGTATTGGTGCCACACGGTATTGCAGAAGAAAATAAGGCACTTAAGTTTTAGGTCAGGTGTGAGTTGAAGAAGTTTTAAGTTATTGAGAACACAGGCTAAGGGAGAAGAAGGGGGAATGGAGGGTAGAAGATTGCCCATAGCGAAGGAGGTAAGTTTAAAGATAAAGGAAGAAACATGGAGAAGGGGGTGAGCAGCCCTGGGCTGCAATGTGGGTGAGCAGCCAAAGCAGGTGTCCCTGCAATTGACTTGCCACCAAGGGAATGTGAGTGAATGACCAAGGCAGGCATCCCTGTGGTCATCAGACACCAATGAAATGTGGGTGAATAATCAGACAGGCATCCCCGCAGTGATTAAACACCAAGGGAACACTTTCTTCCTGAGTCCGTGACTGGCACCACAGTTTTGGGTTCACAGGTAAAATGTGTCTCCTTGTCTCTACTAGAGAGGAAAAAGAATTAGAATTGGAAGTATAGAGAGATTGAAGAGTAGTGAGCAAGGGAGATTGAAGAGTAGTGAGAGAGGAAGATTGAAGGGTAGCAAGAGAGACTGGAGAAGAGTGAAAAGACCACTTATCCAATTTAAAATTGATGAGATATTTCTTGGGCTGGTTGGTCTGAGGACCCGAGGTCGTAGGTGGATCTTCTTAGGGAGTGAGGGCAAGGACAGGTAACTGGTCTCCTGAAGGAGTCCTCCTGTCCTGCGTTTCAGCACCACATGTCATGCATGTCCGTGTGAAGAGAGTCCACCAACAGGCTTTGTGTGAGCAACAAGGCTGTTTATTTCACCTGGGTGCAGGCTGAGTCTGAAAAAGGAGTCAGCTGAGGGTTGTGGGATTATCATTAGTTCTTATAGGTTTGGGATAGGTGTACAAAGTACCTTCTTAAGGGCGGGGGAGAATATTACAAAGTACCTCCTCAAGGGAGAGGGAGAATATATCATATCAGTTAGGGTGGGGCAGCAACAAATCACAATGGTGGAATGTCATCAGTTAAGGCTATTTTCACTTCTTTTGTGGATCTTCAGTTGCTTCAGGCCATCTGGATGTATACTTGCAGGTCA